>NC_000006.12:23393333-23696363 GCF_000001405.40 Homo sapiens | reverse complement strand
GCAGAGATTGGCCATGTTTGGCTGCCCATTTTTCGTCCAATCCAACCACAAAGTCATGGAGTTAAACCAATGGTTCAACTGTGGCTTAGCATGAAAATAACCCATGAAACAAACAAACAAAAATCTCATGCCAGCTCCTCTTCCCCAGTAAAGACCAAGATAGATTCCGATTTATTGTGGAGTATATGCTGAACAACAGTATTTTTTTAAGTGTTCTAGTAGTTCCAAAATGCATCCAGTGTTGAAAAATGAATTTTCCCATTGCAGTGTAAGTACTCCATCTTATTCCAAAGCAAGTACATTAATAGATAAAGATGGGGTAAAAAATGTAAAAAGATTGTTTTTGTTTTTAACTCAGAGAGAAATTGTAAAAAACCATGATATATAAGTCAGTTGTTTCCTAAAAAATGAAGAAAGCAAGATTGTGAACATTTTATTCAATTCAATAAACATCTGTAGGTGCCACAGAAGATACAACACTGAACAAGGCTCTCCTTCTTTAAAAAATGTAAAAATCTAGTCGAGTGATACACTGTGCACATAAACAACTGCAGTTCTGTATAAATTTTGTCAAGCTTGTGAATAATTCTTCCATGGATTAAAAATGGACAACTATATTGTTCAAAGGAGAAGGAATGGAATGTGAAAAGGATGGGGAGTACTAGGAAGCAAGGTGTATGTAGAAAAGGCAGGTAGATCAGCATGGACGGACTATAGGGAGCAAAGAAGAGAATGGTGGGAGATGAGAGCAGAAAAGAGAAAGAAGTCAGGTGCGATGCGAAGCATTGCCTTGTATCTTCACTTTCATATTTATCTCCAAAGACACATAGATTTCTTTCTCTTCCCTTCATTTCTTTTTATTTTCCCGTTTTCCATCTTCTCTCTTATTCTTTTTGATTTTCTATAATAGATTATTAACATTGATAATAAATATAATTTTTATTTTTATTGTTTCTAAATGCCACTTGCTATTTTAAGAAGTTCATATAAATTGTCTCATCACATTGAATCACAACAGTTCTAAAAAGCATATTATGTTAATATACTGTATATGATAATATGTAGTATTTCTCATGTTATATATGAGAAAACAGAGACTCAAGGACATAAAACTAGTAAGTAGAATTAAGTAAGCAGAAAGTGGATCTAAGCGTTGAGCAAATATAAGGTACAGAACTTCAGAAGTTAAAGGTGAATTAAGAACCGTGTGTGTGTGTATATGTGGTGATGGGAGGGGACCTCAGAACAATGCTTTGCCATTGGGATGCAAACAATTCTTCTTTCTTTGCTTCGCTTCCCATCTGCCTTAGTTGGCCACAGTGTAAAGTAAAACATGGAGCTAAGATGAACTCCAGCGTTTATAGATTGCAAGTCAGTTTTATATTTGACATTTGATATTAGAGTACATCTCTTTTCATTGTACCTGAAAGGAAGAACAGCAAATTTTACTCTTTAAGGGTGACATTTAATTGAGAAAACTATAGTTGGCCCTGGATCCATGAGTTCTTTGTCCACAGATTCAACCAACTATGGATCTAAAATATTCATTAAAAAACAGTAAAAAAAAAAAAACAATAATAATTCAAATAAAATACCATATAACAGCTATCTATATAGCATTTACATTATATTAGGTATTATAAGTAATCTAGAGATGATTAAAATTATATGGAAGAATGTGCAAAGGTTACATGCAAATATTATGCCATTTTATATTGGAAACTCGAGCATCCATGGATTTTGTTATCTGTAGAGGTCCTAAAACCAATAGTGAGGGATGGCTGTAACTGAAAATACATTGAGATAAAGTAGATGCCAATAAATAGTTGAGAAATTATTTTACAGGTTTTAAAGAGGAAAGAGTTTAGCTTTCCCCTAACAGTCACCTATCTAGACAGTGAGTTAAGGTATGGCCTTCTAAGTCAGAAAGCCCCAAAGCTGCATCCCAGCTCCAATGTTTACTAGCTCTTTGGCCATTGAGCAACTAAATTCTCAAGCTCACTAAGGTGTATTTGTTTTCATCTGCAACTTGAAGATTCAATGGACTAAACTGACTTTTCTGACCATTGTGCCATAAGACTTCCAATGACATCCACCTACACAGGAGCTTGATGAAGCAGGGCACCTCTTATTTCATAGCCAAAATATAAGGTAAGAATATAACAAATTCTACCTTTTATTAGTGGCAATGAATAAGAACAATTTGAAAGTATGTTCAGATAAGTTACATACCAATAAATGGTTGAGAATTTGTTTTATTTGGTGTTGAAGAGGTCCTGATTGGTAGTGTAAATTGTCTATGGATTACAGTCCTAAGGAAGTTCTAGGAATAAATAGTGTTTGCTTTTCTAAAAAAAGGAATTTGACAAAACACCCTGAAAATACCCATGAAACTGTTATAACCCTGGACCTCTGGTTGATTAACTCCAAAAGCCCTCAAGAATTAATGTACCATTCGTGTGGAACAATTTTACAAAGATAGATGGGTCATGCACAAATGATCCTTTATATTAAGCTGCTTTTTGACTGCCTTATATGTTTATAATTCTCTATAGTTTACAAAAGGCCTACATATACATTGTTTAATCTCTCCAAAATTCCCATCAGAGAGGCAACGAATTATTGGTATACGTTTTTCAAAAGAAGAGAGATTACGGGAGGTTAAAAGTCTTTGTAAAGTGGCTCAATATCTATCTAAATGAATCCAACAAGAACCTTTCTCATGGTATGGAAACTATTTTTAAAAAATATAACTTTACAGATTACAAATCAAAAAGCATACATATTTATTTTGCTAGGATTTTTGCTAAACACTGTAAATAAGAAGCAGTTTAATTCACCTCAAATCAATTATTTGAGAATCAGTTTGCCAAATGACCAATTTGCTGATTTTTAAAAATAAAAGAAACTAATTGAGCTTTTCACCTAAATCAGGGGTGTACGATCTTTTGGCTTCCCTGGGTCACATTGAAAGAAGGAAAATTGTCTTGGGCCACACACAAAATACACTAACACTAATGATAGCTGATGAACTAAAAAAAAAAAAAAATCACAAAAATCTCATAATGTTTTAAGAAAATTAACAAATTTATGTTGGTCTGCATTCAAAACTGTCCTGTGTTGCGGGCCTCAGGTTTGATAAGCTTTACCTAAATTTTTAAGGGAATAAAGGACAAATATAAAATACATCTTAAAATATTAACAATAATGATATTTTATGTGCTGTCAGAGACATGGGTCAAAGGATTTTAAAAAAAATGTACACATTGTTCAACAGAATTCCATTAAAAAAATTTTCAACGTTGAATCCTATATTTCCCACTTAGATTTCAACATTTTTAGGAGACAGACATATTTCAGTTATTTATAGTAAATTAAAATTTAATAAAACTATAAATATAGCACAAAATTGACATTTACACATATTTGAAAAAATTAGAATTTTTAGTCAAATGCAGTGTAAATTAAAATTTTCAGCAGATTAATTTAGTACTCTGGGAATACAATAAATGTGCTTAGATTCCTCTTTCATGGCCCTAACAGTCTAGTAGAAGAGGTAGGTTTTAATCACATAATCACACTCAGGAATGTATAAAGGCAAAAAAGAAAGTAACAAAAGAACATGAAAAGAGGATCAAAGAAGATTTCTCTGCACAAGGGACAGAAGTGGAGGTCTGAAGGTTGTGTTAAAGTTAATTGAGGAAATCTGAAAATACATATATAGCATAATTTTAGCCACTTTTAACATTAAATTAGCAGTATCTGGAAATATCCATGCTACATTTACTTGTATTACAACAAATGTGAGTCTTTCCTCTATGCCAAAGCCATGTTCTTTTTTATTTACTTTTTATCTAGGAACTTTAAATGTAAGTTTACTAATCATGTTAGAAATTATTTGCATTTCAGCCACTAGATTTTTTTTAGAGTATTGTCGTTGTTTGTTTAGCTGGGCTTCAGTTAAGGTAAAAAGCAGACTGAACATGTTTGGCTGACTAAATTAGATTGTGACATTTGATAATAACCAGCTCAACCCCTGATTTCTTAACACCATACTCATGCTTCATAACTTCTCTATATTCTTGCCTCTCACTGAAAAAACAAGATTAAATATGTTTTTCCTTCTAAATGTGTAAAGATATCGAAATAATACAACACAAAATATAGAAAAAGCTTTATAAGAATGGTAACCATGTAACCAATATGAAATTCTGTCTTTAATATTCAAATTCTCAGATCTTTAAATGGTGAGAAGGATTCTAACTTCTGAAAAATAAATGTTCTTTTATTTTCCTGAGTTCCAAAAATCCAAAACAAAAAAAGAATAATGGTGCTCCAAGTATATTATTAAATTGTTCTATTTGGCAGACATGCTTTTTTTCTTTTTAACCTTTTCTTGAAGCTAAATTGCCTTTAAAATAATCATCTTTTCACTGGCAAGATTAATGTTCACTGAAATTTGCATATTTTAGGCTCTCGTAGTATAGGTACAATGCATTTTTCTCTGGGAGATGTTAGCATAATAAAACCAAATACGTGTGTTAAAATAGTTATGCTATTATTTTATAAAATTCCTTTGGTTTTGCTTTTATTCTGTAGATTTTTAATATTTATAAATGTTTCTTTGAATGAAATGAAATAACTTTTTCATCATTATCATGAGGCTGAAATTTTAATTGCTAAACAAGACTATCAATTTGTGCCTTATCTCTTGAGTTTTGCCTCATAATGAAGTTTGAAATGTTATAAAGCATATTAATAGCACAACAACAAGAATGCCCAGAGCTTCTTGTTACCACTAGTCAGCAATTGTTAATTATTCAGGAGAGATAGAATACATTAAAAGAGAGACCTGCTTTATAAATGCAGAAATGTTAGTTATAACTAAAGGAGAGCGATGTGAATTGCTGGAAGACTGATTAAAAAAAGACAGGACTATATATATTGAAATAATATTGTAATATTTTTACTACTGTTGGAATCATTTAACAAAAGTGTGCCATAAAAATCTCACCACAGAATCAAGATGCTAATGTTATACCTCATTTATTGCCAGCATATTCAGTGACATTTTATAATGTACATCTGTCAGCCAGAGATATAAATGAATGAGGTGAACCATACAATTTACCCTCAGGAAGTTCCATTAGAGCCCCCAAAGTATAATATTTATGAGGTCAGAATCAATTAATCAGATAGCTGTATTTGCTTTTCAGCTCAGCAGGCTCTCTGCTCCACCAAACTTGTTGCATTCAAAAATCTTTCGTATTTGGCCAAAGAGTGAGTTTGTATGTGCTACATGAAAGCTATTGTGTAAATCAATTACTATAGTAACACAGGATGTATTCAGTAGTCATTCATGGTCTAAGTGGAGACCATGTAAAATATGTTCTTATCAGAAAGGTTTTATCACAGTAGGAGTCCTAAATATTCTTTATGAGCTACCGTGGTCTTACCTATTCCACAGTTTACTGAATGAAAGGCAATTATGACAGAAATACAGGCTTGTGCTTGTTCCACATGGTAATTCAAACATTGGTTATAGTAGAGTCATAGGAGATGGTGCCAGGAGCAGAGCACGTATTGCTGTCAAAAACAATTCAAGCGCTCACTGGGAAGAAATGGATGAGGACCAGAAGAATTCTATAGTAGAAATGGCTACTATTCTGTGAAAGAAGGGGCAAGTGTAGTTAACCTCAGAGAATGTACTAAATGACAGTTGCTGTGTTATTCAGAGTGAGCTTCTCACTTCTCTGCCCAGAAAGCAGTCTCAGAGCAATTTTAGAAATGGATGATGAGTCAGAGGAATTCCGATGGTAAAAATATAATCTTTCTTTTTTATTTTTTGCATTAAGGAAGAAAGAACGGAGACCATGAGGCTTGGTACTCTATTAATAAAAATTTGGGTGATCATTCTTTTCTGTCATGCAGCCAACTGGATAGACATAGGAAATTATGGCAAAGGATTGTAGGTAACACAGAAATTTAGTTCAGGGGATAATATACAAATTGTATCAAGCCCATGAATTTACAGTAAACTCTTATTATTTGCCCAGGCAAGTTGTAGGTATTGTGTGTATGTATGCGGAGGTGTCTATATGCGTAGAGTTGGTAGCTGAATACAGTAAATCAGTGGGCACGTGGATGTCTGCAATATTCTGTAAATGAACTCTGCTCAAATAACCCAGGTAAGCTGGGCTGCTTTATAATCCACTCAGCATGCTATCGCATTAACAAAGCCAACACAAATGACTTACTAAGACAGCAAAATAATGATATTTTTAATTTTCTTCCAAAACCAGCTAAAAACAGTAAGAAAAGAAAAAGTACCCTCCTTTAGTAAAGCTGGGAAACCATTAAATAGTTACTATTATAGAATGTAAATTTCATGAAGAGAGATTTTTCCCATGTTTGGTTCACTTATCATACCTCTAGCACTTAGAGCAGTGATCAGTGAACATCTATCAAATAAATGAACTATAGTTTTGAGTGTATGCCCTTTTAACCTCATTTCCTTCAACCAAGTAGGAGAGAAATCTTTTTTTTTTTTTTTTTTTTTTTTCAGTTCTTTGCTTTCCTTTTCTTCAAACTAGATCTCTGGGTCTCCACTTCCCAGAGTAAAAGAAGGACAAGTCCAAAATACAGAAAGAAACAAAGACAAAGCCAATCATAGTCTTTTAGGAGTCTGAGAACTCCTGTCCTGTTAAGTGTACTAAGGGAGGGAGGTTTCTGAAGGATCACTGGATTATACTAACTTTTTTTTTTTTTTTTTTTTTTTTTTTTTTTTTGAGACGGAGTCTCGCTCTGTCGCCCAGGCTGGAGTGCAGTGGCACAATCTCGGCTCACTGCAAGCTCCACGTCCCAGGTTCATGCCATTCTCCTGCCTCAGCCTCCCGCGTAGCTGGGACTACAGGCGCCCACCACCACGCTCGGCTAATTTTTGTGTTTTTTAGTAGAGACAGGGTTTCACCGTGTTAGCCAGGATGGTCTCGATCTCCTGACGTCGTGATCTGCCCGCCTCAGCCTCCCAAAGTGCTGGGATTACAGGCGTGAGCCACTGCGCCCAGATGGATTATACCTAATTTTTATCTGATATGATGACTTCAACACCTAGCCTCACTTACATGGAGAACTACTCTGAAATACCCAAGGTTGGACACATGCCTATACATGCAACAAGCAAGTTTCACCTAAACTAGATGGCATGAGTTCAAAGTTCCTAATAAATCACTTTTTGATAAAAAATGGCAATGTTTAGGGGTTTAGGCTAGCTCCTGAAGCACCTCAAACCTTCTTACATACAGACAACGTTAGGAAAGGAGGCACTGAATGAGGCAAGCCCGGTGTACTGGGCTGTCAGCATTGCAGAGTTGAAGAGAGATCATAAGAACCAATCAACTTGGCACTGCTGACACGGAGAAGCTGAAAAATAGTTAAGTGACAAGTCAGTGCACTCGCTCGCTCGCTCGCTCTGTCGCTCGCTCTCGCTCTCTCGTTCTTGCTCGCTCTCGCTCACTCTGGAAGATGTCCTGATCACCACATCTGTCATAATTTGGAATGCAAGGTGAACTGAGTTAATGCCCATTCCCAGGACCTGAGTCCATTTAACAATTTGCACATGTGAGAAAACATAACATGATATGAATCACCCTTTTCCAGCCCCCGCTCATAGCTTCGGCTATTTCCACACGGAGGGGAAGCTTGGGTCCAAGTATCTCTGTTTTGAAATGTGCACACCAAATCATTTTTCTTAAAGTAATATATTCTGACCTCAAGGTGCTATGATTTTTCGTGAAATATTCAAGTTACTTGGCACAAAAATAGTTTTCAGAGATGTCGATTTTTTACTAAAGAGGGAACATCACACTTTTCTTTATTTGATGCTACAATCCAAACTGTGGGGATATCTTGCCTAATAAATTAAGTAGTATTTTGATACTTTTTATTTTTATAAGATGACTGTATGTTTTCTTTCTTCAGGAAGTAGGCGTTGATCCCAGATTTGGCATATTTTTACCAATGAAAAAATTGATATGTTTACACTACAATATTTCACTGCTATAACATTCTGATTTGTTGTTGTTGCTTGGATACAAGTAGAAAGAAAACTGGTGGTGGGTCACACATATCTGCAGTTACTTGTAATGACAATAGTAGATGTTTAAATAAAAGGTAAACAGAATTATAGTTGAACTGACCTCAAGAATCAAAATACTAATGACAAAGTAATAAAACAAGAAAATAAAGCCAAAGGGAAAGACAGTGAAGCTTAAAGGACAAAACTTTTAGAGTCAGTATTTTACTATATTCTGTATTTCATTGATGACTTTTATTAAGCAAAGGGAGGAAGTCCATGCATAGTGTTAGGCACATTTGCTTTCAAATTACCTGGTATCCCCTGGGTTAGATTGCCATTTTCATTTCTTTGCAAATAGAAAGTAATGTTTTCCGATAATACTGACAGAGAAAATCATTTAATCTGTACACTTTGGGGTCAATTCTAGGATGCATTGGCTGAAAGTCAATGAGGAAAATAGAAAAATATATAGTTTTTAATAGAAAGGTTTGGTATGATGCAGTATATAGAAATGGTACTTGAAGGATACTAGACAAAGGAGATAGAAGTGGTAGTCAATAGAACAGAAAAACTGGATTGCCAAATGTTTATATTAGCCAAGTTCAATAGAAAAACAAATTGAGAAAAGATAGCGGTAATTTGAAAATGTCAATATAAACTCATAACCTAAAGGAAATATTCTTCTTCTTTTCTGGAGTTACTCTGTTCACTGCAAGTACTCAATGGGAATTCTTTTTATGCCCCTTTTAACCCCAGTTTTCAGAATTACTATCATTTGCTAAGGCAACTATAACTCCTGGGAGAATAGCTAATACCATGTCTTGAGGCATAACTGATAAAGATGGACCTGAAATATTTTATTGTAAGAAAGCAAACATATTTTCAGAGATGTCTGGGGTTCGTTGAAAAGGGCAAAGAGGCCAGCATTTTTTAAAAGGCTGTTAGTGGCCCAGCTGTTAACATTTGAGCATCAGAAAGATAAAAATTATAGTCAATTGGAACAAGCTAAGATTGTTGAGGAGCTATATGTTCATGATTGTGCTGAAATAGGAAAACTAGCACACCATGTTCAAAAGTGTGTGTAATGTACTTCAGTTTCGAATATCACACACAGGAGAGGATATGTATTATGTAACCCAAATGACATGTATCCTACTTTGCAGTTTTAGCAAATCAAAGAACTATAAAATATGGAGATAGATTTTTTTAATAGAAAATGGAAATGCAGAAAGACATGCAAACGATGTGGGAATTTTGCATAAAGTATTTTGCTCTTCCCATGTTTTCTGTAACCAGATCATCAGGGCTCATTTTTTGTGGACTAGTTAAATAACTTATCCTTTCGTGACCCAGCTGGTAAAATTGTGGTAGTCCTTTATGAGACAAAATATAATAGTTCCATAAAATGTCATGTGGTTGTTTGGCAATAAGAGTTTATATAGCAAACTGGGTCCAAGACCATGGCGTAGCTAGCATATAGCCTTCATGGAAGGTGGATGTCATTGTTGTCCCTTTTGTAGGAAAGAAGTAACTGCCTTTCATACATCTGTATGAGGGTATTGGAGCAGTGTTCCTAAACAACAATCTCTAGTCACTGTAACCTCAAGACTTTTTTTAGAGGCTTGCTGGTTTGTGCATGTGTTGTAGCTGAGACTCTTCACAGGCAGACTATATAGAAAATTACAGGATATTCTGGGAGGAGGAGTGTGGTGGGACAGGGATGGAATGCTTATTATTCTTTCCTATATTTTATTCCATGTGGAAGGAACAAAACTCTTGCTAGAACATTCCTGACTTCTCTTTATACTTCAATTATTCCTTGTCTGGAACAGGTAGAACAGGGATGAGTTTGCTAAGATCATACTATGGTTTGAATATGTTCCCCAAAGTTTATGTGTTGGAAACTCGATCCCCAATGTGTACGTGTTGGGAAGTAAAACCTAACAGGTGGTGTTTGGATCATGAGGGCACCACCCTAATGAATAGATTTATGCCATTATTGTGGAGGTGGGCTCATTATTGTGAGAGCGGGTTCCTTATATAAGGATGACTTTGACACCCTGTTGCTCTCTCTCTCTCTCTTTGCCCTTCCATTATGGGATGATGCAGTAAGAAGGCCTTCAAGATGGAGAAGCTAGCCTCTCCATCCTGACATCTCAGTCCCAAGAACTGTGAGGAAATAAATTCCTGTTTTTTTTTTGTTTTTTTTTTTTTTTTTTTTTTTGAGACGGAGTCTCGCTCTGTCGCCCAGGCCGGACTGCGGACTGCAGTGGCGCAATCTCGGCTCACTGCAAGCTCCGCTTCCCGGGTTCACGCCATTCTCCTGCCTCAGCCTCCCGAGTAGCTGGGACTACAGGCGCCTGCCACCGCGCCCGGCTAATTTTTTGTATTTTTAGTAGAGACGGGGTTTCACCTTGTTAGCCAGGATGGTCTCGATCTCCTGACCTCATGATCCACCCGCCTCGGCCTCCCAAAGTGCTGGGATTACAGGCGTGAGCCACCGCGCCCGGCCTCCTGTTTTTTTTTTAATAAATTACCCAGTCTCAGGTATTCTGCTCTTGCAGCACAAAACAATCCCAGAAGTAGAGCTGTTGCTATACCAAATAACTGAACATGAAGAAGCAGCTTTGGAGCTGGGTAATGGGTAGAGTCTAGAAGAGTTTGGAACAGTGTGCTAGGAAAAGCCTGCATTGCCATAGATGGAGCATTAGGGGTGATTCTGGTGAGACCTCAGAAGAAAAGAAAAGCTGTAGGGAAAGTAAGGAACTTCTTAGAGATTACGTAAGTGATTTGTCACCAGAATGTTGGTAGAAATATGGACCGTGAAGGCCATTCTGTTGAGGTATCAGATGGAAATGAGGAATAAATTATTGAAAACTGGAGTAAAGGCCATCCATATTACAAAATGCAAGGAGTTTGGCTGAATACCCAAGGGCTTTATGGAAAGAAGAATTTAAGAAGATAAACTAGGATATCTGGTGAGAGAAGTTCCTAAGTAAAACTGAAGGTGTTACGTGACTTCTTTTCACCACATAGAGTAAACTGTGAGAAGAGAGAAGTGGTTGAAAGACAGAATTCATACTTAAAAGGGAAGCAGAATGTAAAAATTTGGAAAATTTGCATCCTAGCTATATATAGAACAAAAAAAGCATGCAAGAATGCAGCTAAGCAAGCTTTGATAAAGGGATTACTAGAGCTAGAAGGAAGCCAGGTGCTATTCATCAAGACAATTCGAAGCTCTTCCAGGCTGCCCCTCCATCACAGGCTCAGCATGTTAGGACCTTGAGGGAAGGAAAGGCTCATTTCCCAGAGACTCTTCTGCATTCTGTTCCCCACATTCCAATGCAGTGCTCCTTGGCCACCCCAGTTATGGTTCAGGAAGTCTCAGGTGTCGCTTGAGCTACCACTCCAGAATGTGCAAGAGGTAAACCCATGTAGCATCTATTTGGTGCTAATTCTGCAGGTGCAGATAATTCATAAACTTGGAGGCAGAACTACGAAGCTTTCAAGGAATGTATGGAATATCTTGGGGACCCAGGGAGAAACCTGCTTTGGGGGTGGAGTCACCCCAAGAGCCCACACTAGGGAAGTGGCCAGTGGAACTGTGGGGTAGGAGCCATGGAGGGAGAGAATCTCCACTACGACAATGCGTAGTGAAGCTGTGGCGGTAGGGCTATCACTGAGACCCCAAAACTGTAGAGCTACCAGTGTGCAACACCAGCCTGGGAATGCTGCAAATAGGAGGCTCCAATTTGTGAAAGCTGCTTTGTAGGCACAGCCATGGGGGTGGGGCTAACTGAGGGCTAGGGAGTCCAGCCCCTGCCCCAGTGTGCTCAGAAGGTGGGGTATGGGGTCAAAATGATTATTCTAGAGTGTTAAGATTGAATGCTATTTGCTCTATTGGGTTTGGACTTACTAGGAACCAGTGACCCTTTTTGTCCTATTTCTCCCTTTTGGAATGGGAAATGTCTATTTTATGCCTGTCCCACCATTGTATTTTGGAAACAGATGATGTGTTTAATTTCATAGGCTCATGGCTGTGAGGAAATTTGCCTCAGGATGAATTGTACCTGAAGTCTCACCCATATCTGATCTCTATGAGACTTTGGACTTTAGATTTTTGAGTTCATGCTGGAAGAAGTTAAGACTTTGGGGCCATTTGAAGGAAGTAAATGCATTTTACATGTGAGAAGGACATGCATTTTGAGGGCAAGAAGCAGAATTCTATGATTTTAATGTGTTCTCCAAAGTTTATACATTGGAATCTTGATCCTCAATGTGTCAGTGTTGGGAGGTGGGGCCTAACAGAAGGTGTTTGGGTCATGAGGGCACCACCTTTATGCATAGATTAATGCCATTATTGCAGGAATGGGTTTGTTATTTTGAGAAAAGATTCTTTATAGAAGGATGTTTTGACCCCTCTTGCTCTCTCTCTCTCTGTCTTACTCTTTCTGGCCCTTTTGCCTTCTACCATGGGCTGACATAGCAAAAAGCAAAAAGGACCTGACTAGATGCCAGCCCCTTAATATTGGACTTTCTGGCCTCCAAAACTATGGGGAAATAAATTTCTGTTCTTCATAAATTACCTAGTTTGTGGCATTTTGTGATAGCAGCACAAAACAGACTAAGACAGTTTAGAAGGAGACAACAGGCATGAGAGGTCCAGCCTCCTCCTCTTGCATGCTACTCTGAAAAGCAGATTGCCAGTAAGGTTCAGGTGCTTTCTTTTTTTTTTCTTTGTTTTCCTTTTTTTTTTTTTTTTTTTTTTTAAAGATGGAGTTTCGTTCTGTCACCAGGCTACATGCAATAGCACAATCTTGGCTCACTGCAATGTCAGCTCACTGCAATCTCTGCCTCCTAGGTTCAAGTGATTCTCCTGCCTCAGCCTCTCGAGTAGCTGGGATTACAGGTGCCTGCCACACACACTGCTAATTTGTTGTATTTTTAGTAGAGATAGGGTTTCACCATGTTGGTCAGGTGAACTCCTGACCTCAGGTGATCCACCGGCCTTGGCCTCCCAAAGTGCTGATTTCCAGGTGTGAGCCACCGCACCCAGCCTGGTTCAGGTGTTTTCTGTTTCTTCAGGCTGCAAGTCTTGTCTGGGCTGCACCAACTCTCCCTCCTTGTGGAGGAGGTCTGCTCCAGGCCAGCCTTGCCTGTCACTGCCTGGGAGTCTAATTTTGTGATTCTGATTGGTAGAGATACTCTTTTAAAGGCAGAAATGATGTCCCACAGCCTACCTTTATCAGTGGTACAGGGTATAGCACATTTCAGCAACTATCATGTACTTTTCACATTTATCATTTCTGAAATTGCAAAATGTCTTCCAGCCCATGAAGTATTAGATTTTTTGAAATATAGTATTTTGGTCTCTGATCTGTCAATTCTGTGTCTTACTTATTTCACAATTTGTTCATATCCTGAGTAGGAAAGAAGGCTGCTACTTATTGAGCTCTGAAGATTTCAACATGCAGTAAAATCTGAATAAAATTCTAATGAGAGAATGCAAAGTGTTAACATGTGGAATATTTTTATTCCTACCCAGAGAACACTTCAAAGTAGGAACTACATTTCAGCTTTCACATAGCAAGAAAGTTTGAATTTATTCTGACTTAGCAATGAAAACTACATTGGGAAACACTGGAAGAAATCAGGCACAATTAGAAATAAGAAAAAGGAGTAGGTCTTATCTGTGAGGTTTAAAAAGTATTGCTTCTCAATGAAATGCTTGGAGCTTATTAAAAGTATTCTTTGACAGAATGAATTGGAGAGTTGATATTTTATGTAGTTCTATGTATTTAATTGTAAAGCAATTATAAAAATATATGTTTTGAATATTAGCTTTAAAGTAATGTAGCAAAGTAATGTGGTTAAAAAGAAAGGCAAGAAGGACATGCAGAGAAAAACTGCAATATACTCTTTTATGGAGAGACAATAAGAGTAAGAAGATACTTTCAGAGATTGAGTCATGTTGAATTGGGAAAACTGACAACAAGTAAAATTCAGGAAAGGATTTGTTTTATAGACGGAATGAATATTAGTGGAGATTACAAAAATTAAAATCATGAAGACATTCAGGGAAACTATACAGATCAGCTCCCTCTTGAGTAAAAATAGAGAGAAAAAAACGATAATAATACAACAACCAAAAGCTAACATCAATGACAATCACCATCACCACCACCAAACCACAACAAAATAAGGAGAGAAACCAGTCAGTAAGGGCAGTAGGTTTACACTCTTGATCAAAACATTTTATTCGTCAAAAAAACTGGGAAAGTTCTGGAAGATGAAGTTTTCAGCAGTGACTGCACTGGGAAGAATCCACAGTACTGTTGCCCTGGCAACAGGCTTCTTCCTCATGGTAATGCCATTACAGTGAAGAAAATCCATGCACACGTTAATTAGAGGTGGTGTCACACATGGTGTCCGTAAACTCCTCTGAGCAGAAGTTCAGGTTGGTATTCAGGAAGAATTTGTGCCACAGACAGTGGGAGCAGTCATGAAGCAAGGAAACTGAGTATGTATATAATGGCTAGCTTGAGTCCATATTATCTTCCATAGGCTCAGTCAAAATCACCACGTCCTTGTTCATTTACATTGTTTTACCTCTTCTACTGGCTAGCATCTATACCTGCAAAGAAACTTGAACTGTGAAAACAAGATTTTGTCTCATTCACTCCATTCAGGACCAGAGGGATGATCACAGTCTGCCTTTTTTTTTTTTTCCGCAGCAGGGCTGATTCTGCCAAAGAATTTCCTAAGGATAAGAGATTACACAGAGATATATTTTGCTTAACTTTGAGCTCCCAGGATGGATATGTTATGTATGTAATAGATAGTTAATGCATAGATAATGATGTGAATTAGCTGAGTGTAATTAGGGCAGGACTCTGAAGAATGGGCAACAGGTTTATATATTTTATAGAAGAGGAAGGGGGATGGGGCAACACTTTATGTGTTTTCAGACACAAGGGCATCAATAACCTTGGAGGCAGAAAAAATATCACTGATGAGAGAGGAAGGAAAAATTTCACTTGAGTGAAAGGTATAAAGTACAGTCATGTGCTGCAATCAATGATGAACCGCATATACAACAGTGCCTCCATAAACTTATAATACCGTATTTTGGCTGGGCGTACTGGCTCATGCCTGTAATCCCAGCACTTTGGGAGGCTGAAGAGGGCAGATTACCTGAGGTCAGGAGTTTGAGACCACCCTGGCCAACATGGTGAAACCCTATCTCTACTACAAATACAAAAATTAGCTGGGCATGGTAGTGGGCACCTGTAATCCCAGCTACTTGGGAGGCTGAGGCAGGAGAATTGCTTGAACCTAGGAGGTGGAGGTTGTAGTGAGCCAAGATCACACCACTGCACTCTAGCATGGACAACAAGAGCTAAATTTTGTCTCCAAAAAAATAAAAAAATAAAAAAACCATACTTTTACTGTACCTTTCCTATGTTTAGATACACAGATGCCATTGTGTTAAAATTGCCTACAGTGTTTAGTAGAGTAACATGCTCTACAGGTTTGTTGCTTAGTAGCCTCTACCATATAGCCTAAATGTGTAGTAGGCTACACCATCTAGGTTTATGTAAGTACACTCTATCATATTGGCACAACAATGAAATTGCCCCACGATGCATTTCTCAGAATGTCTTCTTGTCCTAAGTGATGTATGACTTGTGTGCATTTAGCTCTGCCTATCTTGCTCTTTAATGAGGACCTGCTTACTCTGGTTGGGTCAATTTACTATTTTTAAATTATGTCATCATTTTAGGGGAACAGGCGTATCAATAGTCAATGAGTTTTATTTAGACATGATTGTAGGCTCTCTAGGTTGAACAAAACAGGCAAGGCTATATTGTAGACAATGGAATTTGTAGGCAGATAATACTAGCATTATATAGCCTATTATATAATACTATTTTTGGGAAACATGAATTTTCGGCTAAATAGTCAAGTTTGGGGCAAAACAAGTTATTAAGGAAAAAACTAGTAAGAAGAATGATTCTTATCCTCTGGAAACATAATTATATAGGAAAGATGTGGTCTTTTAGATGTTTTTTTCATCCTATAATGGTCTCTGATAGGTCTCTGGTAGGCCAGTTCCTTTCCCCTCACTTTGATGCTTTTCTGGCCACCAAGAAGTTTGGTCAGCAGGATTTAGAAAACACAACCTTTGCTGTAACAGGGTTTAAATCCTCCACAGGGTGACTTGTGAAGATGCTCAACTCTGAAATTGTTGGCATCCTAGAGAAACTGGAATTCTAATGTTGGCGAGAGGGGTAAAGGGCAAGTCAAATCAGATGAAAAACTGGAACAATGGAACTAGTATATGTGGGCATTTGGAAAAGTGACAGTAGGGTGGGTATCAGCTAGTGGTGGCAGGATTAAATTTAGAGTCACTTAAATGTATAGAGTCAGTGATGCCTAAACTTTGCCATACAGTCCACGTGTTAGCATCTATGTCATTAAGAGTTTGTGTTCAAACAAAAAAATAAAACACAGAGAGATACTGCTTTGACTAGTTTAAGAAGAAAAAGAGTTTATTTTTAAAAAATTAGATTCACAGAATCTCCAGTGAAGCCAGAGAACCTAGTTTGGAGAAAACTATGCAATAGAATCTATCGTGAAGATTCAAAAGTATCTTCATAGAAGCAATTCTGATATTCCCAAAGTAGACATCATAATTACCTCTACAAAGATAGCCTTGCAACCACCACTTTTGTGAAGCAGCTTTTGCCTATTTGTCAATTGTTTTATTTTTCTTTCTTTTCAAAATTTATTTGTAGGAATTCTTTAATATTGATATTAACGCTAAATTGATTTGATATTTGGGGAAATGTTTCCTCCCTCTTATTGTTGTTTTGTTTTTTATTTTGAAAATAGTATCTATTTAGGTGCCAATTACAATGAATCAAATTTGATAGTCATGTTTTTTATATCCTTTTTTCCTGCTACTTTTACCAATTACTGTATTTTACCAATTACTGTATTTTACCAATTACAATAATTTATCAATTACCGAAAAAAGTGTTAAATTCTATCATTCACTATGATTGTATCTTTGTCTATTTCTCCTTGGACTTTGATCAATTTTATATATATATATATATATATATATATATATTTAGTCTATGTTATTGAATGCATACATACTTGTATTATGCAGAGAATATCTGTACGCTAGTAATGCATATTGCTTTTTAAAATATATTTTATCTGATAATATACCAGTAACTGCACTAGTATTATTTTGGTCAAAATTTCAGTAATTTCCTGATAACCTCCAGATTATAAAGTTCCCTGATTTTGTAAAAAAAAAAAAAAAAAATGCAGACCATTCAGTCACACAGTTTTGTTGGGATTATCAACTTGAGGGAACCACATAGAACTGAAGTTCTTGTGCAAAGCCTGCATCAAGCTAGTTTCTTGTGGTTTGCCATCTGTGCTGAGAAATCTGCTAAGAATTTGTTTAGTGTTGTCTTCTCTTGCTGTTGAAAGCCTTGGCCTTTCAAGAAATTATGTTACCGAAGTAGTCTTCATTAGCGCTTCTCTTTCTTGTCTAGAAGAAACAATGCAGTTTGTCATTTACTTTTTTCAAGCGAAGATTATATTTTTAAAACACAGAACATTGAGTGAATTTTAATTGTGTAGAAAAGTGAACTGATGTGTTAACATGATAAAGCTAGTTAATGCTAGAGTCAAGGGTAGAACTGAGCTCCAGCTTTAAGCCTGCACTCTCCAATATGCTACTCCTAACTTCCCAAGATCCAATATACTATTCGTAACTTCCTAATATCAAATGATGAAACAAATGGTGAAATTCACTTCCTGCATTTGATATCCTGCAATGAATACAGAATGTTAGCACATGTGAAGGAAGACATTTAGCATAGGAGGTAGCATATGGAACCTTTGAAAACATTATTTTGGGGTGGATTATGAATTACCCCTGGGTTTTCTTATTCTTAATTTACATATTTTAACATTGCCAGCATTTCATTTATATTTGGAATGTTTCATGAGTCTTCAAATATTGCTAGCATAATACATATCTGAGAAAAAGGATCATGCTTTTTAAATACTTCTTATCCTTCTTTTCTCTTATTGCTTTCAGAAAGTCAGATCTGAAAGTAACCTTTGTAAAGCTTGATGTACTGTCTCATGTCTTCTGTGTTTGTAAATCTAGTGAATCTGCCAAGTCTGTTCTAAGGTCATTTGAAGTGACCTTAGAAGTTATTTTAGAAAAATAAAATAGTACAATGATTGAAAAAGAATAAAGTTATATAATTGAGGGTGATAGGTTAGAAAAGTCATTGTTCTTAAGCATTTATGAGGACTCTGATTTTCCACATATTTCAATTCCAGGCCACCTAATAAATAAATAGATTTTAGTAAGCGAAAATGTGTTATAGGAATGGACAGATACATCTTGTTTCTCTAGCCAGAAAACTGTACACTAGAAAGGGTCATGAGTGTGAGAATATCAGATGGATTGGCTTTTTAAAGCACTATAAAATATTAGTCTCAGTTTAAAAAGAAAAGATGTGTGCTTACTTAGCATTATATTGGCTCATGGTAGACACAGGCTAAAAGCAAATAGAAATCTTTAGCTTAAGGTATAATACTTGGAAATGTTTGCTTTCTTATTAAGTTAGGGAAGCTGACAATGGGAATTGAATGAATAAATGCATTTTTATCCTTTTAACTTGATTTCATATTTGTCTGCAAAATTTATAATAATAACAAAAGAAAATGTCTAAAGAACTGAAGATCAAGTCAAACAAATATATATTAAGATGGATATTCTGCGTCTATGTGAACTATGTCAAAATATGAAAATATATAACACATTTGTATAGAGAGATTATGGCTGTGTTGTCACAAACATTAGAAACACATCTATGAATGTGAAAGAAGTTTCATTTTGCTATCATATTTTATAAAACATAGTTACTCTTTTCATAAAATAAAAATACTGTAATTTAAAATTTAGTTTTTAATATATGAAATAATTCAAGTTTGTAAAAGTATTTGGCATTTTATGTAAGGAACTTATAAAAATAACACCTCGGGTTTATGTAGCCTCTTTTCTTCTCTAACTACAAGCGTTTACCCAGTGTATTTTATTTTTATTTTTATTTTATTTTTTTTTTTGAGACGGAGTCTCGTTCTGTCGCCCAGGCGGGAGTGCTGTGGCGCGATCTCCGCTCACTGCAAGCTCCGCCTTCCGGGTTCATGCCATTCTCCTGCCTCAGCCTCCCGAGTAGCTGGGACTACAGGCGCCCGCCACTGCGCCCGGCTAATTTTTTGTATTTTTAGTAGAGACGGGGTTTCACCGTGGTCTCGATCTCCTGACCTCGTGATCCGCCCGCCTCGGCCTCCCAAAGTGCTGGGATTACAGGCGTGAGCCACTGCACCCGGCCCCCAGTGTATTTTAAAATTTGCCCCTTAATCCAATGTCCCTTTCACTAGCCAAATGTTTTGTAAAAATAAAAGTTTTAGGTGGACCAAAGGAAAGTTCAAATTTTCTCAGAGGACTTAAAAATTGTTTTCTTCACTAAAAGATAAAGTCTTATAAGCTGGGGAGACTTAATTTATTATTCTAGTTTTAGCTATCTATAAGCATGCTTAAGAGAGAAATATCAGTGGACATTTTCTCAAGATATTTATATATATACATTTAGTTTCTGTCTTTAAAAATTGACACAGTAAAAAAAATTGTGTAAAGCCTAATGTCTATTCTGAAGTTGTTGATATTTAAGGATCAGAATAACTGCATATTATAATTTTGGTCTCAAAAATTATTTACCGTCATGCACCACATAATATTTCAGTCAATGATAGACCACATATATGATGGTGGCCCCATAAGATTATAATACCATATTTTTATTGTGCTTTTTCTATGTTTAGATATATAAGAACTTACCATTGCCTACAGTATTCAGTACAGTAACACACTGTCCAGGTTTATAGCCTAGGAGCAATAGCTTATACCTTATAGCTTAGGTGTATAGCAGACTGTACCATTGAGATTTGTGTAAGTATACTATATGATGTTGCCATAACAGTGAAATTGCCCAATGATGCATTTTTCAGAACATATTTCTGTTGATTAGGGATGCATGGCCATAATACTACTGAAGCCTATTAATATTATATGTCTAAGCACAACAGATAGTGAAAAAGCTGGGAGCAAATCTCAGGTTTTCTTATTTTTAATGCAGTGCTTTCCCTAGTATGTATAATTTGTACCTAAATTGATGTGTATTTATGAATTTAGTGCATTGGGATAATTGAGATGATTTGATTGAAAACTGATCCTCATCTATAGGAAAGATACACAAGAAAGTAGTCTTGCCAGAATAAGAACTGACTAGATTAAAATACTTGAGCAATACTTTTGGCTTAGAGATTATTGGCAGCTAAAGCAGAAAAAAAAATTACATTGAATTACATAGTTGATGTTTCTCCTAATAAAGAGAATTCATACATTCATCCATAGAGACAATTTATTTTCTTGCATGTAAAAGAGTAGAAGATGAGAAAAATGAGAAGTAACATTTTCAGGGCACCTACTGCTATCTTCCAGGGATTATATTGGCTACTCTGTCCATTCCATATTATTTAATATTCTCAAACATCCCACAATGTAAATATAATCACAGTCCTATCCATGAAGAAACTGAGCCTCACAGAGATTAAGTTAACTGCCAGTTACTCCCCATTAACCCATAGTTATTCCCATCACTAGTAAGCAACAAAGCTAAGATTTGAACTCTAGCTCATCTGAGGCGGGAAGGAGAGGAGTTAGGTCCTGCAAAATTTTTGCAAGAAGTCCTTTGTATATTCAATTTGTCCAAAAGTATTATCTAGTTAACAAAATAAATTTATATATTGTTAATATATATAATATTATTTTTAATGTTGTTTGGATTCCTGAAATTAATATTCTTAAAATGCATTACTGATTTCTAGTAGCTTTTTTATATCATTGTACATTTTCACAGTCCAGGATATTCAACTTCCACTTAAATTAAAGTCACAAGGTGGTATGATTCACCAAAGGAGTGCTCATAGATTAGAAACTATTCACAAACAATCAATTATTGATCATTTAGTGGACACCTATTGAACAGTACTGGGTGTTGTGGGGACAGTAGAATAAAGACTGTGTAAGACATTTTCTTAAGAAAACAAGTTTAATGTCAATTTGATGATATAGATAAAAAGGTAAAGATTCATATCATAAAACGTGTAATCAATATAAATTGTGTGGCACTTAGAAACTTAAGAAAAATGTGGGAAGGGAAGAGAACAGGATTTTTGGTTTCCAATCTGGCATTGAAGGAGTTTAGATGTCTCCACCCTGTCCTCCCAACAAGTAAAAAGCTAAACAAACTGAAAAATCAACAACTCTCCTTAGGGATTTTCAGAGAAGTGAGTTCAGAGGGCAAAATGATGCTCCAGAAAATGAAGAGACAGATGGATAAAGATAATCACAACTTAGTAGAGCAGAAAACCACGAGCAGAAACTTAGGCAAGAATCATTGCAGGAATGGGAGTACCTGAAGTTTAAATGACGAATTGCTGTAGGGTTAGTGTGGATAAATCTGAGAATTAAAAATTCCAGGAGGATCCAGTTGGATGGAGAGGGCTTTGAGGGAGGGGAACACTTTTGTGAGTTTTACCTCCTGGAGTACAACGAAGTTCTCACAGTGAATATTGGAGAAAACCTCTCTGCTGCTTCCAATAGGGCAAGGGGTAAAGTAACTACCTTGAAATACACAGGAGCACTGTTCTTAACAAGACCTGCCCTCAAGAGAAACTATTTTATCTGGGTTTTGGTTTTGTTTGTTTGTTTGTTTGTTTTAGAGCTTAGGGCTTAACCTACCTGGTGTGAAGAAAAATACGCAACTCTCCAATCCCCTTTAGTAGCTTCCTTTGCCACTTAAGCAGGAAGAAAAGACAGCAACTCAGAAGCACTGGTGAAAGTCACAGTCAAGAGTAACAGGGCCACCAAGAGACTGAGACCTTATCAGACTGTAGAACGCCTCCCCTGCCCCACACATTTCCACCCATGTTATTAAAGGCCCATTTACTGTAGTTCCTCTCACTCAGTAAATTATGTCCACCTTTCAATTTAAAAAATACGAGGAATAGTAAAAGCAAGAAAAAAAATAGTTTAAAGAGAATGAAGAGGCATCAGAACCAGAGAGAGATATGGCAGCAATGTTGGAAATATAAGATGAGAAAAATTTAAAAACTATGATTAATACACTTTGCATTTTAATGACAAAAGTAGACAAAAGGCAAGAACAGGTGGATAAGGGAATCAGAAAGATGGAACTTCTAAGAAAAAATTAAAAAAGTGTTAGAGATTTAAAACAATGTAACAGAAAATAAGAATGCCTTTGGCAGGCTTGTCAGTGGACTGGACACAGCTGAGGAAAAAAACTCTGAGCTGGAAGATGCGACAATAGAAACTAAAAAACTGAAAAGCAATGATAACAAAGATTGAGAAAAATAGAACAAAATGTTCAAGAGCTGAAAACAGCAAAAAATGATATAAATATGCATAATGGTGATGCCAGAGGAGAAGAAAAGGAGAAAGGAAAAGAAGTATTTGAAGCAATAACAACTGAGAATTCCCTCCAATTGATGTCAAATACCAAACCAGAGATCCAGGAAGCTAGGAGATCACCAAGTAGGATAAATGACAGAAAAGCATATCATGTTTAAACTTCAAAAAATCAAAGATAAAAAATGTGAAAGAAGTCAGAGGAAAATAACACATTCCCTACAGAGGTGCAAAGATAAGAGTTATATCTGACTTGGCCTCAGAAATCATGCAAGCAAGAAGAAAGTGGAAGGAATTATTTGAAGTGTTCAGGGGGAAAATTACTAACGTAGAATTCTGTACTCTGTGAAATTGTTCTTCAAATATGAAGAAGAAATAGGCTTTCTCAGATAAACACAAATTGAGGGAATTGATTGCCAGTAGATCTGCTTTGTAATAAATGTTAAAAAAAAAAACAAAAAACAGTTCTTTGGAGAGAAGAAAAGTTATATAGATCACAAACTCAGATTGACATAAAAAGCATTAGAAAAGGAATAAATGAAGGTAAAATATAAAAGCTTTTATTTTTCTTAATTGATAAAACTGGTAACCATTCAATACAATAATAGCAATAATGTACTCTGTGTTGTGCGTGTGTGTATGCATACATGCTGATATAGTTTGGATGATTGTCACCTCCAAATCTCACGTTGAGATGTGATTCCCAATGTTGAAGGTGGGACCTTGTGGGAGGTGACTGAATCATCACGGCAGATCCCCGATGAAGGTGTTTAGCTCCATCCCCTTGGTGATATATGAGTTCTCACTCAGTTCACATGAGATCTGGTTGTTTAAAGTGTGTGGTATCTACCTTTTCTCTCTCTTTCTCCTACTTTCACCATATGATGTGCCTGCTCCACTTCACCTTCCACCATGATTGTAAGCCTCCTGAGACCCTCATCAGAAGTCGAGCAGGTGCTAGTGACCTGCTTGTGCAGCCTGCAGAACCACAATCCAGTTAAACCTCTTTTCTTTATAATTTACCCAGTCTCAGGTATTTCTTCATAGAAATGCAAAAATGGCCTAACACAGAAAACTGGTACCAAGGAGAGGGGTGTTGCTATAAAGATACCTGAAGATGTGGAAGTGGTTTTGGAAATGAATAACAGGCAGAGGTTGAAAGAGTTTGGAGGTCTCAGAAGAAAACAGAAAGATGAGGGAAATTTTGGAACTTATGCAACTTGTTAAGTGGTTATAACCAAACTGCTAATAAAAATACGGACAGTGAAGGCAAGGCTTACAAGGTCTCAGATAGAAATGAGGAAATTACTGGGAACTGGAAAAAAAGTCTCCCTTGTAATGCTTTAGCAAAGAACATGGCTGCATTTTGTCCATGTCCTAGGTATCTGTGGAAGTTTAAACGTAACAGTGATGTGTTAGGGTATCTGGCAGAGGAAATTTTTAAACAGGAAAGTTTTCAAGATGTGGCATGGCTGCTTCTAACTTCCTATGTTCAGATACGGGAGCAAAGAAATGACCTGAAGTTTGAGCTTATATTTTAAAGGGAAGCAAAGAGTACAAGATTGGAAAATTTGCAGCCTGACACGTGGCCGAGAAAGAAAAAGTGTTTTCAGGAGAGGAATACAAGTGGTCTGCAGAGCAACCACTTGCAAGAGAGATTTGCGTGACTAAAAGGAAGCCAAGTACTGATATCTAGAACAATGGGGAAAAAAGCCTAGAAGGCATTTCAGAGATCATCTAGGCATCATTCCCCACTCCGCACCCACACCCCATCAGAGTCCCAGAGGCCTAGGAGGAAAGAATGGTCTTGTGGGCCAGGCCCAAGGCCTTGTAGCCTCAGGACACAGATCCCCACATCCTGGCTGCTCTGGCTACACCAACAGCTTAAAGGTCTCCAGGTGCAGCTTGGCTCACCACTCCAGAGGATGCAAGCTATAAGCCTTGGTGGCTTCCACATAGTGTTAAGCCTGCAGGTACTAAGAGTGCAAAAGTGAATGAAGCATGGCAGCTTCCACCTAGTTTTCAGAGGATGTATGGAAAAGCCTGGGTACCCAGGCAAGAAGGCTGCCACAGGGGTCTGGGGGTAGCCCACACAGAGATACTTTACTAGGGCAGTATTGAGAAGAAAAGTGGGGTTGGAGCCCCCACACAGAGTCCCCACTGGGGCACTGCCCATTGCAGCAGTGGGAAAGGGGCCACTGCCTTCCAGACCTGAGAATGGTAGAACCACTAACAGCTAGCAATCTTAGCATGAAAAAGCCACAGTCATTCAACTTCAGCCTATGAGAGCAGTCATGGGGGCTGCACCCTGCAATGCCACAGGGGCAGTTGCCCAAAACCTTTGGAGTTCATCCATGCACCAGTGTGACCTGGATGTGGGACATGGAGTCAAGGTGATTATTTTAGAGACTTAAGACTTAATGATTGCTCTGATGGGTTTAAGACTTGGATGGAGCCTGTTGCCCCTTTATTTGACCTGTTTCTCCCTTTGGAACAGAAATGATTACCCCATGCCTGTACCATCATTCTATGTTGGAAGTAAATAACTTGTCTTTGATTTCACAGGCTCACAGGCAGAAGGACCTCATCTCCAGATGAGACTTTGAACTTTGGATTTAGGACTTTTGACTGAGTTGATGATGGAACAAGTTAAGACTCTGGGGAACTATTGAGAAGGGATGGTTGTGTTTTGCATTGTGAGAAGGATATGAGATTTGGGGGGCAAGGGGAGGAATAATATAGTTTGTATGTTTGCCCCCTCCAAAGATCATGTTGAAATGTGATTCTCAATGTTAGAGATGGGGCCTGGTGGGAGGAGATTGTATCATGAGGGTGGATCCCTCATGGAGGTATTAGCACCATCCTCTTGGTGATAATTGAGCACCATCTTCTTGGTGATAAGTGAGTTCTTGCTCTGTTCATGTGAGATCTGGTTGTTTAAAAGTTTGTGACACCACCCGCCTCTCTCTCGTACCTACTCTCACCATGTGATGTGCCTGTTCCCATTTCACTTTCTGTCATGACTGTAAGCTTTCTGAGGCCCTCACGAGGAGCTGAACAGATATTGATACTGTGCTTGTAGAGGCTGTAGCACCATGGGCCAAATAAATCTCTTTTATTTATAAATTGCCCAGTCTCAGGTATTAAAAACAGCCTAACATACATACTCATGCATTGTTGTGTACAAGTGAAAAGAATGGCAGCAATGACATAAAGCATTAGAGGAATTATGAGTATTTTGTTATAAATATGTACACTGTCTGTGAAGTGTTATTATAATACTATTTGAAAGTGGACTTGGAATAGTTTTAAATGTTGCAAAGTCTAGAGCAACCACCAATAAGAGTTTTACTCTAAAAAAAAGAGGAAGTATAATTGACATGCTAAGAAAGGATAGAAAATGAAATCACATACAATCTCCAAATAAAACCACAAAAGACAGAAAAAGTGTGGAAGACAAAAATAGAAGCAAAGACCAAGGCAACGAATAGAAAACAGTAACAAATACGAAGGTCATCAATCCAACCATATGAATATCACTTTAAATATGAATATTTTAAATTCACCAATTAAAAGAGATTGCCAGGGTGTATCAAAAAACAACATTCAACTATATGTTTTCTACACTTTTAACATAAAGACACATATAGATTAAAATAGAGGAATGAAGTAAGATATGCTAATACTACTTTTTCAAAATTGGGAGTATTTTATGAAATATATTAATTTCAGACAGAAGATACTTCCAAGCAAGGAAAGTTCTTAGAAAAAGAAGGGACATTACATAATGGTAAGGGATTCGTGCTCCAAGAAGACATAATATATAATAAACCTTAATATTTATGTGACTGACAACAGAGCAACAAGATGGGTGAGGGAAAACATAACTGCAAAGAGAAACAGATGAATCTACCATTTCAGTTGGAGACTTTAACAACCCTTTCTCTGAAACATACAGATCCAGCAGGGAGAAAATCAGTGACATAGTTGAACCCAACACCACCATCAATCAACTGAATATAATTGACATCATTAGACTACTTCAACCAACAAAAGTATATTACACGTTCTTCTCAAGCTTACATGGAACATTCACCAAGAGAGAACACATTCTGGACATAACACACACCTTAACAAATTGAAAATAATAGAAATCATACAATCTCTGCTGTCACACCACAATGGTAGTAAACTAAACCAATAACAGAAACATAGCGGGAAAATCCCCAAATACTTGGAGATTAAACAATAACGTACTTCTTAATAACTCATGGGTCGAAGAAGAAATACTAAGAGAAATTTAAAAATATTTTGAAGTATTTGACAACTTATCAAAATTTGTGGGATACAGCAAAAGCAGGGCTTTGAGGGAAATATGTAGCGTTGAATGACATGTATTAGAAAAGAAAGATACAGAGTCAATAGTCTAAGGAAACTAGAAAAAGAAGGGCAAATTAAATTCAAAGTAGGAAAACTGATAAAAATTAGAGCAGAAATCAATGAAATTGAAAACAAGAAATTAATAAAGAAAATCAACAAAATCTATAACTGGTTCTTTGAAAAGATCGATAAAGTTTGTAAGCCTCTAGACATGCTAAGAAAAAAGAGAAGACACAAATTACTAATATCAGAAATCAAAGAGGCACACCACTACAGATGCTATGCACATGAAAAGGATAATAAAAGAATATTATGAACAACTTAATGCCTACAAATTTGGTAACCTAGATTAAATGAATTATTTTTTAGAGGTACACAACCTGCCAAAATTCACACAAGAATAAATAGGCAATATGTTTAGGCCTATTTTTATTAAACGGAATTTATTTAATAAATGGAATCAATGTTTAATAACCTCCCAAAACAGAAAGCTCCAGGCCAGATAGTTTAATTCTACCATTTATGGAAGAAATTACGGAAATTTAAGCAAAACGACATACAGCAGGTCTTCAGATAACATCATTTTGTTCAATGTTGTTTAGTTATAATATTGATGAGAATAAAATGGTCTTATTATACATCATTTTGTTTAAAGTCACATTTTCCAAGCACCTATTGATGATGTTTAGTGAGGACTTACTGTATACCAATTCTTTACAATCTGTTTTAGAAGACAGAAGAAATACTTCCTAACTCATTTTATGAGGCCAGCGTTGGCCTAATACTGAACCCAGATAAAGACATTACAAGAAAATAAAATTACAGCCCATCTCTCATGAATATAAATGGGAAAAAATCCATATCAAAATATGTATAAAATGTATAAAAAGAATTATACATCATGACCAAGTGGGATTTATTCC
Organism: Homo sapiens; assembly: GCF_000001405.40. Taxonomy (NCBI): domain Eukaryota; kingdom Metazoa; phylum Chordata; class Mammalia; order Primates; family Hominidae; genus Homo; species Homo sapiens. The sequence goes on along the minus strand of NC_000006.12, from coordinate 23,668,390 downwards.
AGGTGTGCAAAGCTGGTCCAGTTTATGAAAATCAAAGAAATCCATAACATAAAGAAGATAAATAAGAAAAATCACATGATCATGAAATGCGTTGGACTTTGTCAAGTGCAAAAACATTCATCCAACACATTTTCATAATAAAAACTCTCAGTAAACTAGGAATAAAAGACAGCTTTGTCAACTGAATATACATCATCTACAAAAACCCTGCAGCCAACATTATACTTAATGGTGAGAAACCGGATTTCCTAATTAGTTGAGGAAAAAGGTAAGGATGTTCTCTTTCAACACTGCTTTCACCATCATACTAGAAATCCTAGCTAATGCAATAAGACAGAAAAAAGTAAACTGTGCATTGTTTGACAATAGAATTCCTAACTCATGCAATAAAACAGAAAATAATGTGTTATTTGGGAAAGAAGATATAAAACTTTCTTTGTCCACAGATAATTTGATTATGAAGAAATCTGGAAAAAAAAAAAAAAAAAAAAAAGATTTAAAACAACCTCCTGGAACTAATTAGTGATTTTAGCAGTGTTGCAGAATACAAAGTTAATGTGCAAAAGTCAAGCATCTTTCTATCTACCAATAATGAACAAGTGGAATATAAAATTAGTTCCCTGCAAAACAGAACACTTAATTATAAAGCTAACAAAACATATATCAAGTCCAAATAAAAACTATACAACTCTAATGAAGATATTAAAGAAGTAAATAAATGAGACATTCCACAATCATGCATAGGAAGACATTCAGTATTATCAAGATGTCAGTTCTTCCCAATTTGATCTATAAATTCAACACAATAGTAATGAAACCACACAAATATTTTGTGGATATTGAAATTGATTCAAAAATGTATATGGAGACGTTGAAAATGCAGAAAATAGCTAAGCGAATATTGGAGAGGAACAAAGTCAGAGGACTGACATTACCTAACTTAAAGATTTTGAAGCTACAGTAATCAAGACAGTGTGGTGTTGGGGGGAAAAAAAAGACAAATATGTCAATGGATAGAGAGCTCAGAAATAGACCCACAATGAAATGTAGACAATTGATCATTGACAAAGGGGCAAAGGCAATTCAGTGGAGAATTGGTAGTCTTTTCAACAATAGATGTGGGAACAACTGGGCATCCACACACAAAATCAATCTAGACACAGACCTTGGACCCTTCACAAAAATTATCTCAAAATGGTTTATAGACTTAAATGTAACACACAAAACTGTAAAACTCCTAGGAGATAACATAAAACCTCAATGACCTTGGATATGGAATAGCTTTTTAGATACAGCACCACAGGCATGATCCATGAAAAAAATAATTGATAAACTGGACTTTGTTAAAATAGAAAACTTTCACTCTGCTAAAGACAATATAAGTCTATGGAGAATGCTCCACAGACAGGGAGGAAATATGTGTAAAAGGCATAACTGATAAAGGACTGTTCAAAATGTTCAAAGAACTCTTAAAACTCAACAATAAGTGAATGAACAGCCTGATTAAAAAATGAGCAAAAACCCCTTAACACTTCACCAGAGAAGTTATACCGATGGTGTATTTGTCCATTTTCATGCGACTGATAAAGACATACCCAAGACTGGGAAGAAAAAAAGGTTTAGTTGGACTTACAGTTCCACATGGCTGCAGAGGCCTCAGAATCATGGCAGGTGGAAGGCACTTCTGACATGGCAGCAGCAAGAGAAAATGAGGAAGAAACAAAAGCAGAAACCCCTGATAAACCCATCAGATCTTGTGAGACTTATTCACTATCACAAGAATAGCATGGGAAAGACTGGCCCCCATGATTCCGTTACTTCCCCCTGGGTCTGGGAATTCTGGGAGACACAATTCAAGTTGAGTTTTGGGTGGGAACACAGCCAAACTGTATCAGCTGGCAAGTAAGCATATGAAAAGGTGTTCAACATTATATGTCATGAGGGAATTGCAAATTACAATGAGAAACCACTATATGTCTATTACATTAGCCAAATTCCTTTTTTTTAAATTATTCTTTAAGTTCCAAGGTACATGTGCACAACGTGCAGTTTTGTTACATACGTATACATGTGCCATGTTGGTGTGCTGCACCCATTAACTCGTCATTTACATTAGGTATATCTCCTAATGCTATCCCTCCTCACTCCCCCCACCCCCACGACATGCCCAGGTGTGTGATGTTCCCCTTCCTGTGTCCATGTGTTCTCATTGTTCAATTCCCACCTTTGAGTGAGAACATGCGGTGTTTGGTTTTTTGTCTTTGCGATAATTTGCTGAGGTTGACAGTTTCCAGCTCCATCCGTGTGCCTGCGAAGGACATGAACTCATCCTTTTTTTGGCTGCATAGTATTCCATGGTGTATATATGGCACATTTTCTTATTCCAGTCTACCACTGATGGACATTTGGGTTGGTTCCAAGTCTTTGCTGTTGTGAATAGTGCTGCAATAAACATATGTGTGCATGTGTCTTTATAGTAGAATGATTTATAATCCTTTGGATATATACCCAGTAATGGGATGGCTGGATCAAATGGTATTTCTAGTTCTAGATTCTTCAGGAATCACCACACTGACTTCCACAATGGTTGAACTAGTTTACAGTCCCACCAACAGTGTAAAAGTGTTCCTATTTCTCCACATCCTCTCCAGCACCTGTTGTTTCCTGACTTTTTAATGATCACCACTCTAGCTGGTGTGAGATGGTATCTCCTTGTGGTTTTGATTTGCATTTCTCTGATAGCCAGTGATGAGCATTTTTTCATGTGTCTTTCGGCTGCATAAATGTCTTCTTTTGAGAAGTGTCTGTTCATATCCTTCGCCCACTTGTTGGGGTTGTTTGTTTTCTTCTAGTAAATTTGTTTGAGTTCTTTGTAGATTCTGGATAGTAGCCCTTCGTCAGATGAGTAGATTGCAAAAATTTTCTCCCATTCTGTAGGTTGCCTGTTCACTCTGATGGTAGTTTCCTTTGCTGTGCAGAAGCTCTTCAGTTTAATTAGATCCCATTTGTCAATTTTGGCTTTTGTTGCCATTGCTTTTGGTGTTTTAGACATGAAGTCCTTGCCCATGCCTATGTCCTGAATGGTATTGCCTAGGTTTTCTTCTAGGGTTTTTATAATTTTAGGTCTAACATTTAAGTCTTTAATCCATCTTGAATTAATTTTTGTATAAGGTGTAAGGAAGGGATCCAGTTTCAGCTTTCTACATATGGCTAGCCTTTTTTCCCAGCACCATTTATTAAATACAGAATCTTTTCCCCATTTCTTGTTTTTGTCAGGTTTGTCAAAGATCAGATGGTTATAGATGTGTGGTATTATTTCTGAGGCCTCTGTTCTGTTCCATTGGTCCAGATCTCTGTTTTGGTACCAGTACTATGCTGTTTTGGTTACTGTAGCCTAATTCCAAAACTCTGACAACACCCCACGTTGGTGAGGATATGGAGCAATAGGAACGCTCATTCATTGCTGGTGAGAATGCAAAATGGTACAGTCACTTTGGAAGACAATTTTATAGTTTCTTACAAAACTAAACATACCCTTGGCCAGATATCCAGCAATTGTGCTTCTTGGTATCTACGCAAATGAGCTGAAATCTTATGTCCCCAAAAAAACCCTCATATGGATGTTTATCACAGCTTTATTCATCACTGATGAAACTGGGAAGCTGTCAAGATGCTTCTCAGTGGCTGAATAAATAAACTATGATACATGCAGACAATGGAATATTATTCATCACTAAAATGAAATGAGCTATAAAGCCATGAAAAGCCATTGAACAAATTTAATTTTACTATGTGAAAGAAGCCAACCTAGAAAGACTATATGATTCGTAGTACATGATTTTGTGGAACAGGTAGAGCACAGAGAACTTTTGGGGCAGTGAAACTAGTCTGTGTGATACTGTACTGTGTGAATACACATCAATGTACACTTCTTAAAACCCATAGAATACACAACAGCATGGGTGAAACTTAGTGTAAACTATGGGCTTTAGATAATAACAATGCATCAATATAGGTTTTTTGATTGTAAAAGATATGTCATCGTGGGATGTCAATAGTGGGGGAGGTTGTATTACATGTGGGAACAGAAAGTACATGAGAAACTCTGATCAATTTTGCCTTGAACCTAAAACTGCTCTAAAAATATAGCTTAATAATAATACAAAAAGGTGAGGGCAAGGGGAAAAGAACAATGTGGGCCAGAATATTTGGGTAAAAGAGCTCGTGGAGAAAAGAGCTCGTGGTGAGAAAGAAAACAAGATATTTTCAGTTTAGGGAGTTACTTTAACAGAGGTATGGAGGTAAGGGTGGGCTTCATATAAAAAGAAGTATACAGAAAATGATATATTTGCAGTATTAGATCAACAGTATGGAAATAATAAAGATCAAGAGAATAAAGATATGAATCCTCGTACTTCTCTAGAGAAAACACAATTAAGGCCATTCCAGTGTGGCCAGCCACAAGGCAGGGCCATGTTGCCATGACTGGACTTCTGCCAACTGATGACTCTGAAGCATTTGGGCTTCTGAGGCATACCTAATGGTAGGCATGATTTGATTCTGGGTTATCTAATTGCCAGCTGCTGGATGGTTGTTTGTAAAATACAATGATAATGACCTCAGGCAGTTTTTTTTTTCTTTTTAGCAAAACTGCAGTTGCTGCTGATTATGAACAATAAAGTTGGCCCTTTATATGGGATGTCATCCACAGTACAGTAGTTACTACATGTCAAAAACAGTAGGCTTGTGTTTCGTCTTTTAAATTTTTCTTTTTGACAGCATCAGAATAACACAGAGAAGGGACATTTCGTGGAGGTTTTCCCCAAAGAATTATGGTTTTGTAGTAGCACTGATTTATCATCAAAGAGACCAGTTCATAAAATAAAAATGTAATAAAAGATAATGGGGAATAGTTTTTCCTCATCCCTCCACATAGCTCCTATTAACATTAATGGGAATTGTACGTGATTTGGGGAAGGGGAGGCTGCCTGGTATTTCCAAAGGGTTTATATGTAGACAGATTCAATGAGAGGGTCCCGTGTGATTTCTTCAAGCACAATATAGAATAAAGGGAGGGAGGGACACAGGGCCTCTCTTTGGAGAATACTATGCTTTTTGTTGGCATAATTTGATTTATTTTCCTGTTCAGAAGTGTGAGGACAGAGCAGGAAAACTATCAGGCACGGAGAAAGGAAGGTGCTGTTTTATTATTAAAGCCTAATGTGCTGTGAATAAGTGCACTTATAATAATAAGTTCAAAACACCCCCTCTTAAAATGGATCTATTTTTTCTTGATTTAGTGTTCCACATGGTATATTTTACCTCCAATTCTGACAACATATAGAAAACATCTCAGAGGGAAAAAAAGTAATGATTTTTCTCTCCCTAATTGAATCAGACCTCAAAGTCTCTCTGGAATTAAGGCAATAGTCTTTAGCATTTGCTTTTCTTACTTGATGACTATTGTCCATGAGGTTGTATTACTAAGCAAGTAATATTATTGTTTTTTAATTAAAAATATATGACACATTTTAATGGTGCAATATGTGGAAAACCATGAGAAGTTATAAAAAATAAAAATTGCCAATATTATTATCATCCAGAAATAGTTATATTGCTATATTGTTACATATAGAGATAGATATGCTATTCATATATAAATGTTTATATTTTATAAAACTGCTGAATGTTATATATCAATTTTCATACTTTGCCTTAAAAAATTCTATGACAACTGTTTCTTCATTTTAATGCCTGAATAATTGTCCATTTATTTAATCATCTTCCTATTGTGAGACATTTAGATTGTTTCTAGATTTTACTATTAACAACAAAAAAAACTTGTATAAATTTTTGTGCATGTAATTGACACTAGGTACTATAAGTTTAATAATATTTGCCATTTGGGTAGAAAAAATATTCTATTGCTGCTTTAACTTTCATTAGTTTGATTAGTAGAGCAACTGAGCAGTTATTCAAATGTTTATTTGGCCATGCAGTCATTATATGATGACTAGACAGCATAATATTTCAGAATACCACATAAATCCTTACATCTGAGGCTGGAGTTCATTTTAAGTTGTATTGAAGTATCAGCTATGAGCAAATGTTTTAGGGCTAGCAGTTACAGATTTTATTATAGAACTCTTAGGAACAGCTTGTTTAAAAGACATAATTATTCATGGATTAAGAAAGAAATTACAGTGTCTATGTCCCAAAATGTCTGTAAAATGTGTAGACTAGGGGAAACGGTGTTTTCTTAGCAACTTTCACGTAACTGTATTGCCTTGATAGTTTGGGTCTGCTGATACCAGATATGGCTCTACCTAAGTTAGACTATGGAACCAGCTATGGGCCCTACATGAAAGACAACAGTTTTGAGTTTGAGCAAAACTCAAATGCAGAATAACTGCCTTCTGGCAAATTCAAATGACAGTGAGTATCACTTCGCAACACATGGGCTAGAATAGAAGTTTTTCTTTTAGGGACTCTAAATTCTCTTTTTTATCCTATTTCCTATTCTCACTCACCTTCAGAAGTGAATTCTAAACCTGTAGTGATTTCCAACCCTGACAGCAGCATTAAAATATTCTGATGAGCTTTACACAAGTGTAGATCTCACAGCCATAGCTCTGAACTGCTGAATCAGGATCTTTTGAGGGTGAAGTGAATTCATTACATCATACTTTCATTATTTTCCAGTTACTCTGAGTTCTGACAAAAGTACATATGTATTGTGGCTGAGCGCGGTGGTTCAAGCCTTTAATCCCAGCACTTTGGGAGGCCAAGGCAGGCAGATCACTCGAGGTCAGGAGTTTGAGACCAGCCTGGCCAATGTGGTGAAATCCCGTCTCTACTAAAAATACAAAAAGTTAATGGGCATGGTGGCAGGTGCCTGTAATTGCAGCTACTTGGGAGGCTGAGGCAGGAGAATCGCTTGAACCTGAGAGGCGGAAGCTGCATTGAACAGAGATTGTGCCACTGCACTCCAGCCTGAGAGAAAGGTAGAATTCACTTCTGAAGGTGAGTGAGAATAGGAAATAGGATAAAAAAGAGAATTTAGAGTCCCTAAGAGAAAAACTTCCATTCTATCCCATGTGTTGAGAAGTGATACTCACTGTCGTTTGAATCTGCCAGAAGGCAGTTATTCAGCATTTGAGTTTTGCTCAAACTCAAAACTGTTGTCTTTCATTTAGGGCCCATAGCTGGTTCCATAGTCTAACTTAGCTAGAGCCATATCTGATATCAGCAGACCCAAACTATTGCTTGAACCTGAGAGGCGGAAGCTGCATTCAGCGAGATTGTGCCACTGAACTCCAGCCTGAGAGAAAGAGCAAGACACTGTCTCAAAAAAAAAAAAAAAAAAAATATATATATATATATATATATATATATATATATATATGTTGCCTCACCTAATGCACCTAGTCAACTCATTTATACTAACTGGCAAATGACAGCTACTGGTTTACAAACTTAATCGTTTCATACCATACCGCCTACTGTTTCTCAAAGTGTCTTGCATAATATAAATCTTTGTTGCATAGGAATACTCTATGTCTACAATTGTGGTCCTTCTAATAACAGCTACCCTCTCAATATGGCAACTCTCAAAATATGTGCTCGCATTGCTGATAGCCCTTGGTGGGGGTGGGCCAGGCAAGGAATGTAAAACTGAAAGGCATGATACTTTCCCTCAAGGGGCTGACAGTCATTTTGTGAGGCAGAGTGCACACCTGTAATACAAAATACCATAGAAACTGGTAAGAGAAGTACAAACAAAGGTCTAATAAGGTCTGATAGGATAGAAAGTAGTGATGAGTTTATTTTCTATTTGCCTTTAAAAATAACCTTTTTTTTCACTTAGAAATTATAGGTAGTTAGTTTTAAAAAGTCTCCCTAAAGACATGTAACAAAAGCAACAACATCAATATTTGGCTGGAACTACAGACTCCTGCTACCACGCCAGGCTAATTTTTGTATTTTTAGTAGAGATGGGGTTTCACCAGGTTGGCCAGGCTGGTCTCGAACTCCTGAGCTCACGTGATTCACCCGCCTTGGCCTCCCAAAGGGCTGGGATTACAGGCATGAGCCACCATGCCCGGCCATATTAGGGTTTTGTTTTGTTTTGTTAATTCTCACATTCTATCACTACTTAATATATTATCTGACTACACTTTATTGATATATATTTTTTTCTGTAGAGAATAACCCTTTTAAAAATGTGCTTTTTACCACAATTTTTTTTCACTAAACTGACAGAGCTCTCTCTTCTTTTTATTGGAGATAAAATTTCTCGTATGATGCTATCTTCTGTCCTGTTCTTTTTCTTCTTTTGTGTTTTGACTTTTTATTCCTTTACTCTCATTTTTGTGTGGTTTGGGGATGGTGCTGGGTGGTGAATATTTATATTCAATCATCTGTATTAAGTGGTTTAATTGAATATCTCCAAAGATGGATTTTGACAGGAGGGGTGAGAGGAAGTCTCATAGAGTAGTGATTTTGGACGTGGGCTTTGTAATTGACTTAGGTTTGTGTGGAGAAGTGGGCTGGGAAGGAAATCCGCTTAGCGGGTGGTAGGAGTAAAGGCAGGATGCAGGAAAGGGCTCAGCCTCCCCTCATGCAGGGAGGAGAACGGGAACCTCAGGGAGAGAAAGATGCCTCTATAGGCATCCTTCCACCTGGGAGGGCCTTTAATAACCCAAAAGTGTGAGGAGCCACTGGTAGCTTTATAAAAAACTGGAAGCACTTATTAGAAGAGTCATCAGATAGGCAAGTGTAATGTCACTAAATAGAGTCCCTTTTATGTTTGAGACATAGCAATGGCTTCATCAATGTTGGTTTCAGTCATTATCAAGATAATTAGCTTTAAGTTAGTACATGTGACTCTCAGAGGTGTATTGTTATCTGAGAAATAGTTAACCCACACTGAAACCTGTTTTTCTAGAAAATGCATGCTCTGTAAATCTCGATTGCAGAAAAAGGCTCTTTCTCCCTCCCCACTGTTGTGCCTGCCACCCCACTGCCATCCTTTTCTCTGAGGAGGGCAGTAGAGACCCACAAATCAGGCTTCATCCCAAACTCCTTGTCTCCCTTTTCTTAGCCACAGTAGATTTTCCTTCTTTCCTTGAATTCTCATGTTTGCATAATTCTGTCGTCCATTCTCAGGGGAAATCATGGTATATATTGAAAAGTCCTTCATGTCTAGAACTTTGCACTCTTGCATTTAAAAATCTTAGTCATAAATATGGAATGTAAAGGCTGAAAGCTATCTTACAGATCAGTGTAGAACCCTCGCCTTTTAACAGCACCTAAAGCCATAAAGGTGCTTTGACTTGCTCACGGTCTCAAGTTAGGTATTAGTAGCACTGGTACCAGAACCTATATCTCCAAACTCAGTGAATTTGCTGTAGCATTTTACTGTCCTTTTGGCAGTTACCAGTCACCATGTGTTTACCAGCAAAGAAAGTACAACTTATTATCATGAAATTAAAATGTGTGCTCAAGATTGTTAAACATCACTATTTCTATCCCAATTCAATCCATTTGCACCCAAATTGAGGGAAATTTTATTTTCTCCCCTTATCAGAGGATTTATTTATTTTTTTAATTTTTTAAATATTTTCCCCATATTACATATCATGTTAGGCCCTATGAGGGCTATAAAATAGATTAAAAATATAATGTCTATTTGGAGAGACAAGATACAAACAAAAATAGCTAAATGAGTTAAAATAATATAAGATCATAAAGGAAGGGCTATTATAAGATCAGTTATAACTAGTTGCCAGGTGAATGATCTATACTGTAAGAGACCTGAGTTCTGATGGGAAGGAGTGATGGACAGGAGTTTGCTGAGGGGAGAAGTGAGAAATTTAGACCTTGAATGATGAATTGATTTGTATATTCGGAGGAAAGGTGGGGAACATTCCGGTAGAAGAATGGTTCATTCACTATGCTGATGCTCTTTTGTGCCAGATGCTGGGCCAGTGCTAGGTAGACAGACACACTAAGGAGTTCAGAACCTAATCAAGCACACTCATAACATATATTGCACTGCAATAGAGCTTCCAGAGAGGGCTGGATAATGTGGAAAGCAAAATGGGTAGTAATAACAAAATCACAGCTAGTTGATTATATATTGATATGTTTCAGACATTTTACCCATGTTGTAGAATTAAAAATTCACAATAACCATTGGAAGCAGGCCATTATGATCACTGATTTACAGGTGAACAAAACTGAAGTCTTAAACTCTGGTCTGGACCTTGAGTGCACATTGCAAGAGAATCATAGGGAGAACTGTTACAAACATACCTACGCCAGGACCCCACTCCCAGAGCTTCTGATTTCAGGAGTCTGCAGCAGGGTCTCAGCATATTTCTTTTACTTCTTTTTATGAAAATGAAGATATTTTGCAGTTGTGGTTTTTTTTGGTTTGGTTTGGTTTGGTTTGGTTTTGAGACGGAGTCTCACACTGTCACCCAGGCTGGAGTGCAGTGGCGCGATCTTGGCTCACTGCAAGCTCTGCCTCCTAGGTTCTCGCCATTCTCCTGCCTCAGCCTCCCAAGTAGCAGTTGTGTTTTTATTGTAAGGGCTTAATTTGTTTACAGAAGGAGTTGAATCCTGTTTTGTAAATATGAGGGGCTGTCTGGTGTGAAAAGAGTAGTAGTAGTTGCTGTTATGGTTATTGTTGCTGAAAACCTCTCATGTGATGTTAATGTGCAGCCAGGGTTAAGAGCTCCGGGCTTGGAGGGACCAAGGAGCAGTTCCAAGTCAACACATCTCATGTATAGCAAGGTCAACTGTCTGGCTTCAACCTCTTATCATTATATCAGGCTGCTTCTAGAAGGATGGAGCGGGTCAACAGCAGAGAGCATTGTTAACAAGGTGTGCGTGCCTGTGTGCATGTGTGTGTTCGTGCGTGTGTGTGGTTGTGTGGAGGCACATAGAGAAAATATATGTTCAGGGAATGATAAGTATTACATTCAGGCTAACTGGAGAACTAAAAGTGTAAAGTGGGTGACAGGGTTGGAAAAGATGCTTAGGTTTACATTTCAGATGCCTTACGTTAGGCACCAGGATAGCACCTCCGCAATTGAAGAAATGCTGCCCGTCATTGTTCAGGTCACTGGTAATGCCCGATCCATGTTTCTGAGAACACTCTTATTAAGCACCCCATGAATGATTAGACCAGGGTCTAGATGGTTGATACAAAAAGGCTGAGCTCACGAGTTTTGTTGTACATAAATCTGTTTGAAATGGAATAGAAGAGACATAACTGAAGCCAAGGGAATAAGCCAGATAAGCTTTCAAGGCCCATTCCAGACCCCTGACTGTGTGAATTAGAATGATCACATCAAGGCTACTCAGCACATCACAGAATGGACTATGTCTGTGTATTGGATGACAGGTCTTAATTGTCACTATCGCAAACTCCCTAACAACACATACGTATGCCTGTCAGGGCCGCAGAATCCACATTTTTAAGAGGGGAGATAGGGCTTAATGAATATGAGCCTTCATGCTAGGTTCTCTGCTGTTACATCCCCATTGAAGGAGTGATGTGAAATCCACCGACATCATTTTAAGGCTGAGAGAGCTCACCCATGAGTGAAGAAAGAATTAATGAGGTTCTCCCGCAGCATCTCAATTCACAGTTGAAGCAGAGGTGAGGCATGGTAGGAGGCATTCCACCTTAATTAGGATGCGGTCCCAGCATCCTCCTGTGCTGAATACTCTCTGTTCCTCCGACCCACAGCTCCCCACCTTGGTAAATGTTTTACTGACCTTTGATTTTGCAGCACCTTCTCTCCCCGCCCCCTTTCTCCTTGCCTCCCCTCGCTGATCCCCCGTCAGGAACTGGCACTCCAGCTATCTGGGGGGCAGCTGGAATGTTGCTCTTGCTCTTAGCTTCTCTGAAATGACGGTGGAGTGGGTGGTGCGCTTATAATAGGTCTTTAGAAAAGAATGCATTGAGTTCTCTGAGGATTTTTTTAAAGGCTTTGGGACATGACTGAGGGAATGGCTAATTACTATTTATGACTGTTTCATTCAGAGCTAATTGCCGGAGCTGCTGCAGACACTGAGGCCTTCACTGCTGCTCTGCACCAGATGTGCAAACAGTAATAAAATGGGCGATGGGGCCGATTCTTTGCACGCCAGTCCTGAAACAGGGTCTGTGTGCATGTGCATATAGGTAGGAATACATGTGTATACACACACACATATACAATATTGCAGATTTTAAGAAGAGTCCAGAAGTAATTCTTGAAACTCTTCATTTCTAATAGTTTTTGGATATATATATTAGGGTCAATTTGTCAAGGTATAATTAACAATGCTGGACCCATTGAGAAATGAAAGAACTAAGGAATTTTATTCTCCCGCCCCCCCCCCCCCCCACACACACATTGAGTGAATAAGCAGGGACAGTGAGTGGTATGGAAAAGTTAGCTGGATTCATCAAAGTTTGATTAAAGGAAAAAGGAAAAGTAGAGAAATATTAAACAGAGACTGGAGGGGTTTCCCTCAATTTCTGTTTCAGCTTTCCTCTAATTGATTTTCCTACTTCATGTGAACTCAGGCAGCTGCAATTTATATGGAGTGTGTTCCTGGATGTGGTGCCGTCAGAGCTGCACACATCTGGTGAGCAGCTTTTGGTTTGGGCTGTGAAAGATGTTCCCAATGTAAGTCCCCAACCCTTATGCACTGACCTTCCTCCCCAACCCTGTGATATGAAAATCGACTACCACAATAGCTGAGGAGGGTGCAATAACTCTCTGCTGCTTCTTAGGGTAAATCCATCTCACAGTCTAGTGAAATAGTCCAGTCACTGTCGTTCTTTGTAACCATCTTGGTATACTCAAGGAAACTTGACTTTGTTTTTTTTCCCCTTTTGGAAGGGGAAAGAAAGTGTATTAAATGAGGGTACATGTGAGAGTCTCACTAACTGATAGCCAGTTTAATATCTGTGAAAATGTTGCTTTGTTTGGAAGTGAGAGCTGCAAACAGATACAAAGTATATGACAGGGAGAATTACTAAGGAAACAATTGGTGAGAAGCAGTCTTTCCTTCTGACTTTCCTTTCAGAGAAAAAGACTGACTTTGGTTAAGTTTCTACATGTAGGGGCCTGAGAGAGGCATTCTGCAGGCTTGTCCCTTTAGGGTAAGGATAGGAGAGTGCTTGGGGGGTGAGAACAGAAGCGGCTCTTAGGAGAGAGGGAGAGGCCTGAAGACTGAAAATGATTTTCTAACTAGGGTATAGAAAGAGACCTAGCTCCCTTCTGCTCAGGATCTCGGGCTCGTGAATGCTTATAAGGTGCACTCAAAGACAGTGGATCTCCAGGCCTAGGCTCCCAGCCTTGGAAAAATCAACAGTGACATAGATGAAGAGTTATCCTCAGCTAAGGAAACCTTAGCCATTGGGTAATGAGCAACCATGACAGACGGATGCCAGCGGCCTCTTGCTCATTGTAGGGCAAGGTCCATTCCCATTTTTGGTGAGATGCCAGGGCAAGAGGAAGCATTCTTAGCACTCGAATGCAATTGAATTTCTCCCCATCATTGAGACAGGACTTTAGAGTCAAAAATAAGTTTCTTTATTATAGAAAATAAAGTAATGTGATTTTGTTTGCGCTTGCATGTGGTAGATTAAAATTCATAACAGTTTCCCATGTTTAGAATTTAAATGACAACAAGGAAATGCATACACAAGCATGGCTCAGGGTCACAGATTAGCTGAAATGATGCTTCCTCATTGGTGGTTAGGTTCCTGATAATGATCACTTACTCTTGAAAGACTAATGATTATTACCCTGTCATGAATCTCTCATGAAACTGTTTGGGGTTCCGTACAATGTGCAAGGATTATGAAGGTAAATAAGGCAGAGTCCCTGTTAAGGCACTTTCAGACTAGTGAGGCAGACTGATATGTAAATAGAACATTTAAATGTGATGTCATACAGATATAAAGACTTCAGAGCTGAAAAGTTCTCCTTTTTATTTTAGTTTCTATTGATACTTGAGTTTGAAGTACTCGTACATGTTAAATATGTCTGCTTTTTTCTTGGGGCTTAGATTCTATTATTGTATTATTTTGAAGTATTATTTCTCTGCTTTATAAGTTATATGTTGAAATACTTTTATTATTTTTTGTAAACTGGTTCTTAGAAAGGGTAGGTAGTATTAGTTTGCTAGGCCTGCCATGACAAAGTGCCACACAGTGGCTTGAAGAGCAGACATTTATTGTCTCACTGATCTGGGGATGGGAAGTCTGAGATCAAGGTGTCCATAGGGCCATGGTGCCTCTGAAGGCTTTAGGGAAGGATCTGTTCCAGGCTTCTTTTCTAGCTTTTGGTAGTTTCTTGGCAGCTTTCCTCCAACCCTCACATTGCATTCTCCTTGTTTTCGTGTCTCTGGGTCGAGATTTCCAGCTTTTCTCTTGGTGTTTTTAAGAATTCTCTCTTTGTCTTTGACTTTAGACAGTTTGATGATAATTTGCTATGGAGAAGACCCTGTCTGCATTGTATCTGTTTGGGGCTTTCTGAGCTTCCAGGACCTGGAAGTGTAAATCTCTCACTACACTTGGGAAATTTTCATCTAAAAACACCAGTCGTTTTTTAATAAAAACACCAGTCCTACTTGATTAAGGACTCACCTACTTGACTATGACCTTATTTTAATTAATTACATCTTCAATAGCCTTATTTGAATTCTTATTCCCAAGTAAGTTCACATTCTGAGATGCTGAGATTAGGATGTCAACATATGAATTTTGTGGGGGGACACGATTCAACCTATAAACTAAATGACCTTTTATTCTCTAGAGAGTTTCTCTATGAATGGACTCCCCATTGTCCTAAGCGGGCCAGCATTCATGCCATCTTTCTGTATGAGACGCCTACCTAGCATTCTTTACAAAGAGACCTGGTGATGCCTGTTCTAGAAAAGGTCTGTGGGTCTGCATTCTTAATTTCCATTCTCCCACCTGTCCGCCTTCAGTGACTCTCAGAGCAACTAAGGGGGATTGCATGAGATAATTCCTGAGTTTTGGGCATCATGAGTTACAGGATGTGCACTTCAGTGGGCTGGAAATAAAAGGGCTAAATAAAAAGTGAATGAGACACTGCTCCAGAATCCCTATTTTCTGATCTGGAAAGGGTGGAGAAGTCAAACACAGGCATAAACACTGGCATTCCAAGGAACACCAAGATCCTTTCACTGATTGTTCTTACACAGATTTACTGCACTCTGTTATTTGGGGTAAGCTAGTAGGTCACTGTGCAATTATTTACAACTTGCAATATCATTGCATGTTTTAACACTACAATTGTATTGCAAACTAATCCAAAAGCAGAGGATTTGTCTTCTCTTTTCTTGTCTCCTGATAATATTTAATAGGATTATTTGTAAAATATAAGTGCCCAGTGGCTGCTTATTTAAAAATTTGAGAGCTTCGTATCTCACCCAGGTTGTTTCCTGAGGTTCACAATTTATTTTTAAAATGCCATCAGTAGTGAATATGCCAGAAGTTAGCATTGTAGCCAGTATGTATATGTATAACCATTACCTTGAATAAGGATAATTAGAAACAATTTTATTTTCTCATCCCTTTAAAATTATTCAAGGTGAAATGGGCAGGTGCATAATTATCTTCTGTCTCAGGATGGAAATGTGGGTAAACCACGTGACTACTCTTACCTAGAAAGATCCATAATCACTTTAAGTCACTAAATACAGTGTGCTTCAGTAAGTAGAATGTGTCCAGGCCAAAATATTAATAAATGCTTTAGTTTTTATTGAAAAGGATTTCTTACTCTCGACTAACTTTAGGTTGGTGTTTGCCTGGCCTGGGAAAAGGCCCTGGGATAGGTTTCTGCCTGCTTCTCAGTCACCTCCTCACCTCCTCACCTCCTCCAGCTTTAGCAAGCACACATTACAGATCCACCAATGTTAAGTGTGAGAAGAGAGGACTGGGAAAGGGAATAGGGCAATCTTACTTGGCCATCTGGTTTTCTTTTCTCTAGGTCTTGTAGATGGCTAAAACTCATCTCTTACGTCTTGGGATGCTGTCATTTGCTGTTGCTGACAGTCATTGCTGGGGACTGTGCATGTCAAGGAGAGTCTTGCCTTGGGAGGCTGCATTTCTATTCCAGTGGTTATTTTGGTTCTTTCAGCAGCTGTTAGCAACTTAGCACATACGTCTGGACCTCCGGCACACCATCCCTCTCTGTGATCCTAGTATACAGGAAGCAAGAGCAGCCCACCTTGTCTTCTTCTCCTTCAAGGTCTACATCTGTTCATTGGCAAACACTTTGCCATCTTTAGCTACATCCAGTGCAATCATCTCTATCCTCTTCCACAGGCTGCTTAATTTTCTTGGGCTTAAGCCATGCCCTAAACTTTGTGACTCTCTCAAAAGCAATGAGCACATTTACAGTTTTTTCAATTGTCCTTTTGAGATGCCCAGAGGTAAAGGACACTGTGAGTAAGCTCTACTGTTCCTTCTTGGGGTAGGATGTGGACTTTGTGTGTTAGCTATACTTCAATGACAAAGTTGAAGGCCTTACATCATAACTCCTATTGTTCTCTATTTCACAAAGTGTCTTAAAATTTGTTGTCATTCTTGAATCTCAGCAACCCTGTTAGATAAAAAGACAGGTTATAGCATCCACAGTTGATAGATGGAAAAATTGAGATCTGGAGAGAATAAGTAACTTATGCAAGCACAGGAGGCAGCTAAGTTAAAACAGTGCTTGAGATTAGAGATCAGATTTTCTGATTACATGAAAACAATTACTGGTTATCAATAGGGATCACACAGTCCTGGGAGGAGGTGGTAGATTTGGGGAAATGTCAGAATGGGGAAACGAGAATGTGTAGTTTGGGAAAAAATAAAAGCAAACATTCCCAGTGTTTGATTTGTTTTTCATTGCGTTAGTGGTATTTCAAATAACTGTGTCTGTGAGACTTTTATATTTTTCGAAAGGAGACATAGATAAAAAAATATGAAGGAAAACTACACTCAAAATAGGCCGCTTCACTGGTTGCCATTGTCTTAACTCAGCTGATCTGGTGTGTCAGAGTTAAGACACTTTGATTTTATGTAATGCACTTTACCAAGATGACATTTATATTGAGATAACGAGTGAATTTCTTATTCCAGTTGAGATTTAAGAATTATCAGCATAAATGACCCTTTAAAATTAGAGATAATGAAGACTTTAAACCTTAAAATCCCTGGGAAGTTTTTTATTCAAAAAGCCAAAGAGCTAACCAAACAGAAATAGACCATAAACCTGAACTCTTACTCCTCCTGCTCCCTCCCACCCTAAGGCCCTCTGATTTTTCTGGTTTATTTTAGGCCCATACAGAACAAAACCCTGGCTGTTCCTTAACAAGTGAGAATGACTTGCCCAGACACACAATAAAACATTTGTGACAAGCGAGCATGCACGCCCTTAATCCAGATCTTGCTCAGCACAAGGTACTCTCTGGCTGCCTGATTCAACAAAGAGCCCTCTGTCCCTGCTCCTCGCGGAGGCTGAATGCCAATTGTCTTAAATCTGATTGCTCCTTGAACCCCAGTCCCCTCGTGGATGCATGAGAGTGCCACCCAGAATGCCAGGACCCATTAGGCTGAGCTGACTGAGGAGATAGCTTTAAATCAGATTTCCTTTATCTTCCTTCTCTAAAAATTGTGGTTGTTACCTTTATGCTTGTTTTTCTTCTCTCCAAGCCCTTAAGTGTTCACTCCTCACGGCTCTCCTTACCCAAAGCAGCTGCTTTTTCCACAGGGTCAAGCTGCGTTACCTTCGACAAAGATGTCACTAGTCTGAAGCAGCCTTGATTCTGTTAGATATCCATCCTGGGGGCACACCATTGCATGGTGTACTAAAAAGCAAGTAATCAATAGGAAACAAAATACCTGGCCATAAACAAGTTGAAGAATGCTTTGGAGAGGAGAAAAGGGAAAATAAATCGAGAAGGCATTACTGAGAGGCCTTCGTTAAAAGAGAGGAGAGTAAGATGGCCTTTTGATAAGCCCTTGATATAGCATCCCTCCCAAATCTAAAGTTGTTCACAGCTCATCCTGTACTCTCTTGTTTATTTTAATAAAAACTAGAACAACTTATTTCCAACTGTGGAAGCAATATGCTTATTGTAAAAAATGTAAAACCAAAAAATACGAAAAACTGAAAAACCCCACAATTTGGGAATATATTAAGTTGTCTCTCTCTCTCTCTCACTCTCTCACTGTCTCTCACACACACACACACGGTACAGTTTATTTTGTAAACAAATTATTTTTCTCTAAAAGTATGTTATGAATATGTTAGTAACAAATAATATCTGGCTGGCATTTTATGTGGTTATATCTTTATTTATTGGTTTTGCTGCAAAAGGCTTTATTGTCTCCAACTGGTTCACAGCTTGAGACACAGGGCCTGGAGCTTTTTAAATACCCTGGAGGTACTTAAACAGCTGCCTAGTGGATGGAGGTACCAGAAGCCCTGGTACCAGGCGATGCAGAGAAGCTTCTCAAACGACACGGGCTCCAGAGCCTTCCAGTGCTGCTTCACGGGGAGGTTTTGGAAGACAGACTGGCCCAGTCCAGCCTGTGAAGGGTGGACAGGTGGTCACCGGTCTTCTTGCTGAGTTCTTTTTCCCTCCTCGTCTAGGAAATGGCTCTCTAGGAAGTCACCAAGATAGAGTCTGTGCGGGCAGAACCCAGGGCAAGCAGATACAGAAGGACCAGCTTCTGGTTCTTCTCAACAGTCAGGACGGCTTCCACAGCATCCAGGCTTTTACACCCCTCATCTTGGGGCACTATCTACATATCTTAGAAGAGGGTGCAGCCACCGTGCCAATTATGCAACTTCAAGAGATGCTGGGGCAGTCCCCTGTAGTTTGATATCTTTGAATGTCAAAATTATTTAGCTATTCTAATTAGCATTGCAATGGAAATCTTCATTGCTACATCCCCAATTATTGTGGCAAATAACTAGTAACGGAATTTTTAAGCAATAAACAATGCACCCTTCAAAATGTGTTAATATTTGTTATGATCTAGAAAATTATTCCTTCTTCATACATACCTGTTTTGAAAAACACCCAGCCTCGTATTCTTCATGAAGACTACTTTGAATGAACAAAGCTATTATTACAACCTCTTGGTCCTAACACAACTTCATCAATTTTTAATCTAAACTGTTATTCACTTAGGGTACAAATAAGAATGCTTTTATGTGCTTATGCTAGAATGCATTAGTGTATTCAACTTATATGTTTATCTCTGTTTCCACTTTTTCATGATTAGTTCAATGCTATACTCATAGTGGGGAGTCAGTAACTCATCTTTCATGAATCTCATTCATTTGGAAAATAACATCCAGATTGCTCATGAAGAAAGTCTTGAGCACATCATTTAATTTTAAAATTTCCTATATTATGCTTGGAAATGTGTATCTTAAAGGAAGCTAGACAGTGTTTTCTCCACAGAAGAGCCATTATTCTGGGAATGAGTGAAATTGTCTGGTTATTTGCAAGAGAAGCCTTAAAATTTTGTTTTGTTATTTAGCTTTAGGGGAGTTATGATCATTTCTAAATTAAGTTCTTTCCTCAGACTTTTTTTTTTTTCTGCCAGACACTGTGTTTTGCTATACAATAATCATCATTGATTTCTTAATTGTACCCGTGATTCTTACTTAACAAAATAGGGCAGCAAATTTGATTGAAATCATTAAAGCTAGGTTTTCTGTATGATTATTGTCAATACAAGCTATTTCTTCCTTTTTAATTTTCAGGCCAGGGACAAATAACTCAACCTCCTGAGATTGTCATCCATTACCCCCATCATACACACACACACACACACACACACACACACACACACCATTATCGTTACCATAGGCCTTATCAGGAATGGTTGGCCAATCCTCTACTTTTTCCTTGTCCAAATAACCATTTATTCTTCAGGATATAAAGAAACAACTCTGAGTAAATATAGTTCTAGATCTGAAACACGTCTTAAAGTCATATTTCTCATCTTTACTCTTTGGCTAAATAAACCAAAGAAGTAGAATTATAGAGCTTCAAGTTAACTACCAGCAAAGCTAACCTGCCAGAAGGACAGATGTTGTGAGCCAATTCTCAATATGTGACAAACATTTGCACAACTGTTGGCTAGTTACTCTTGGACTGAGGTACCAAACATGACAGACTGTTGTCGGACCTCACAGTAAATGGGACCAGGAAAACTTCTACCAGTATTGTTCATAGCATTATTTTTTATCTTACACATGTGAAGAGTTATACTCATGAAAACATCGTCAGTTCTCACCTGAAAAACCCAGGTTCATACTAACCCTAGGATAAAGATTGCATTTCCAATCTTAATCTGTGTGAACAAATTTGAATCCAAGCTCATCCCCTTTGCTCTCTTTGCTAAGAAGAATGGATTTTTCATGGACATGTTCTTGTAGGTATGGCTGAGCATTTTAATTCCCTAAGTAGAATGAGCTTTGATCTTTCTTTACTGCTTCCTCTACAGAACAATAAATATACAGAACAAAACCACTCTGATTTATGTCAGTTCTACAGAGGAAAAGGTAGTATTCATTGTACCTTATTTGTAAACTTTAAATAGTAGAAAGCATGTGTATCATTTAAAATTCAGGGCAGAAAAATCACTATAAGTTATGTGGAATAAGGGATTTATTGTAGAGAATGGATCTTACACAGCTTTGGGAGCTAGTAAAGAAGTTTTTAGAAAGCTGTTGCCTCTGCATCTGGTGGCAGGGCTGAAGTTGCTATAGCTCAGTAGAGGCAGCAGTGGACACTAAAAGCTGGGTTGCAGAAAGGACAAACTGCTATCCATGAGGACAAAGTGCTATCTGTATCTGTTTCTCACTGTATCCAATCCTGATAGCTAAGGTGACCTCCAGGAGTTAGATGACTTTAGCACATGTGCTTGATATTTAGGCTAGCCTGAGAGGGGAGCTGCAGGAGCTGCAGACTTGAATGCTGCCCCATAGCAATTAGATGATCAAACAAATCAGCAACCTTGTACAAGAGCTGCAGTGCAGCTGGTACCCAGTCCAGCTTCAGAGCCTACTAACCTCCTTCTAAGTCACTTCTACATTCCAGGTCTCATGCACCTTTCTGTTGTGGTCAACCATAGCCCACATCCATCAGAGACAAGAATTCTAGCAAATGCTATTCCAACCTAGTTCAGTTGACACAGCACAAAACCAACAGGCAGCAATAGTATTTATAGACTTATTTTCCACTTGGCCTTACACTTCAAGTCTGAGAAATTAATATTCTGTTCACTCCAATTCATTCTCTTTTGTATGACCATTTCCTTTTGGTATTTTTCATGACTTCAGATCCAAATGTCCTTCTCCATGTTTTCATTTTCACCTAATAAATTTCTAATAATTCTCTAAGAACATCTCAAATGTCCCCTACTCTAGGAAGTGTTCTCCACCCCCAGAGGCAAGGCTGTTATTGTTGTATTTAATAAAATACCAAGCACCTCGTATTGTGACTAAATGTTTATATTAGTGTTTCTTCCACTAGACAAGAAGTTCTTTTATAATAGGATTGTTAGCCTTCTCATCATTCTGTCCACATTGTGGAACATTACATAAAAGGTATATATATTTGACATAAAAGATAACCTGAGTGTGTTATGCATGGTGGAGTGAACATAGATGTTCTGTTAATTCCATAGAGTTTTTCAAGATTTGCTGCAAGATCATGTAGAAGAAGACAATCTATTATCATATCTTGAAAAAATATCTTTTGAGACATCAAATGACCAACATAAATTCATCAGAATCCTCAATTAGACATGTTGAGACATGGAAGCAAATGGAAATGGAACCAGCAATGTGAGCTGTCCTGGAAGAGGGTGCTCTACCTTCAGCCTACATTCTATTAACTTCTCTAACCCAGATAGCTACACTAATATTTATGTTCTAGACCCAGATAATATTTTGGTTCATTCTATAATAATACTTTCAAAAATGCAGTTTAGGGTGTAATTTTTAAGTGCAACATTGGTCTATAAACATAAATTATGCTTTTCCATAATAAAGATGAAAAAGTTTTGATAGAAGTTTTTCCATGAATCATTACTCCATTAAGAGAAATAGTGTTTACATGGAGCCATCAGTAATTTGTAAAAGATTTACATTTTCAAGTATTAATTTATGTTAGGTCAAAGAACCAAAATGGTTTAGACATATTTTCAACAACAGTAACTAATACTATTTTTATCTCTTTCACCCCTCTGTTAACAATGGAGCTAAACAGGATAAGTACTGAACATTCTGATTAATGAATATTTTCTCTGCTGATGAGTGGAGCAAGCATATCTGAAGATGTTTAGTTCAGAGATCTGATGATGAAGTGTTTGGTTTTGGGGAATTTTTTTTTCTTTTGATGAGACGGTTCATTAATTTTTTCTCTCACTCTCTATTTTTTTTTTTCTATTTGCTTTAGCTTCATGAAAGTTCAGAACCAAACTAGGTACTGTATTTCAGTAATTAACTTAGCTCTGGCTCCTAGAACAAATCTCCCTTGTTTTCCAAATAACTTCATATTTCCCTTTTGTATATTTTATAAATCCATCTGTCTATCTGTCTGTCTATGTATTAATTTAAACTCTATAAGGTTTTCATGTAAAAACGGCCTAATAGAAAATTAATATGACTATGTATTGGCAAATTTACACAGTAAGCATATTGTAGGCCGCTTTGATTCTTTCCAAACACAGGTAGGCACAAATCATAAAAAAAAATGTAGTGACCTCATTGATTTTACTTGTCACAACCTAATGTGTGGTACATTGGAATAAAGAAGGACATGGTAATTTTGTTTAAACAAGTAGACAGTAACAACAGAAACCTTGTGTTTATAGTAACATTGGGGAAGACTGCAGAGTCAAAGCATCAAATGCAAAGAGTTCTTTGGAATTATTTACTAGAAAATGGAAACGTGTGATGAATGTCGATTCATTCTTAGATTTTAATACACGTAATAGCAGCAAATGTAGTTTTCCTTTTCAGTTTTGTTTTCCGTTTGATGGAACTTGCCATTCCATCAAAATGCATTTTCTTGTTACAAAATGCATTTTTTTGTCAAACATAAAGTAGCTGCACAATTTATAAGAGATGAAATGTCTACACTGCCAAAAAATAAGGAATAATGGCTCAATAATGTAATACAAATGTAAACAATATTAACAGTTTGTTCCGATATTTTTTAAATATGGAAAGATTAAATTTCTAGTAATATGAATAAAATACATATTTGGGAAGTTTAAGATGGGTTTAATGAGATTAAATTGCCAACAGGCTTAGTAAGCCTTGATTATTTCTTGGGGTTGAGTAACACTTACAAATAAGAATGTAATTTTGAAAAAAATATACAATTTATGGTCAAGATAGAATAATACAGATACCACATGGCTCTTGCCATATTAATGACAATATAGAATAAAATACAGGAATAATAAAATATATTCCTCGGGAATATGTGGAATACAAGAAGATGCAACATTATAAAGATGCCTGTCTATCTAAATAAGTTAATATAATCTCAATAACATGCCACCCTTATTTCTGGGAGATAGACAAGTTAAAGTTTACCTGGGAAGTAGGGAAGTGAGAATATCTGGGGAAGCCCTTAAAAAGCAGAAGCTGACCGGGTGTGGTGACTCATGCCTGTAATCCCAGAACTTTAGGAGGCCAAGGTGGGTGGATCACTTGAGGTCAGGAGTTCGAGACCAGCCTGACCAACATGGTGAAACCCTGTCTTTACGAAATATAAAAAATTAGCTGGGGATGGGGGCAGGTGCCTGTAATTCCAGCTACTTGGGAGGCTGAAGCAGGAGAACTGCTTGAACCCGGGAGGCAGAGGTTGCAGTGAGCTGAGATTGCACCATTGCACTCAGCCTAGGCAAAAAAAAAAAAAAAAAAAAAAAAAAAGCAGGAGCTATAGGTGAAGAAGAGGATTTAGACCTACCAGAAATTAAAACATACAATAAAACCTCTATAATTAAAATAGTTGGGTAATGATGCAGGATTGGAGGAGCTATTGGAATGGGATACAAAACCCAAAATTTGCATATAAAATACAGTATCATGGTTTTTAAACGATATTGTACAATGAAAAGAACCAGTGCTCCTTGGAGAAAAAGCTTATTCCAGGGCTGGTGCAAGAATGTTACATGAGTATGAAATATTTTGTATGCTAGAAAGTTCTTTATGTTATTCTATTTACTTTGATATGTTTTTGGAATTTCCAATAATAAGCTCTTTTTAGAAAGTATGGTCTTGGAGAAATGGTAAACCATCTAGATGGTTCATTTGGCTTAGTTGTAAAATTATAATTTTATTTTTAAACATAGCTTTTCAAATTAAGGGTTTGCCTTTTAGGGGCAAAGATTTTGAGACAAAGAGAACAATAGATAAGCTATACTTCAAAACTCATATGCTTTTGGTATCATGTATACAGTAATTGGTTAAGCTGAAGATTCTAGGGGATTTTCTTAAGGCACAGAAGAATGCATGCATCTACAAGTAATTACGCAGCTCTTGATAGAATAAAATGCCAGTAACACAATATTAGAGGAACCTGTATTATGAGTTGATTTTTCAGTAACAGAGATGAGCGTGTGCTGCATTGTCTATAATGTTTAGCTAGGAAACAGTAGGATATACTAATGAAACTACTTACCAGAGTTTTTGGTGAAGATTTATAAGTGACAGAAAGAGATCCATTGATCTCTAAGAGAATCAAAACCCATTCACACACTCTGATGTTTCACAGAAACTACGTTTCATTATCATGGGTGTGGAAAGGTCTAATATGTAAGACGAACACAAGTGATCTCTGAATGTTACATTTGTGCATAATCAAATATAATTGCAGTTATAAGAGTGATTAGGCAAGATAAGTTAGATGTTAAATATTTGCCTGTTCACATAAGTCCTTAAACATAGTAGGTAAAACAAATTGATCAAAAAGTACCAAAAAAGCATCTACAATGACTTGAGAAAAAAAAACAAGAAAATGATAATATTTTTTAAAGAGAAACTTTACTGATTGGAGCTTAGTTAAGTCCTGATGATGAATTTCATGAAAAAGATATCTTTCAGACATTGGTGACCACATATCATAGGGCTATTAAAAATTCTCTCTGCAAGACAAAGTTTCAGTAATAGAGAAGATAAAATGATACATTTTTCTACATTTTGCCTTTTAGCCCTGCCACTGCCATGTCACTACTAGCTTGCAATTTGAAGATCAAACAGCCCATGCTAACTAGTGGTATGACAGCTGAAAGTGATTTATTTGCAGAGACTCTGTGAACTAAAGTTTACCTTTGCACGCCCCCTTCAATGATTGCTTGACTCCCCATAATGGAACAATTCTGGTATTTTCTGTGTTCCAATTCTGATCTGAATCCAAGTCCTTTGGTAATGAAACAACAAGGCAATCCCTAAGCAAACAGTTCACATTACAGAACTCATCAATCCCTCCAAGTGTGCTGTGTCAGTTAAAAGCTACTCCTTTAAACCGGGGTTCCTTTTTCAATGACTTTTCTAAGATCCCAGAAAGTGGGTGAAGATTTTAGCACATAAGCTACACAAGGTGATTACTAAGGTTGGTTTTAGCTCCGAAAGTATTTTTCCTTAGGAAATCCAGCTTTCTCAAGATATCAGGAAGTCTGGTCGTGTTAATATTTCTTTTTTTATATAATTTGAGAATTTATACTAGGTCTCCATAGTTTTATACTTGGGAAGTGGAGATCCTGAATTTATATCTGCTTTTTAAAAATGCAAATTTATATGTCAGAAGAGAAGAAATTCTACCCCGAGGGTCTTGGTTCTAGCTCTAAAGAATAACTGGATGGAAGGGTGGAATATTATTAGCAAGTTGAATTTGTGGAAGTATAAGAAAATGAAAAACTAGAAAATAAGGGGCATTTAATAGGACATAAATTAAGGGAGATGCATATGAAAGTAATGAAAAAAAGAGAAAAGGGGGTGGTGTCTCCAAATACAATACAGGTAATTATGTGTTAAGAGATATAGGTCACATGGAATAAGTTATTTCCTGACTCTGACCCCTCAGGGCCCATCTTACAAATATTAACTAATAAGCTAGGTGTATCACAGGTGATTGTCACTCCATGGCCATATGTCTGGGTTGCCTGGGGGAAGCCTGTGTTTATGCATGCTGTCCCAACATAATTATTAATCACATACCCTGTCATTCTTAAAAGTGTCTTTTTAATACATTATATGGTTAGTCTGGACATGCTGCGTTGCTTTTACTTTATTTAGCATGTGTATCTAGGTGTGAAAGAATAGATCCTTCTTATAATATTCTCTAAAATTTCATTTTATCTTACTGTTTGATTTTATTAGGTTTCACATGTTTTTGCTATCCTATGAATCTTCATGAAGGAGTGGCCCTGGTAGGACAGGGGCCTGAGTCTCTAACACCGGAAATCTCTGTTTCTTAGCTCTTTCAACACTGACCCTGGTTCTGAGCAACTGTCAGTGTGGATTGACCTACTTCTCAATTTGCCTCGGTAACATACAGTAAAGCCTCTATAATTAAAATAGTATAGGCACACTTAATCCTTCCTTTTCACAAATCTTTAAGTTAATTTAACAAATAATTTATTGAGCATCTATTATGTTGCGGGTATAATACTGAAGAGACTTGAGAGTATAGAAGCAACATTTTTCTTTTCAAAGAAACAAATGAAACCAAAGTTGAGAGATTTTTCACACTCCTGGTAAACCAGGACGGTAATAGAGATCCTCTGTTCCCTATTAAAAGACACGGCAGACTCAGCACAAGAGGTATGCAGGGGCCATGCTCTGGCAGCTGGGTAAGTGCTAGGGAAATCAGGGGCGTATTTAGAATGGAAGAGCTGTGTTAGAATGGGCATACACAGGAGAGGCAGAAAAGGCACGTGTGAAGACAGCTACTAACTTAGTTTACAAATGAGGACTTAGAGGTGTTTCTCCCAAAGATGCCACCATTGAAGACTCAATGAAAGCAGAGGTTTTGATTCCTACCATATCCCCATCCAACCTCACCTATTTGTCTTGAGCAAAATACAGGCAGACTTTGAATAATTACGGTGGTCTGTATGAACTTAATCTTTAACTCCAGTCACAGCTGTTGTTCCAGATGTGGTTTATTTACTGGAACAAATAAACACACCCCCTGATATCTGGTTATTGATGTGTTTGAATTTTTTTTCTTTATGTATGTCAGTAAAAGGCCATAAGAAGCACATTGCTTTCAGTTTGCAGGGCCAGAAATAGCCGTTTGCTCTTCTTTTGTAGAGCTATATCAGTACTCCAGCCCTCCATCATAATCTTGTCCACAGGAGCATTGATCACCTCTCCACTGAGACTTCATATCAGACCACTACGCTGATATTAGGGTGATAGGAGTCAAGAGCAGGAAACAGCAACTGTCCTAGATATTTTGGAAAGAAGCATGTGTGCCAGAGGCTGAGAAATAAATCTAACATTCGCGAGCTTGCCGACTTGGTAACAGATCTAGTGCTGTGCTGTAATATCCTTTCCAAGGTGAAGGAGAAGTTGCTACTTCTGACTACACTAACTACAAAAAAAAAAGATGAACATAACACCTAGTGAACCTCTTTGAGATTTGAAAGCCACATATCCCCATTTTTGGAGTACTAGGAAAGAGTGCGAGTTTCAAGTGGGACTTCAAGCAAGAGAAGGCTTTGTCACAGGTCCGAGTTGCTATGTAAGCTGCTCTTAAACTTGGGCTGTATGACCCAGCTGGCTCAATGATTCTTGAAATGTCTGTGGCAGATAGGTATGTGTATGGAACTTTTGTAAAGCACCTATAGCTGAAGCACTATATGGACTTAATATTGTAGAACCAAGCCATGCCATCTTCTGTAGATAATTATCCTACTTTTGAGAAGCAACATCTAGACTAGTAGACTGAACATTTGCCCTTGGATTCCTGTTTCCCTGTAGCCTTAGATGCCACAGTGAACTGAGCATTGTGTGATCCATCAAGCCAGAAAGCTGTGTGTACATAATAGAGTTCTATCATAAAGCTGAAGGGGTATATTTAAGACTGGGTCTGAACAGTCACTGAAGGCATTTAAGTAAGTTGCATGAGAAAATAACAGATTCCCATGGCTCTTAATCTTGCTACATTGCCATGATGGTTAATATTGAGTATCAACTTGATGGAATTGAAGGATGCAAAGTGTTGTTCCTGGGTGTGCCTGTGAGATTGTTGCCAAAGGAGATTAACATTTGACTCGGTGGATTGGGAAAGGCAGACCCACCCTCAATCTTGAGTGGGCATAATCTAATTGGCTGCTAGTGTGGCCAGAATAAAAGTAGCAGAAGAATGTGAAAAGACTAGACTGGCTTAGTCTTCCAGCCTACATCTTTCTCCCGTGCTGGGTGCTTCCTGCCCTCAAACATTGGACTCCAAGTTCTTCAGTTTGGGGAATTGAACTAGCTTCCTTCCTCCTCAGCTTGCAGACAGCCTACTGTGGGACCTCACCTCATGATCATGTGAGTTAATACTCCTTAATAAACTCCCCTTTA
Source organism: Homo sapiens (assembly GCF_000001405.40). Classification (NCBI taxonomy): domain Eukaryota; kingdom Metazoa; phylum Chordata; class Mammalia; order Primates; family Hominidae; genus Homo; species Homo sapiens. The sequence goes on along the minus strand of NC_000006.12, from coordinate 23,639,747 downwards.
TATATACATCTGTCTTATTAGTTCCGTCCCTCTAGAGAACCCTGACTAATACAATTGCTTTCTTTCTCTGTCTCTCAAAAATCAGCTGTTGCCTCATGAATAATTCCCTGAGATGAATTGACTGGGGAGTAAAAAAGCGGGTCGTGATTCACAGATGGTTTTGTATGGTCTGTTCAATTTATCCAAACGTAGGTGTCTGAAGCACTCCAGCCATACCTCAGGGGTCTCCTGAAGGACAGCAAAGAAGGTAAATCCTTCTGATGGGCAAAATTTTGAGCATTGCACATGATTTCTTGCTTTACTTGGAAGGGGAGGTGCCAAGATATACAGACCTACATTAATTCATGGGCAGTAGTTAACAATTTGGCTGAAAGACTAAAAATTAGAAAGGGACATGATTGAAAAATCAGTAACAACAGGGTCCAGGGAAGATGACTAGGTTATCTTCAACTGGGCACAGAGTGTGAAGATATTTGTTCCCTTTCAAATTTTCATAAATAGAAACACCAGCAAAAGGTGTTTGGATTTCCTGGACAAGAAAACTTATTCTGTGAATGTCATCAGTTTCCTTTTCCAGTCACCCCTGTCCTTGTACGATGAACTCCTAAAAAAAGTGGCCATGAAAGCAGGCACGGGAGATTAAGCATGAATTCAGCAACATAAACATCTATCCAACAGTGCTGTTCTGGTTACAGTACTGGTGATTTCCCAAACTGCTAGCAGCAAAGACCAACCCTCAGCCCCCAGTATGGCTCAAGGAGCATGAACCAGTCATCTGTGTGCAGGTTAGTTATGTAGGGTGATTCCCATCGTGGCTGGGGCAGCATTTTCTCTCACTCTGGAAAGGATTTGCCTTTTCTGTTCAAAATATCACTTCCAAATCAACTATCCGTGGACTTACAGAATATTTTTTTCCCTGACATGACATTCTCCATGGGTTGAATCTGAGCAGCAGCAACACTAAAGTAATGCAGTGGGTTTATGCTGATGGAATGCATGAATCTTATCATGTTCCCATCACCTGGATTCCCTGAACAGTTAGAATTATGAAGTGGCCTTTCGAAGACACAGTCATGGTGCTGGGGTAATAGTCACAGTGTAGGGGTAATAGTCATGGTGCTGGGGTAATAGTCATGGTGCTGGGGTAATAGTCTCAAGGCTGCAGTGTGTTCTCTGAATCAGCAACCTATTTATGGCGCTGTTACTCCCATAGCTAGTAGTCACAGCTCTGGGAATCAATGAATGAAATATAGTGGCTTCTCCTCCTATTACCCTTAATACCCACTAGCAAAATTTTTGCCTTCCATTTCCACAATTTGGGGCTCTGCTGGTTTAGAGGTCTTAGTTTCAAAAAGGAAATGCTTCCACCAGGGACTGCATGCTGTTTCCATTAAACTGGAAACTGAGTCTGCCACCTGGCTATTTTGGGCTCCTTATGACACTAAACTATGAGACATGAGGCTGGGATAATCAGTTTTATTAAGGGGGGAATTTGGTTTTTACTACACAACAGATATGGGGAGAATTATGTTCAGAAGAGAGGAATACTCCTGGGACACCTCTTATTGCTACCATGTTTTGTAATAGAAGTTAATTATAAACTACAACCTGGTGGGACTGAAAATGGCTACATACTTCAGCAATTAAGGTTTAGATTATCACATCTAGAAAAGAACCATGACAAGCTAAGGTTCTTTCTGGGGGCGAAGGGAATAAGGAATGGGTATTGGAAGAGGAACATCAGAAGTACCAAATATGACCACTTGCTCAATTACAGAAATAATGGCTAACATAAGGTATGTTAGCAATTAACTATATATCTCAATATTTAACTTACAATATATCAAAAATGGTATGTGTGACTTTGCTAGAAGAGAAATGATCCTTACCCAAAGATGAATACAGTGACTTTGTCTCTCCTTTTTTGTGTAGATGGTAAATGTGATTTTGGTTGTACTAGAAATGACATGCTAAATGTTTTGCTATTCTTTTTACTTGTAAGTTAAATGTGATTAAAAGAGGAGTGTATGGGTGTCAGATTGAAAGTGGATAGATGCTGCCAGATTGTGGTATGCCAACTTGGTTAGGCTGGGAGCTCTATTTTTTTCAAAATCTTTTTTCCCTGCGTGCTTCAAGGCGAGAAGTGAAAAGGGAATGTCATGCAAGATTTGGAATCAGCCAGTATTCAAGCAAGGTGATTTCAGTGAGATATGATGATGAGCCAGTAGGAGGAGGTACTTGGCAGATCCTAGCTGTTCTTCATTCTCCTCTGCTTCACATGTGAATCATCTTCCTGTCTATAGTTTCTGCTGTATAATAGCAGCCCTCAGCCCACTGCCAGGTACCTGGCTGTAGATTCATATAGATGAAGCTACTCTGTGGCAAAAAGTTGACGTAGACCACTCCGCGAATATCCTTGTACGATCCCATTTGGTGAGTAGGTATGCTTGACTTCCCTGATTTCCCTGCACACTCCTTAGTTGAGAGATGCACACATTTCTAAACAGATCCCCCACTTCTGAGGTGCTGCAGATGGACAGAGGTGTTTTAGGATGTGCCTAGGGCTGAGCCCTACAGTCTTCAGCTGTGGTAATTCCCTACTTCTTCTCCTTGTTTGTTCCTTCCATACCCAGGCTTGAAAGCCACATAACTAAGAAGCCTGAAATTGTTGCTGAATCCAGTTGTTTCTGATTTAGTTGGTGTTGCATTTGTAAAGTAGAGGTGGCTAAATACTTCTAAAATTCTCATCCCCTCCTGTTTCAAAGTCCAAACCTCTCTTCAGATGCTTGCTACCTGTTTCCAACTTGAGACTCACTCCCAGATGTGAGTTCAGCCTAGTGATCAGGTTGAATGAATTTAACCAATGCTGTCTACTTCTCTAGGATGCTTTCTGAATATTTTTCACTATGCCCAAGGTTTGAATAAATGCTTAACACAGATTCTAAATAATATAGTCATATTTAGTCATATTGTCAATAATATAGTCATAGTTCATGATATTTGAATATTAAACCTATCAAAATATTTATACTAGAATAAGACATGGCTTATTCTGTCAATGCTTTTCTTTAGAAAATATTCATGAATGGGCCAGATGTAGAGGCTCATGCCTGTAATCCCAGCATTTTGGGAGGCCCAGGCAGGTGGATTGCTTGAGCCCAGGAGTTTGAGACTAGCCTGAGCAATGTGGCAAAACTCTGTCTCTACCAAAAATACAAAAATTAGCCAGGCATGGTGGTGCACACCTCTGATCCTGGCTACTCGGGAGGCTGAGGTGGGAGGATTGCTTAAGCCTGGGAGGTTGAGGCTGTGGTAAGCCAAGATCATGCCACTGCACTACAGCCTGGGTGACAAAGAGAGACCCTGTCACAAGAAAAAAAAAAAAAAAAGAAAAAGAAAAAAGAAAATATTTATTCATAAATGTTTCATGGGTATACATATATTGCAATTATAGGAAACCAGGGGTTCTCGGGTATAGCCAAGCTGTAGGTGCAATTAGCATAAAATTCATCATTAAAATGATAACAAAAGTTTCTTTGTTCAAGTCCCTCCAGATTCATTGCGAGAATCTCCAGGCTACCCTTCTGGCAGGATCTCAGTGGTGGCTGGCCCGCTTTCACAAGGTTTCTGATATTTTCCTTTCTGCTGCTCCTCTAATTTTCCATGGGACTTCTTCAGGCTTTGTGTAGATTGACCCTTCACAGTTGAAGCTGTTGTTCCTATCATGCTGCCTATGATTTTGTGCTTCTCTTATGATTTTAATATTATCCTGATGAGAGATGGCCTGGTCCAGTCTCTAATGATGTCCTCACTGGAGTAACAAAAGAGCCCCCTTTCTCATCATTATTACAATGACTTTATCAGATCCCATGCAGGACTGCCTTTAACTCTATTTCTTATATAACTCCAAGCAGTTGATTAGCCCCATCGTTGCACTAATTTTATTTCTACTGCATGGGGTCCTTCTTAGAATCTTGATATAAAATCCCCCAGAGGCTAATAAAGAAGATAATTTCCTTGGTGATAATCTCATCTCTGTCTGCAATTCTTCCCACTTGTAACCAACTAGTATCCCTGCATAGAACCAGTGCATCCTAACATTTTCTTCAGTGTGAATTTTTTCTCCATTCATTATGTTGCTTTAGAAGTCCAAAGATACCCTTAATTTACTCCACAGTCTTAGAACTAGTTGTCTACCTTTATTCAGTACCCTTAAAAATGCCTTTAATCTTTTAAATGTTTATTCTATTTTTTTTTTCTTATTTTCCCTGGCATGCCCTGACATATTCTGAAATGTTAAAGGGCTAGTAATGGGCCCAGGTTAAGACTTCCTCCCGTATCTTAAATACATACATTCATCAAACTATAAATCTTAACATTCCTGGCATATTGCCCTTGGGATTAGAGTAGCTAGGTGCTACGTTTCCAGGTATTTTACAACGTACATGATGATATATAAAAAGACCGTACCTGGGTGCTTATATGAAATGTGCAATTAAACAATAAAGTCATTTTGTAATTTTATACATCAAAACTCTCAATCATTTTATTTCATTTTTTCTAGTTGACAGAAAATATCAAAACAGACATTTTACTTATAGAATATTCCTATTACACAGTGATATATATCGCTATGAAGTAAATGGTACCCCATGCCACAGTTGGAAAAAATAACTTTATTCTCTCAGTTTTATTATTATAATCTGGAATGCTGACACTTAAGTGTTCCTTTAAGGTCTGAAAAATAAAACAAAAACTAGTCCAAGCAGAAAAACAGGGCTCTCTTCTTTCTGGGGCCTAAAAAAAAAGCCTTCTTTCAAGTTTCATCAAAATAACTTATAAGTTATTGTTAAAATGCTTCTCCATTCATGGAGTTTAGAAGGCGCAAGGCCATCAGAATGAAAATCTCACAGTTCCCTCTCATTCTTTAAATGCGAGTGAGCCATGGGTACAACGAGAGAAAAAGTGGCATTATCTTAAAAGTTTGATTAAAGAATGGATCTTCAATGAGAGCCCAGACGGAGTCATCGTGGCTCAGTCTGTGATGGGAAGCGGCTGTGGCGCCGTGGGTGGGTGACAGCATTCGGGTTTGTGTCTCCTTTGTGTAGTCCAGGTGTTCTCTGAGTTGAAGAAGGACCTTTTTGTGCATAGTTCTTTCAGTACTTTCTAACCCCCTCCAGTCAAACCATGGGTCAGACCCTCCAAATCGAGAAAGAAAACCACTTTTCTATGGGATCATAGAATTTTCTTCACAATGGGAATACACTAGCTGAAGAGGTCAATCCAAAACTGAAACACCAAATGAAGGGCTTCAGCACTATAAACTAGAAGTTGCGGTGCTTTGTCACCTGCGGCTGCTCTTCCATCGAAGAATAGAGTAATTGCTAATTCATGATGATGAGGCAAAAGAAGGATATTATGCATGTGCCTGTACAATGGTAAGAAGTGGCACTTTGTTTCCCGTGGCTGCCACCCAACAAAGGCAGCAGTGAGAAGCAGGGTCTGGTTACCCTGGTAGCCATGGTGCCGGGGCTGGCCATCCTGGCATCCTGTCTTTGTACTCACAGGCTGCCAGGGCCCTCCGCGTTGAAAGGATGAATATGTGGGCCTTTACACAACATCGTGGCTCAAATTAGTTGGATACATGGGGCCTCTTGCAGCACCTGCTCCCGTTCTCAAATTCCAGCTCTGTTGGGAATTATTATCTAGCTCCCTTCTTCCCTCTCTCTCTCCCTTTGTAATTATGTTTAATCCCACAGACACCTGCCTTGGCTTTGGGGGTCTACTGATAAAAAGAGATGAAAAGACCTTTTTTCCATTTGTATCCAAATCTACCAAATAAATACAACAGGCCCCAGCTAATTAAACATGTCTAAGGGGAAGGTGTAAGAAACCCCCCAGGATTAAGACTCTGAGTTCATACTGTCCTCCCATTCTATTCGGTCATCTTTGTCTGGCTCCAAATTTAGGAAAATATTATCTAAGCCATGTTTAAAATCTTCCATCCTTGAAGCTCCTGATGGCAGTTCTGTTTAGATCCTTTGTGATGTTTTGATTTTCAGTACAGTATTTATCTGAAAAGCAGGGTATTCCTCAATTTCTTGACTGAGGGTAAGACAAATAAAAGACAGACTGACAAACTAGGTCATTTGTTGTTGAAATATTGAATTGAACGTTTCATATCTCTAAATGGAAAGGTTTCCCTTAAACATGCAATCTACTTCCTCCTCATCACCCTGATTTAAAATTAATTATATTAAAATAATTTTGCATTGGAAATATAGCATATGTCTTAGTCTATTATCCTCTGACATATCACTATTTGAAATTAAACATTTTAGAAAACTGAATATTTCTGAATTTTCATCAGCGTGCTTTACAGAAACAAATGTTTTTGCCTTCAAATAGGAAATGAAAAAAATCCTGGAATATACATGCTTTGGTGAAAATTAACTCAAAGATTTAAGGTGGAAAAAGTTTGGAGAGCCTGGGTGGGAAATGACGAATGACTGTAAATAATCGTAAACAATTTGTTCATATACAAAAATATTAGTAAACAGCAGAGATTTTCTTTCCTTTTTCCACCGGGATGGTTAACATAATCAGTAATAACCCTGATAAAAGTCTGAAGCACTACCACTTTAAGTTTGATGGGACATGGTTCTCATTTGTATTTAAAGTTTTACTGGTAACTGGGAGAAGCAGGCTTTCTTTAGTTTCTGTGTTTGTGGATAGATGTGAGTTTATGTGACTGGAGCAGTGTCAGTTTGGATTGTCTGCGTGTATGGATGAAGTGACATATTTTTTCTTGCTTGGGATTAAGGTAGTAAAAGGAAAACTATCTACATAGATAAACAAGTTTACAGTCAAAATAGATCATATGAGCTAAAAAATCCTGTGTAAAAAGCAAACAAAAGCAAACCCGACATGCTATTGAAGTCCCCTGTTATATAACAAATGATTGCCACAATTTTTGTGTGTGTTGAAACCTAGAATGCAAAACCATACACACACATGCATGGACATATCTGAACTTTCCCTTTCATTATATTTGGCACTAAAATATCAAATTCAGACTTATTGACCAAAGTTCATGCATATCTGCCATAGTATCTCTTGTGTTTTCCTGGCTGCATGTGGCTTTTAATCTGTATCAAGCAGTTCTGGAATATGTAATTTAACACCACCTGAAATGTTGAGTTGTTTTGGAAGAGTAACTGGATTATGTTGAGAAACAGGAATATTTTACTGGACTAGGCAGAGAGATATGTGGCATTGGACTAAAGACTGTGGGTGTGTTGATGTTAAGGCCACCTGGAGGTCATTTATGGCCCAAGATGGTAATTGCTAATGTTGAATGTGAGGAAAACAAACCCAGAACTTCTGTTGATATTCATTTTTATCTAAAAATAAAGAATTAGATGTAATAAAGGAAGTATACATAATATGTGAGCTGATCGACTCTGGGGTCCCCATTCTATCCATCTGCTGGAAACCCCGTGTGTTGTAGAGTAGGTGAGGTGTCAGGAGGGAGTGCCCACCCCCACAGAGGGACAGCCAATGGTGTCTTCACACTGTTGTTGGCTTCTGAAATTGTGTGATATGTTGCAATTTGCATGCTCCTAATTAACTGGGATTTTAAATGACATTATCTTCTTTTAACTAAGCTAAATCCTTATGAAATGGACAAGGGGCTTAAACAGAGTCTTGAGGAGTAACTCTGGGTCAAAGATAATTTGAATCACATAATGACAGCAAAAAATAGGAGATTGCAGAACTGGCACTTGTCCACCTCATTTCAGCTCTTCATCAATGATTTCAGGAGGCGGATGGCATAATCGGATCTGAGAAGGAATTGGCACACTAGAATTAATATTATAAAGAAGATTTTTTTTGAAATGTAGATTTGTATCCACCATGATTAATGATGAGCATTGCCTTAACTATATATTCTGGTTTTAGATATTGTGTAAGAATGGTGAAGCTATCACACTTAGTCAGATACTTTAAAATACTAATCATTTCATTTCTTAATCTCATCTTTGAAGTTTTTTTCTTTTTGCTATGAATTTAATGATGCATAGAAACATTAGTACATTATCACATATGTACACTATACATGCACATTATTGCATCATGTGGTCTAAGAGGATTGCCTATGATTGTTGGTTCTCTTCTGTGCTCTGTGTGTTGTTGAGTCATGTGACCCCCCCTGTACATGAGTTATCTCAACTAGAAAATGGTTCTCAGTTACCATATCCAAGTGAATTGCTTGGGTTGGTAAAGGCTTAATGACGCCTAGCCTCACGAATCTTCTGCCAAGTTTTTAATGAAAAATGAAAAGGTCCCATATGTCCTTTCCCAGCATCCTTAACCAACAGCCTATCTGTTAGACTTTGCTTCACAAAAAAGAGATCCATTGGTTAAGATCTCACGACTGAAAGAGGGCAAGAAAGTTATCTCTGGGCTCTGACTGAAACAATTATATAGGTATGATTTCCAAGGTAGTGTTGCTACCAAAAATATAAGGATATTTAGTAAATCTGCCTGAACTCTGAGTGACCTGAAATCTGCCAGCACCCATTACAGGCTGGGACATCTGGTGGTCAATAAACTTTTTATTTATTTATTTATTTCACATGAAGCAGCTGTACTTGAGCAGATGACCAGGGGCCATGCAATCAGAGTGTGAATAGCTGAATTAGTAAATCATATTAGGCTTCTTAGGCACTTGTTTAAAGGCTACATGTGCCTTTTTAATTTTCCTTTATTAAGGTCGGCCCCAAACATAGCAGTGTTAGCAGTAGGGTTATTAGTGACTTATTTGCTTCATTAAAATTTATGGCACATTTTACATCCACCATCTGGGGCAATCTCTCCCCACCTCACCGTTAAAATGTAACCTAAAACCATGGCTGGCACTGATAATGCCTGAAAAAATACTCTATAGATGGAATTCTTTTTTTTCTACTGCCAGAATTATCCTGCCAGGAACTCAGTACACAAACACCGTAACAGCAAAGGCAATATTTCCAGTCAAATCACACTCCATCACTGCTGAAACACAACGTCGTACGTTCAAGTGTTTTGCTGAAAGTTTCTTGTCTGTAGGTAAAAAATAAAAGATGGTGGGGGGGGGGTTGTTATTTTAAAAGTTCAAATTCTGTGGAAAATGGAAAAGCTTAAAATGCCTTTGGCATAATGCTACATATGTTGATGTCTTATGGATCTCCATGAATAGTTGGGTTTAGGAGGCTGCAAATATAAAGTAACAGGAAAGTTTAACCTAAAAGATTGAGATATTTAAGAGTTGGTAGACTTTTAGAGGCCACCTGATCCATCAAATTGTCTGATTAAGTTTTCAGAAAAAATATTAGCACTGAGGGAGTCAACTTACAAGCTTAACCTTCTGTTCAAATGCCAGGGATAGGAGTCTATCTGGTTGAAATGGAAGGCTCTTGAATATAGATCCTGAGATACATTTCACAGTGGAGCCTATGAGATGGGAAGGAGAATATTGACAATGAAACTTTGTATCATTTGAGATATAAATCCTGTTTATTAAACAATATTTTGTTCAAAACATGTACATAAATGTATACATACGCATATACATACAGTCACGCGCCTCATAGTGATGTTTTGATGAACTATGAACTGCATATGTAATGCTGGTCCCGTAAGATTAAAATCCCATATTTTTACTGTACTTGTTCTATGTTTAGATATGTTTAGATACAGACATACTTCCCATTGTGTTACGGTTGCCTGCAGTATTCCATACAGTAACATGCTGTGCAGGTTTGTAGCCCAGGAGCAATAGGCTATAACATACAGCCTAGCTGTGTAGTAGGCTCTGCTGTCTAGGCTTGCGAAAGTGCACCGTATGATGTTTGCACAATAATGAAATCACTAAGGACACATTGCTCAGAACACATTTCTTTCTTCAAGTAACACATGACTGTCATAGTAGAATATATCTATTGATGTACACACACATAATTATAATTTTATGTTGTATGTGGAATATTCTAATTGGGCTTAATGATCTCAAATATTTATCATTCTAATATCTAGAATTCTTCATCTAGATATTAAAATCATTCCTGTTTGTTACCAAGATTTAACATCAAACTAAAGACACTATGGTAAAGAATCAAGTCAGGATTGAAGTGTTCAAAGAGAACAAGTTCTGGTCGCATGTGTGCCACTTAACAGGCTGTGTCATCTCTTTGTGTATGTTTCCTTATTTAAGAGAAAAATCTTCTAGACCTACTGAATAGAGTTGTAATAATCAAATCAGAACATGAATGTTAAGCCTTTTCAAAAAGTTAAAGCATTATTCAAAAGCAAGCTGTGTATTTTTTTTCAATAAGAAATAAAATGTTTGAATAGGAAAGGATCTCATGAGGTCAGAATCCATTCCTCTAGACAATAATTTAAAGAAACTCAATGATGAGATACTAACTTAGTTTTAAAGAACTTTAGCAAAGAAGTTGCAAAACTGACTTGGAGAGTCACTGCACGATTTAATAAACTTTGCTGCCAGAAGATTTTTCTCACTTCTAACTTAAATTTCTGCTTTTTTATTAGGAGCCCATTTTATCTTTCTAAAATGGAAGTATCTTCACTAGAAATGAAATGAGAGAATAGATAAGTAAATAAAATCTAAACAGATGGCCCTTCTGATCCTGCGATTTTTACTAAATCTCTCCTCAGCTTTCAGTTTGCCAAGTAAAATCACATAGTTTATTGTTTTCCCAAAAAGTACTTATTTTATATCCTGAAAATCTTCTTGATTCTCATGATTTTTCCAACCCACTGTATCCTCAGAATAAAGAACTGAACCTAATATCCCTCCAGCTATATATTTGGCTAAAGCATTGTCTGATTGGAAGTAGAGTCTGTATTCCTATCAGTAAACTCAAGAACATGGTAAAATGTGTAACACACACCCAAACAGAAACGAGCCTTGTTTTTAGACCCAAGGTCTCTAAGAGCTGATATTAATCTAGTCTCTTCTAAGTATCCAAACCTTGGCTACGATTTTTAGGTGCAGTTTTAGAAGAAATTGTAGACTTACAAAGATAATAAAAGGATTTATGAAAAGATGATTGAGTCCATTCTCTAGTGATGAAAATTATATTCACTTTACTATTCACATTCAATTCAACTCTCTCTGCCATAATAAACTGAAAAATCCCAGACGGAGACTGCTCTGTCGGCCTAGATCCTAGTGGGAAAATAAATCTGAGCAGATGTTTTGCCATCCTAAAATGGACAAGTAGTTTGAATGTTGTTTAAAGCTAGTGATACTGCGGAGTTATTTGTTATCACAGCAAAATAGAGCCCTACTTACTAATACAGATATGAATTGCTTTTGATGCATATAGGAATAATATAAGCTTAAATGTGTTTGTTAATAATTTACACTTATTTTCATTCTTACTAAGGCTGTAGAAAGCTACAGAGAAATAATAATAAGAAAAAGCTGTCTAATTTTTAAAATTCATATTCTTTAGCCCATCACAAAGCTCACATCAGAGGCGATCTAATGAACTGAATCCCAAAAGTAATAAGACCCTGCAAGGAGAGGTAGGTCACATGGATATTTTATCTTTGGCAAGTATGGGGACATAAGGCAGCTGCTATAAAAGTAGGCAAGGAAACCACAACTAAAATATTAGCCAGTGATTAAAGACTGAGTATGGGTTAAAATAGTAGCGTAAGATTTCCAGAAGCATCACTCAAAAGTGTGCCCACTTACTACTCATTGTCCACTGGATTCCACTGGGTGTTTACATAAAAGAGTGGAATAAAGAAAAGAGAACTGCTAGTATGAAACCCTCATTTTTCCCATTATTTTCAAATTCATTTAATAAACATTTTTGATGGCTTATAAGTGCAATTCACTTTTGTAAAAGTGGAGATGAAGAGATGTTAATCAAAGGGACAATGTTTCATTAGAATGAATAATTTCCAGAGATCAATTGTACAGCATGGTGAATATAATTAATAATGGTATACTGTATACTTGAAGATTACTAAGAGAGTTGATTTCAAATCTTCCCACCACAAAAAAGTGTGATGTGATGGATATATTAAATAGCTTGATGTAATCATTAAACAATGTATACATTTATAAAAAGATCATGTTGTGCCCCATAAATATATGCAACACAAAAATTTAAAGGTGGAAGGGAAACAAATACAGTTCACTTTTGGACTAGAAGGGACTCAAGACAGAATACCTGTCCTTAAAATCTTAGCACATCTGTTAATGCAGATAAACATTACTGATAGACACAAAGAGGGTTTTGATGGAGGTTTAAATTTGTGATGTGAAAGTAGTCTGTCTCATGTTTCTGAATTGAATTATTATATGAAACACGTTAAAGTCTGATACCATTTATGTGGTCGATTGTGACCTTACCATGATATAGGGCAGAAAGAAATGAAATGTCCAGATGGATTGTCCAGGAAGAACAACTCATACACAAAAATCATGAACCCATTTGGTAGCACAGGTGTACAGATCCTGCCTCTGTTTAAACATGGAGAAGAGTTACCTGGAGAAGCCTATCTATGTTCCAAGAGCTACATGATTACAAGATGATGAACAGCTGCTCCTGCCCACCTCAGACCCTGCTCAGACATGAGAAAAAAAGGCTATTTGCTTTTGGAGAAAGGGAAAGATATCCTCTTACTTTCCCAGTCTCTACCTTGATTTTAGGCATAGGTCTGCTATCATTGACGGAAATCTACCTCTACAGTGCACTGATATTATGCAAAAACATCTACTAATACAGAGGGACTGCAAACCAACTGGTACCCAGGGTTCTGGATTGGTACAGGGTAGAGGTCTTCTTTTGCTAGGGAGAGGCAGAAAAGTCATTCTCTCCAAATACCCCCATTGTCTTAGTCCGTTTACACTGCTATGAGAGAATGCCACAGACTGGGTGGCTTATAAAAAACAGAAATTGATTCATCATGGTTTTGGAGGCTGGGAAGTCTAAGACCAAGGCACCAGCATATTTAGTGTCTGGTGACAGCCTGCTTCCTGGGATCATCTTTTCACTGTGTCCTTGGTGAAAGGGGTGAATGAGCTTGCTGGAGTCTCTTTTTTAGAGGGGCACTAATCCTACTGTGAGGGCTCTACACTCAAGACCCAATCACCTTCCAAAGGCCCCACCTCCAAATATCATCACATGGGTCATTGGGATTTAGCATATGAATTTTGGGGGGAACACAAGCATTCAAGCAGAAGCACCTATCAATATAGGGCAGAGTTTGACTGGCATGGAATAGGGGTGTGGTACTCACTCTTTAGACTGTGCATTTGAGGAGAAAGCAGAGCTTGTTTTACAGTGGGAATGGAACAAAAATGCTGAGAAATCTCATTCTTTGATGCTCAGGTGCTCATGGCCTGCTGAAGACTGATGTTGGAACAGAAGAGCTGAGAAACACACCTGCCCCTACCTCAAGCCCTGCACCAAGTAAAAGTCAGCAGCAATATACCCTGGGGAAAGGGCTAGAGTGTGGCTGGAGATCTTGCTGAAAGCTGGAGGTGGAGGAGGAATACAAAGATAAGATTTTAGGACTCCAGGCTTCACAGTAAGTAAAAGTAACAGTCATCTACCACTGGAGAATCTTGAAGTCTGGTAGACTGAAATTAACTAGAGCAACATACAACCAAACACAAGACAGCTACTGGAATGATTGAACCAAGTGTACCAATGACCTGAAAGAAGCATGCCCATTTCCAGGAATAAATCCTTTTTATATCAGTCTGTCTGTACACCATGTCTACCATTCAACAAAAACTTAGGAGAGACAAAATAAAACAAGAAAAAAAAAACCTCATTGTCCAGAGGCAAAAGTAATCCAGAGGCAAAACAGATTGAGAAATCATCTAGTGGCTGGAATTATTACACAGTAATTTAAAACTAACTATAATTTGTTTAACGGCATAGTAGATGAGATAAATGGGATGCATGAACAGATAAGGACTTTCAGAGAGATTACAACTTTACGAAGGAGTCAAATGGAAATGCTAGAAATGAAAAATACCATATCAGAAATAAGTAATTTCATCAATTAGCCTACAAGCAGACTGGATACAGCAAAAGAAAACCAATCAGTGATCTTGAAGACAGGTAAACAGGAATTATGGCAATGGTAACGCAAAGAAAAAACGATGGTAAGCAGTAAAGCTTCCAACAGATTTGAGCTATTTAATATTTATGAAACACTGTCCTCAACAATAGCTGAATACAAATTTACATTAAATGCAGTGGAATATTTACCAAGTTGTATCATTTTCTGGATGATAAAATTCAATAAATGTTAAAAGATTAAAATCATATATGCTTTATGATTTCAGCAAAGTAAAACTAAAAACCAAAAGCAAAGTGATGGGGGTTTGCCCCCAGCTTTATTGAAGTAAAATTAACAAATAAAAATGTATATATTCAAGGTGTACAACTTCATGTTTTGAGATATGTGTGTGTGTATATATATATATATACACACACACACGTAATAATCATATATATGTATATATATACACATACATTATGTACTAATCACAAGCTAATTAACCTATTCAACACCATGAGTGCATGCACACACACACACATTCACATCACAAGAGGAAACAGAAAATACTTTGAAAAACAAAAAAACATATTTGAATTTATGGAATGCAACTAAAGAGGTTATTAGAGGGGAATTTATAATATTACGTGTTTATATTAGAAGAAACATTTTAAAGCAATTATCTAAGGTAACACCTTTGGAAATTAGGAAACCAAGAGTAATTAGGTCGTAATTAAACAGAAGGAAGTTAATAAAGATAACAAAAATAAATGAAGTAGAATACAGAGTAATAGAGAAAATTTAAAGCAAGCAATGCTGATTACACAAAAATATCAATGTAATTGAAAACATCTATCCAGACTAAGAGAAAAGGGGAGAAGACACAAATAGTTATCAGGAATAAAAGGAATCATTACAGATAATACAAATATTACAAGGGTAATACTCAAGTATTATAATCTTATCAGAATAATGTCACCATATACAGTCATGCAATGCATGACAGTCAATGACGGACCACATATATAATGATAGTTCCATAAAATTATAATTCCATGTTTTTGCTGCACCTTTTCTATGTTAAGATACACAAATATTGTGTTCTAATTGCTTACAATATTCAGTACAGTAACGTGCTGTACAGACTTGTAGTCTAGGAGCAAGAGGTTATACCATATAGCCTTGATGTGTAGTAAGTAGGCTCTACCATCTAGGTGTGTGTAACGACACCCTATGATATTTGCACAATGACAGATTTGACTAAGGATGCATCTCTCAGAACTTACTCTCTTTGTTAAATGACACATGACTGTAGATGAAAAGGACAAACTAACTGAAAGACACAAACTGCAAAAGTTTATTCAAGATGAAATAGCCTAAATAGCCTTAATATTGATTTAAAAAACTGAATTTGTAATCTAAAACCTTGTTGAAATGAAAATTTCAGGACTAAATGATTTTCACTGTTGAATTCTATCAAATATTTAAGGAATAAATAATTACAATTCTACCCATATTTTTCCAGAATGCAAAAGATAATAGTAAACATTCCAACTTTTTTTTTGAGGTTAGAATTACCCAGATACCAAAATGAAACCCATACATTACAAAAATAAAAAAAGGACAGACCAATATCTCAAAGTTTCAAAAATTCTTACAAAAATTAAGTTACATTCAGCCATATATAAAAATTATAACCCTTTATGTCCAAATAGGATTTATCTCAAGAAATGTAAAGTTAATGTGTGAAAAACTCGATCAATTTAATTCATTATATTCACAAACTTAAAAAGAAATACTTACGTCAGTAGAGACAAAAAAGCATTTGACAAAATTCAATATTCATTTGGTATTTTAAAAATAACTCTCAACAGACAAGAAATAGAAGGGAACTTCTTTAACCTTTCCTTCATAAAGTACATTTATGAAAAAATTAGAGGTAACACGTCATTTAGTGGCGAAAGATAGAATGCTTTGCTTGCTCGCCCTCCCTCCCTCCCTTCCTGTCTTCCTTCCTCTCTTCTTTCCCCCCTTCCTTCCTCCCTTCTTTCCTCCCTTCTTTCCTCCCTTCTTTCCTCCCTTCCTCCCTTCCTTCCTTCCTCTCTCCCTTCCTCCCTTCCTCCCTTCCTCTCTCCCTTCCTTCCTTCCTCTCTCCCTTCCTCCCTTCCTTCCTTCCTCTCTCCCTTCCTCCCTTCCTTCCTTCCTTCCTCTCTCCCTTCCTCCCTTCCTTCCTTCCTCTCTCCCTTCCTTCCTTCCTCTCTCCCTTCCTCCCTTCCTTCCTTCCTCTCTCCCTTCCTCTCTTCCTTCCTTCCTCTCTCCCTTCCTTCCTCTCTCCCTTCCTCTCTTCCTTCCCTCCTTCCTCTCTTTCTCTCTTTCTTTCTCTCTTTTCTTTCATCAGGTTCTCTCTCTGTCACCCTGACTGGAGTACAGTGACTGCTCACTGCAACCTTGACTTCCCAGGCTTAAGCAATCCTCCCACCTCAGCCTCCCAGGTATCTGGGACTAAAGTCATGCACCGCCATGCCCAGATAATTTTTTTTTTTTACTTTTTGTAGAGACAAGGTCTCATTTATGTTGCTAGGCTGATCTTGAACCCCTGTGTTCAAGTGATCCCCCTGACTTGGCCTCCCAAAGTGCTGAGATTATAGGCATGCGCCAACGTGCCTGGTCGCTTCTAATCCAGAACAAAGCAAGGAGTCTCACCACTTCTATTTACCATTTTATTGGAGATCCTAGCAAGGATAAAGATAAAAAGATAAAGCAAGAAAAGGAAATAAAAGGTGTTCAGTTTGGGAAGGAGAAATACAACTTTCAATTTTTTTTTTTTTTTTTTTGAGACCCAGTTTCACTGTGTTGCCCAAGCTGGAGTACGGTGGCATATCTCCCTGCAACCTCAGCCTCCTAGGCTCAAGCAATCCTCCTACCTCAGCCTCCTGCATACCTGGGACTACAGGCGCATGCCACTATGTCCGGCTAATTTTTTTTTTTTAATTTTAGGTTTGGTAGAGATGGGGTTTCACCATGTTGCTCAGGCTGGCCTTGAACTCCTGAGCTCAAGAGATTCATCTGCCTTGGCCTCCCAAACTTCTGGGATTACAGGCATGAGCCACCACACCCTGCCTTAGGAAAGAGAAATAAAACTTTTATTTGCAGACAACATTATTCTCTAAATAGAAAAATCATAAGAAATCTACAAAAAGCTTCTTGGAAGTAATGTGTGATCTTAGCAAGGTGACAGAATACTAAGTCAACACGTAAATTTTATTTGTATATGCTATCAGTATTTAATTGGAAATTGAAATATAAGTTTAAACATTTAAATATATCAAAAATGTGAAATATTTGAGACTAAATTTGGCAAAACAGATGGAAGACTTGTACACTGAAAACTCCAAAACATTGCTGAGAGAATTTAAAGAAAAGCTAAAAAAATGGAGTGATGTACTTTGTTCATGCATTGAAAATCTCAAAATTGTTTTCATTTCTTCTCAATTTTCTCTAAAAATTCAAAGTAATCCTAATCAAAATTCTGGTAGTTTTTTAAAAAGAAATTGATCTTTTAAAATTAACATGAAAATACCATAGTTTGATATGTTAAGTGAGATTTTCTTTGTATTAATTTTGCTTGGTGTTTGCTAAGCTTCTTGAATCTATAATTTTTTGTCTTTAATACAGTTTGCTGAATTTTCAGCCATTATTTCTTCTAGTATATTTTCTCCATTTTCTCTCTCTTTTCTTTCTGAGTCTCCAACTACATATTTGATTTATCTTTTGTTCATCTTACAACTTCCTGTGGTGCTGCTCATTTTTGATTTCTGTTTTTTTTCATGTTTTTCATTTCTATTGAATTGTCACATCCAGTGATTTTTTTAAAACTTTAAATATATTTCTCAATTCCAGAATTTCCATTAGATTTTTTTAATATTTTCTTTTTCTCTACTGGGATTTTTTTTTTGGGGTGGGGGCATCAATTCGAGCAGATTTTCATTTACCGCCTTGAGCCTATCAATAAAAACTGCTTATGTGCTAATTCTATGATTTGTGTCATCTTGGGTTTGGTCTCTGTTCATTGTTCTGTATAGAATAGCTGATGTTTTCCTGTTTCTTCTTCTATTGAGTCATTTTGAATTATATGCTGGACATTGTAAATGACATCTCATCGAAACTCTGGACCTATTATATTCCTCTAAAGAGTTTTGTGTTTGTTTTTGCAAACTGTTAACTTGGCTTCACTCAAAATGAAACTTCTGGTGTTTTTCTTTTCTTCTTGTAGGTGATGGCAGCTCAAATTTCAGTTCAGTGTTTTTAGTCTTACCAGGGCTGCTTGTAGTTTGCATTATTCATGGGCTGTGCAAGGGTCAGCCAGAGACTTAGGCAGATCGTATACACAGACTTTAAGGGTCCTCCCCCACTTACTTTCTCCTTTCTGGAATTTGTGCTTTCAATTTCAAGGAATATGGTTGCCCAAAACTCTGTTCTGATTCATCAAGCCAGCAATGTTGAGGTTTTACTGTTGGAGTTGTAGCTGTCTCACGTGGGATACCAGGAACTGCACTTGGGAAAAACTGTAAAATAGGAAACTATGTATCAGTACTGTATTAATTTCCTAGCGTTGCCATAACAAATTACCGTGAATATGGTGACTAAAAACATAAGAAACTTATCCTCTCACAGTTCTGGAAGCTAGAAGTCCAAAATTAACATGTCAACAGGGCCTTTCTCTCTCTGGAGAATCGATGTAAGGATCCTTCTTTGCCTTTCCCTGGCTTCTAGTGTTTGCCAGCAGTCCCCAGCAATCCTTAGTTTGTAGACACATCGTTCCAATCTCTGCCTCCATCCTCATGTGGCATTCTTCCTGTGTGTCTCTATTGCCAAATTTTTATAAGAAACCTAGTTTTCCCATATGACCTCATTCTAACCTGATTATATGTGCAAAGGCCTATTTTGAAACAAATATTTGAAAATACATTCACAGGCATCAGGGGTTAGAACTTGAACAAATCTTTTGGGGAACACAATTCTATCTATTACAATTCCCTTTTTCTAAATATTTCTCTTTATATTTGGCTCTCTTTATTCACTCTCTTTATTTGGCTCTCTTTATTCACTCTCTGGAATTCTCTTTATTCACTCTCTTTATTCACTCTCAGTTTGGCTCTCTTTATTCACTCTCTGGAACTTTCAAGCAGTTGATGTCTATATTTTGCTCTGAGTTCACAGTTGTTATTCTATAGGAGAAACTGGGTTAAACTTAAAGGGACACTATTCTCTCTGACAGCTAAGTCTCTCTGTCTTTCTCTTTGTCTCTGTCTTTCCCTCTCTCCCTCTCTCCCTCCCTCCCTTTCCCTCCCTCCCTCTCTCTCTCCCTCTCTCTCTCCCTCCCTCCCTCCCTCTGTCTCTCCCTCCCTCCCTCTCTCTCTCCCTCTCTCCCTCCCTCCCTCCCTCTCTCCCTCCCTCTCTCCCTCCCTCCCTCCCTCCCCCCTCCCTCTCTCTCTGTCCCCCCTCCCTCTCTCTCTGTCCCCTCTCCCTCTCTCTCTCTCCCCTCCCTGTCTCTCCCCCTCCCTCTCTCTCCCCCCTCTCTCCCCCCCTTCCCCCATCTCTCCCCCCCTCTTCCCCATCTCTTCCCCCCCGCCCCCTCCCCCTCTCTCTCTCCCCCCCTCTCCCCCCTCCCCCCACCTACCTATCTAATGTGTCTATCACCCTCCTTCCTCCCTCCTTCCTTCCCTTTCCTTCCCTTCCCTTTCCTTCCCTTCTCCTTCCCCTTCTTTCCCTTCCTTTCTCCTTCCTTCCCTTCCCTTCTCCTTCCTCTTCCTTCCATTCCCTTCCCTTCTCCTTCCCCTTCCCTTCTCCTTCCCCTTCCTTCCCTTCCCTTCTCCCTCCCTCTCTCCCTCTCTCTCTCTCTCTCTCTCTTTCTCTTTCTTCCTTCCTTCCTTCTTTGTTTCCTTCTTTGTTTCTTTCTCATCTATATGCTTTCTCTCTTGTGTTGTCTCCCTTGCTATGTTTGTGTGTATCTCTACCTCTTTTACCACTGCATAAATACAAGATCCAAGCCTTTGTAACTTAGGGTAAAAAATGTGTGATTCCACTGCATTTCAGTCAGGATAATTCTTAGCTGTTTATTATATGTTTCCTCCTCAATCACAAGTTTGTTTTATTCTTTAAAAAATAAATAGAATAAACAAATGAAACAGAAAATTAGATTTCCCTGTTTGTCTTATATTTTCGTGACAATTTTATCTCAAATTTAAAAACAGACAATGAAATATACTAAAACCACACATATTTCTCTATTACTACTTTTCCTCCCTCTTAAAAAATGCTTTGAAAATTTCACGTTTTGGGAGTCAGAAATAAAAGTAGGCAAAAACATTCTCTGTCAATAAATACTTACGATTTTCATGGAGTTGTTTGTTTGAACCTCAGTTCCTACATTAGCATGAGGATTATTGTGAGGATGAAATGCATCATTTGAGTTACAGTGTGTGGCACATTCAAGCAGAAAGAGGCCTTGTTCACAACAACTTGGCTTTAAATTAACATTCATATTTTTCCATGCTGTCAGTACTTCTTAATAAATATTAATGGGACTTGGAAAATTACAACTTTGTAAATACAACCAAATAACTAGATAAGGTAAATGGAATCCACCCTATAGATAACTTGTACCATTCGTTGGCTTTGATTTGGGTTTTTCCCTTGAATCACCCCTTCAGGATCACCCCTGGATACTCGTACTGTGATGATCCAGGACCATGCATAAGATTCCAGACAGTTCTCTCAAAATTGCTAGTTTTTTCTCTTTTCATCTCTCAGAGACCTAGGATTATGTGCAGCCACCTTCTCTGTAAATTCTGCCTTAGTAAGAAATGCAGCAAGTCTTTTGTTAATTTGAGTATTCAGGCTTTTTAAGTATAGGATTCACTTTTTTTTTGTATCCTTAGGCACTCAGCTTTGCCATGCCTACAATGTGGATAATAACATGTGCCTTATGCATGCTTCTGAGAAATGCAAGGAAAGTTAATTAGAAAATGTCAAGAAAGCTCTCCAAGATCCTCAGAGGAAGAACATCATGTGACCACAATGTATCATTAGTATAAAAATAAATCATTCCCAATCCCATAACTCTTAAAGGGTCTTTACACATTGCTAGTGCATTTAAGAAATAAAATTACAGACTCACTGAACTGGAAAGAATCTCAAGATGTCAAACAGTCCATTCTCTGCTTCAGGAGAGACCATAGTTCTTCCATCCCCTATGACTTCCTAACCTATTTTTAAGACTTCTAAGGAAAATTGTTCTAAAAACTCATTTGATAATTGGTGTCTACTGTTTTGTATCTCTCCGCCACACAAGCATGTTCTTTTAATCTACTTTTTAGGAAATATAATGAAATCTAATTGAAAGGACTGTGATTCAAGATACAGACTGGAATTTCTTAGTCAAGAATCACTGACTTCAACTATTTTTACACAGCTAAAGTCAGTATTAGATATAAGGTAGATGACAGAAATGGGAAATGATCCTGAAATTAGGTCAGTGTCTTGATGATAAGTCTTTTATTTAAAAGAATTTTCTTGGCCGGGCGCGGTGGCTCACGCCTGTAATCCCAGTACTTTGGGAGGCTGAGGCGGGCGGATCACGAGGTCAGGATATGAAGACCACCCTGGCTAACATGGTGAAACCCCGTCTCTACTAAAAATACAGAAAATTAGCCAGGCATGGTGGCGGGCGCCTGTAGTCCCGGCTAGTCAGGAGGCTGAAGCAGGAGAATGGCGTGAACCCGGGAGGCGGAGCTTCAGTGAGCCGAGATCAGGCCACTGCACTCCAGCCTGGGCAACAGAGCGAGACTCCGTCTCAGAAAAAAAATAATTTTCTTATTCAATTTTATGAATCTTTTGCCACATGAAGTTGTACAAGATGTTCATCTCCTCCGTTCTGGTTTTAATTTTATCTGTCTTATATGGACTGTCGATGAAAACTCAGATTTTTAAAAGAAGTCATGATAGGATTCGAGCAAAAAAAATTAGGACATACGCTTGAGGGAATTTTAGATAAAGCTGGCCCTCAATATTTTCTTGAGTATAGTAAGAATGATCATCTGTGAATATTCATAAAAGTCATTAGGCCTCATTCTACTATAGCTTGGCATTCAAAACAGTATAAACACTGACCAAATGGATTTATTTTAGGAAAGAAAATGTTTATGCACTGTTTCATTTACAGGTATACATTTTAGGTGACATTCATCTGAAAACCATATATAATATGAATTTTTTCATTTTTTATAAATTTTAAACCAGAGTTATGCAGTTGTCAAAGAACTCACTTGACTGTTTCTGCAGAGCAGATAATGACCTCCCTTCTTTTATAAGGGACTTGGTGTCTCCCCTGAACGGTGACCTGTTCACCTGTGTTTGTCTTTTCTCTACCACTTTCTAGTTCTCTGTTCTTTGGCCAGTTTTATGATACCTCTGAACTCCATTGGCCCTTGGACCTATTGAGTTTGAAAAATTCTTAAGCTAAACAGAGATATCAAGCAAATCATTGCAGAAAGCTTCAAGATTTATTAACTCAGCAAAAATTATGAACTTGTAGTTCTATAATAACTTCCATTTTAAGCTATCAAAATCTTGTTATAATGTTATAACAAATACCATTATCACATGCTTTTCTATAACAACCTATGGTCAAGATTTTGTGATAGATACTACTTTTGAGCAGTTTGATGTTAAAAAATCCAATATTATAAAATAAAGAAGTTTATTGGAGTTTATATTAACAAGATATGCCTTCAATGGAACATTTGATTTTAACTCTTCACCTTCTGTACGTTGTTTGGAATTATGAGGGGAATTATGTTGAAAACCAAGACATTTATTTCCATGCATCCTGATCCTATAGACAAAGCACACATTGGAAAGGGGGAAAAAAAAGAAACAAATTAGAAGCAGAAGATCAGAAGACATGCATGTGATTTCTATTCGATGATCTGGAACTGATTTTTTGTCCAAAGAACATCAAAACTAATGTTAAGCTTCTTCTAGTAGCAGTGATTTAAACAAACAAGTGTGGGGACTTATTTTTAGACATAAAGGTACATGGCCAGAGGTTTTATGCAGGATTGCTATGAAATAAATTCCTCTCAGGTTCTTGTAAAAGACGGTATTTGAATTATGAGTAGACATAGCCCATTTTCCACATTCTGTGAACCACTGACGATTTCTCACTGCCTAGATTGTGGCAAGGGAACCTCCCCCTTTTGTATTTCTATTGAGTTTTCTCTCTACGGTAATTATGAGTTTGGGGATCATTAAAAGTCTGATTTTTACTTCTTATTTTGGGTACAGAAGACTGCTTTTGAAGCTCCATGGCTGATCAACAACATGTTTTAAAAGGCTTTTGATGTATACATGGCTCATTAAGTAAAGGTCAAAATTGGACAATGTCCCGTTAATTTCCTTTTGCTAGAAAAATCAATATCTGCATCAACGTTCATTAAATTTGACAGAAGCTAAGAAAGTTAGCTGTGAAATGTAAATCAATACTTATTCCTGATAGGATTAACTTGCTGTACAGAGAATATAAAACATCAATACTTTATACACATTGTTCCACCCAATATTCCACTCTGGCTTTAGGGAGGCCGCATTTTGTCTTTTTGGCCTTCAACCCTAATCTGGTTTTGGGTTTCTGTTAGCTGGAGCTAAATATTCTATCCTTGAACAAGTTTTACAGTTTGTTAATATATACTAAGTGTGATCATTCCTTTTTTATTAAGTTTGCAAGTTCATAGTGTGCAACGTAATGGACTAAATTTAAAAGGCTAAATCATGCCTTCAAACACACACACACGCACACACACAATCTAAGCATTTTAAAGTTTTAGAATCAATGTGTAATTTGCAGATTAAAAACCTTCATTTTTCCCCACCATATAATAATTAACAGACCTTTTGATATGCTATCAATCCTAGAAGAATTTGGAAAAGTTTAGCTTATTCATACACAAATGCCTGAGAGTTTGGTTTGTTGTTATCCTCAAGACTGTGTGCCGTATGATTATGTGTTTTCATGAACCTAGACCCATTTTTTGTTGACACTCATGTTCATAATTATAACTGTGATATTGAAAGATCCTGAGACACCTTTTGAAATGAAGGATATTACATGATGTGCACCATAGTTGCAGTTGATGCATTTTGATTTTTTAAATGAAAAATTAATATAAGACAGCCATTTACCCCCACCCAAGCAATAGATAAGGATCTCTGGTTATGTCACATTTACCCAGAAGTCTGAATAAGAAATTATTTCTTTCTCCCTCTGAACAAATTTGGATTTGTCAAAATTCTCACTGGGGAACAGATGCTAGACACCACTGCACCCGGCCATGTCCTTCCTCTTCAGTGGTTTTCTGTTTGCTCAGGGATTTCTCTGTAGCATCAGAACTGGGCTTGGTTTGCAATAGGACAAAATCAAACCAGAGAGAACTGGACTCCATGGGCTGAGCTGAAGGAAGTTATCTTAGAGGAATTATAACAGAAATGAAGGAGGAAACACTCAGACATAGGAAGCAGAGATGTTGACATTTTTCATGCAGAAGTTAGAGTGAGTGATCATTTTGAAGAATAAATAGGGGCCAGGTGCAGTGGCTCACACTTGTAATCCCAGCACTTTCAGAGGTGAGGAATGAGACAGGCCTGGGCAACAGCGTGAGAGCCCATTTCTACAAAAAAATAGAAATAAGTCAGCTGGGTGTGGTGGTGCATACCTGTGGTCCCAGCTACTCTGGAGGCTGAGGCGGGAGGATTGCTTGAGTCTAGGAGTTTGAGGTTGCAGTGAGCTGTGATCGTGCCACTGTACTCCAGCTTGGGTGACAGAATAAGACCATGTCAAAAAAATTTAACAAAAAAATAAATAAATAGAATTTTATTATTTTCCCACTTTAAAAGTTTCAATAACTTCCTAGGCAACTAAAGTACCTATTTCTTAACTTGGTCTCTAAAATCTCACATGCTCTGATGCCATACCTCTTTCTCTGTATTTCTCTCCTATCACATCATGTCTCATCTGCTACCTGTTTAGTAGTGTTTTTTTCCTTCCTAAAACGTATCACAGGCCAAAATTTTCTTTTCTGTTTCGCTGTGTGAAAGACGATTCCCATAGACTGTCCTATGGCCAACTCTGATCAGTCAGGCCTTGGCTTGAGTTGCATCTCTTCAGAGACACCTTTCCTGATCATCCTCTAGAGAAAACAATCCCCCTACCTTGGGCATGCCTTATGGCATTATGGTCAGGATTTTTTTTTTTTTTTAACTATAAGTTCGGGATACATATGCAAAACATGCAGATTTGTTAAAAAGGTTTACACATGCCATGGTGGTTTGCTGCACCCATCAACCTGTCATCTGCATTAGATATTTCTCCTAATGCTATCCCTCCCCTTGCCCCCCACCCCCTTGTGTATGATGTTCCCCTCCCTGTGTCCATGTGTTCTCATTGTTGAACTCCCACTTATGAGTGAGAACGTGGTGTTTGGTTTTCTGTTCCTGTGTTAGTTTGCTGAGAATGATGGTTTCCAGCTTCATCCATGTCCCTGCAAAGGACATGAACTCATTCTTCTTTAAGGCTGCA
The DNA here is from genome assembly GCF_000001405.40 of Homo sapiens. NCBI lineage: Eukaryota > Metazoa > Chordata > Mammalia > Primates > Hominidae > Homo > Homo sapiens. Next base: position 23,614,015 of record NC_000006.12, on the reverse strand, counting down.
TAGTATTCCATGATGTATATGATGGCCACTTTTTTCATAGCACTTGTCAGTCATCTGAAATGATTTATTTAGTTTGTTTGTATGCCTTCTCACTAGAATACAAACTTTACGGGTTAGGGATTTTGTAACTAGAGCAATGTCTGGCATACTAAGCATTTAAATACATACTTATTGAATGTATATGTATTGAATATATATGTTAATTCATTAGTAAATGAATTAACAGGAATAAATTAGAACCCTTTATTTAAATCGGCTCAAAAGGCAGGCAGTTCCAATCAGCTCAAAAGGCAGACATTCAAGTACCGGAGACTCAAACAAGGATCCAGTGAATTAATGTGCAGTGACATTGAGTCCCACATTTATGTTGAACTCAAATTCTGTTAACGGGCTTTTACCTATTTCACCATGTCAGACTTTGTCTTGGGAGAAAAACCTTTGGAAACCAGAGGCCATGCTTGTTCCCCAATTCCAACTTTGTGCCTCCAATTCTTTTTGGTTCTTCTAGCAAGCCCACCTGATTCAGTTCTCTGTTGTGCTGCCCAGACATTGACAACTCACTCACAGGCCATCTGAGACCTCTGGATGTTAGTTCATCTGCCAGTAACTCTGCCTGCTCCTAGATGCTGATAACTATCCGCTGGCAAAACCTGGCTCCCTCTGTATATCTTCTCCTATGACCTTAGTGCAAGATCTATCTAGTCTCCCCGTTACAAGTCAGCCTAGCTTTGTCCATGCGCTAATGCTACAGGACTTCCCAAGTTCCCCCTGGTAGGGTCAGAACTGGCCTGAGAAGTCTATTCTGAGGAATGTTGGCATCATTGCCTCCACCAGTTCATATTTTGAAGATGTAGATGAGAAATGAGTACTTATCAATGAGACTGCTTAGCATACTTGAAAAGTTAACAGATCTATCATATTTGGATTGAAATTTCTGGAATTACCTGAGTATATAACTTTCACATATATAAAATCATAAGCAAACCTACTTACTGTAAAACTGAAAAATTTAAAGTTTCAGAGCCTTTTCTTACATCAGACCCTCCCATGGCCTTGAGAAGAACACTAAAACTTTGTTAACATGTTCACATTTTCATAAAAATTTAAAAAGAGTATGATATTCCCTCTGATTTCCTTCTATCACATTTCCTCCAGGTTCACTGGTGTTGGAGTGGCTGTAGGCATTTTAGGGGGATCTAGTTAAGAGGAAATTAATGTGGGAATACATTTATGGTGGATTTATTGGGATATATTTATGTGGTTTGCAATCATTTTCATGTACACTGAAATTATTGCTAGCCATCCTGATAAATTAAAGCCTCAGGTTTTCTCTCAAATTAGATATTTTCATTAGTCATTTAATACTAATACAAATACTTCTCACCCTAAGGAAACAATGAGCATATCAAAGTAAGTCTTCTTTTAGAAAAGTGTCTGCTGCTGATGTGTACGGTTTTGCAGGTGACACAATTCACATTACAATAGAATAGTGCCTTTATATTTTACTGTAGGTATATGTCTTTCCCTTGGCTTTCCCTGGAAGTTCAGAGATAGATGCATGAGATACAGGGGCTCTAAAAATTTTTTTAATTAACATTTTCTGTAAAAAAAGATTTCCCATAGACCATTGTCTAATGTGAGCACTAAGAAAACAGCATGTATTGATTTCATAATAACCTTTATATAATCATGTCTGTTTGTCAGAGAAAATTTGTCTCCTTCAAAAATCAAATTAGAACTATGAAGTATAAAAGGATAAGGTTGTTCCCCCCCTCTTGATCAAAATAGCACACTGAGTAGACTTGATTTGCGGTTTCGTTATTGATGTTGGGCAAAAAAAGATGACAAAAGAGTAAGTAATGTGCTGCCGGGTATGTCTTTGATTTGGGCTTGATTAGGGTAGTAGGAATACAGAGATTTTACAGCCTAATGGTGCTGTCTGGAAGCAGGCTGGGGAGTTGGTTCAGCTTTGAGTTGAACTATCTCTCCATCAGAACACTCACTCTCACAGCTGGTACTAATCGGGTCATGCTGCCTGGGCTTAGCAGATGGGGTGAAGAGGCAGACTGCACTTTCACTGGGGCCGATTTGCTCCAAGCCACAAGTAGAGGCTGGTGTCCTTCTGTTGACCCATGCTGTGCTCGCCCTTTGGCTAATCAGGATATCTCTGTCTCTTGAGCTGTCAGCCTCACATCTCCCAAGATCATTATTTCATTAAAAACATTCTGCAGCAAAACATTGTGAGCTTTTCTGTCTACTGCACTGCCTGGATGAAATGGCTTTAAGCCTTCAGCAAGATGCCAAAATCCTCAACTCTGTAAGAAAAAGGATCACTCAGTACTAAGTATTCAACAAAAAGAAAGTCTTTGCTTTTGAAGCTAAGACACCTTTAACTTACAGTTGTGCAACATTTCAGGAAATAAGATTTTATGTTTTGAAGCAATATAATAGCATTGAATCTTGGAGGAGAAGTTAAAGGTAGCAAAGAAAATTTTTACCAAAAAGGAATTCCATAAAAAGAGAAGAGTAGGAAACAAGGCGTGCAAGTGTGAAGAGCCCTCGGAGAATGACAAGGAATTGACAGGGAATACAGAATGTTTTTATTACTCAAATACAGATGAAACTAAGATGGATACGACAATAACTTTTTTGCCAACTCTGATACATATTTAACAGAAATATTTATATCTAGACCATTGTTAGAAAATATGACACCTTTTTAAATGAAAGAACACACTCTAAAGTAGTAAGTTGTTATGCAGTTGAAATATAAACTGAATGAAGTCCACATTCCAGGCCCATTTTTATAATGGCTTTTATTTCATTTCAAAGAGAAAAGCATATTTCTTTCCCAGCTCTAACTTCTCACATGAAATCCTGTGGGATAAAAATTTCTGAAGATTAATGAGTTCTTAATGACCTAGTTACCTCTTAATTATTGAGACAACATGTGTTAATAATCACCAACCTTTCTCAATGAAAAAGTTTCAAACATGTGCCAAATAAATATGCATTTTATTCACTCTAACAAATAGTACCAGCATTAAATTAATGGTAACAATAAAATGGGGCACAACAATATTTTCATGCTTATATTAGGAGTCTGCAAGAAAAATTTCTTGCTACCTGTGTGGGAAATTAAGAAAATCCAGGGAGAAAGCATAGATACTTCCCATCAGCTATATGATAGAATGGTGTGTTCCACAAGATGAGAAAATAATATGCACTTTTAAAATGGCCACACTTTTCATCCTACACAGGTTATTCAGTAACTAACAGTGACCCCTAGAATGATTATGTTTTTGACATTGCAAAAAGACAGCAGATAACTTTTTGTGTTTCCAACCTCTTATTCTTTGCTTTAGGGCATTTGAAATTGGATATGGGGGTAAATTCTGATGTTCTTTCCATTATTGTAAAATGAATCACTGGAAAGCTTGAGGGGTTCTGCTAGCAATTGTTAATGAGGGTTTATTAACCTAGGACACCACCCTATGGAATAATACCATAGTAAAATAGATGGACTCCTAGGACACACTTGTTTTATTAATAATGCAGCAGGGACATAGTCAAAGGCTCTGGGGAATGAAAATGTCCAGGTGAATGGGGTCTGCGACTTTTCCTTTTAGATCAGCAATTCACCACTGGCTCAAGGCAGATATGGCCCCAATTATACATCACAGTTATTAAGTCAGTCCTTGTAGATTACTTAATGCTGGAACTGACAGTCTTTCTCTATCATCTAATTAGTTAACCTTAATTCTGTGTCTAAATTCATGGATTTTTTTAATTAAAAATGTAATTTCTACCTGACTTTTGGGACTTCAAGATTTGAAAAAAAGAAAATAAATATCCACTATAATATGATATAACCAGTTTTTGTGGTTTTCAATCTGAGGCACAGTTTTGTTTGTTTCCTGTCTTTTGAAATGTAATAATGTCAGAGAAGGTCCAGGAAAGGAGAAATGAGTCCTAAAGGGTATTTGAGTACCTGGGTTGAGAAAGAAAACAAGATTCACATTAAAAGTGGGAAGAGAAATGAAAACACAACAGACAAAGGTAGGCACAGTTGCGTGGAGACGTGAAGCTTTGTAAGGACACCCGCACAATGTGCACATTTGCGTTCTCTCTCAATGCTCCATGAATCTTCAAAGAAAAAATGTTAAACTTGGTTGAAAGTTTTCAAGGAAAAGAGGCTCCCCTCAAACCAGCTAAATTGAATACTGCAAAAATGACTGACAAAAAACTACCATTCTAGTTTTGGATCCTCTCAGACTGAATTTTCTATGTAGCTCCACATAGCTGGTGTTTGGTTCTGGGTTACCCTTTGAGGACTTACTATAGTGATGTTCTGCTTGGAAGAGGCAGAGAGAGCCCAGTAACTGGCAAATGCATACTTGTAAACAAACAGACATGGGAGGTGTGTATAACAATTTGCAGTCACTGCCGTCTAGTAAGAATTTGAATTGGTGACCAATTTAGGTGCAGGGTTTTTTTATGCATTTAGATATCATTTATCCTGAGAAGTGCACATTACTGAAATGAACAGGAGACCCCACTGGGACTTAATTAGAGAAGGCTAAACTGGGAAGTGACAGTTTCCATGCTGTTATGGAGCTGTGCTCTAGCCCTTGTTCTGAACTCCTGTGTAATACAATTAATATCCTGTATCTAGTTTTAATAGAGGCAGTAACTCTAGTAAGACACATTATTACTTCTTGGCCCAAAGAGAAATGTTCATATATTTCTCTCCTCACTGTTATCTGTCAAGCTGACTGGCTTCGTCTGTACCCTGAGACATTACATATTCGGGAAAGCAGTTGTTTCCATATGTCTTGCGGGAAAGCTATCATTTTTCAGAAACGCAGGAGGTGCACAGAACATTTTTCGTTTTTGCTTTCCCTCTGCATATATCAGGTGGTAGCCATTATAGCATTCCCAGCACATACCACTGATGTTAGAACTGGAGCTTCTATAACCTATGGTTTGTATTTATTTCATTGGGAGGCAGAGTTATAAAGCTGCTTCCTGACATACAGTAACAGCTGCTAAGCCTCTGTACACCCATCTTACAAAAGAATTCAGTAGGAGCAAGAGAAATTTGGTCAAGGACAGCTACTAGGAAACTTAACTATCATCTGAAATTGAATTAATGACAAAATTCTCAGCATCCTACTTTTGATCTATTTACTAACATAGAGAATAATGAAGATATTACTTTTATTTTTAGCCAATATTTTTATTATAATTTGTTTCCTCCAGACTCCTTCTACATCTGTTGTTCAAGGTTCAGACTCAATATGCAACTAATTTATGAAGCCCGTTTAGACCACAACAACCCTGATGCAAGATGGTAAGGAATTTCTTATTTTTTTCCCTGCAGTAACTAAAGACTATTTATAATATCTATGTTTTCCGTATGTATTACTAATGGACTTTTTAGAGCAGTTTGAAGTTTACAGAGAAATGGAGCAGAAAGAATGCAGTCCTCATATTACCTTCGTTATTAATACCTAAAATGGTACATTTCTTAGAATTGATGAGCCAATACTGATAGGTTATTATTAACCAAAGTCCATAGTTTACATTAGAGTTCACTCATTCTGTTGTACATTCTATGAGTTTTGTCAAATATATAATGACATATATTCACCATTAAAAGCACAGTGGCTCACGCCTGTAATTCCAGCACTTTTGGAGGTCAAGGCGAGTGGATCACCTGAGGTTAGGAGCTCGAGACCAGCCTGGCTAACGTGGTGAAACCCCGTCTCTACTAACAATACAAAAACTCAGCCAGGCGTGGTGGAGGGTGCCTGTAATCCCAACTACTTGGGAGGATGAGGCAGGAGAATTGCTTGAACCTGGGAGGCAGAGGTTGCAGTGAGCTGAGATCATGCCATTGCACTCCAGCCTGGGCGACAGAGCCAGACTCTGTCTCAAAAAAAAACAAACAAACAAACAAGAAAAAGAAAAGTATCAGAATAGTTTAACTATCCTAAAAATCCCTTATGCTTCATCTCTTGGATCCTCCCCACTTTCTCCAAATCCTTAGCAACCATTGATCTTTTCATTTTCTCTTTGGTTTTGGCTCTTCCACAGTGTCTTATGGTTGAAATCATAAAATATGTCTTCATTTCAGATGCACTTATTTCACTTAGCAATATGCTTTCAGTGTTCCTCTATGTTTCCTTGTGGCTTGATAGGTCATTACCTTTTATTGTTGAATAATATATCATTGTGTAGATGTACCACAGTTTGTTTATCTACTAAAGAATGCTAAAAAGTTTTGGATGCTAAAAAGTTTTGGCAATTATGTATAAATCTGTTATAGGCCAGGCGCGGTGGCTCACGCCTGTAATCCCAGCACTCTGGGAGGCCGAGGCAGGCAGATCACGAGGTCAGGAGATCGAGACCATCCTGGCCAACACAGTGAAACCCAGTCTCTGCTAAAAATACAAAAAAATTAGCCGGGCTTGGTGGCAGGCCCCTGTAGTCCCAGCTGCTCGGGAGGCTGAGGCAGGAGAATGGCGTGAACCCTGGAGGCGGAGCTTGCAGTGAGCCGAGATCGCGCCACTGCACTCCAGCCTGGGCAACAGAGCAAGACTCCGTCTCAAAAAAAAAAAATATCTGTTATAAACATCCATGTGCAGGTGTTGGTGTGGACATATGTTTTCAACTCCTTTGGATAAATAGTGAAGAGCCTGATTGCTGGACCTTATGGTAGGTGTAAGTTTAGTTTTGTAAGACCCTACCCAACTGTCTTTCAAAGTGGCTGCACAGGGCACAGTAGCACATACTATAGTCCTAGCTACTTGGGAGGCTGAGGCAGGAGGATCACTTAAGCCCAGAAGTTTGAGGCTGTAATGTGCTATAATTGTGTCTGTGAGTAGCCACTGCACTCCAGCCTGAACAACGTAGCAAGCCCCTGTCTCTAAAAATTAAAAATAATTTTTTAAAAAAACAACAATAAAAAATCCCCACAAAGTGTTGTAGAATTCTGCATTCCCACCAGCAATGAATGAGAGTTCCTGTTGCTCTATATCCTAGCCAATATTGGGTGTCATCAGTGTTCTAGATTTTGGCCATACTAATAGATGTGTAGAGATATCTTGTCATCTTGATTCACATTTTCCTGATGACATAAGAGGTGCTGCATCTTTTCATATGGTTATTTGCCATCTGTATATCCTCTTCGTTGAGGTTTCTGTTATGGTCTTCGGCCCATTTTAAAAATCAGGTTGTTAAGCCCAGTACAGTGGCTCACACCCCTGTAATCCCAGCACTTTGGGAGACTGAGGTTGGCAAATCAGTTGAGTTCAGGAGTTTGAGATCAGCCTGGCCAACATGGTGAAACTCTATCTCTACTAAAAATACAAAAGTTAGCTGGACATGGTGGTGCACACTTGTAGTCCCAGCTACGCGGGAGGCTGAGTCACAAGAATCGCTTGAATCCAGGTGGTGGATGTTGCAGTGAGCTGAGATGATGCCACTGCACTCTAGCCTAGGTGACAGAGCAAGACTCTGTCACAAGAAAAACAAATAATAATCAGGTTGTTTATTTACTTACTGTTGGGTTTTGAGAGCTCTTTGTGTTTTATCACGTGTCTTCTTCAAGTATTTTCTCTCAGTCTGTGGCTTGTCTTCTCAATCACTTGACATTGTCTTTTGCAGAGCAGAAGATTTTATTTTAATGAAGTCCAGCTTATAAATATTTATCTCATGCTATGATTTGGATGGGGTTTGTCCCCACCAAAACTAATGTTGAAATTTCATTGCCATTGTAATGGTATTGAGAGGTGGTGAGGCCTTTAAGAAATAATTATGTCAATAAAGTGGATTAATGTCTTTCTTGCAAGACTGGGTTGGTTCTCTTGAGACTGGGTTAGTTTTCCCAAGAGCCAGTTGTTATAAAGCAAGGTTGCACTTTGTGTTTTACACCTTTGGCATGCCTGCTTTTCTTTCCAGTTCTCCACTATGTTAAGATGCAGCATGAAGCCCTTACCAGAAGCTAAGAGTATTCCGTTAGAGCAACACAAAACAGACTAAGACAACTTGTTCATTACTGATGTACAGGTAAGAGGTTGACATTTGTATATTAATCTTGTACCCTGAAACCTTGTTATAATTGTTTATTATTTCCAGGAAATTTTAAATCTGTTTCTTCCAATTTTCTGTAAAGGTAATCACGTCATTTTTAAACAAAAATAGTTTTATTCTTTATTTTATTCTTTATTCGTCCTTCCCAATCCATATACATTTATTTACTTTTCTTGCCCTATTTTGTTAGCTAGGGTTTCAAGTGCAATGTTTAAGAGTAATAAAAGCAGTTATAATCCTTGTCATAGATCTTAGAGAGTAAGTTTCTAGTTGCCTTCCATTAAATATGATGTTATCTACATTTTTTTTTGTAGATAATGTGCATCAATTTGAGGAAGTTTCCCTCTATTCCTAGTTTACTGAGAGTTTTTTTCATAATTGCTTTGGATTTTGTCAATTTTTTTCTGCATCTATTGACTTGATCATGTGGATTTTTTCCTTTTTAGCCTGTTGATATGATGGATTACATTAATTGATTTTTGAATGTTGAACCAGCCTTGCATACCTGTGATAAATCCCACTGGGTCACTGTGTATAATTGTTTTTATACATTGTTGGATTCCTTTTGCTAATATTTGGTTGAGGATTTTTGTATCCATTTTTACGAGATATATTGGTTTATAGTTTTCTTTTCTTGTGATGACTTTGCCTGGTTTTGGCACTAGGGTAATGCTGTTCTCATAGAATGAGTTTGGATGTATTCTCTCTGCTTCTACCGTCTGGAAGAGACTGTGGAGAATCATATACTTTATTCTTCAATTGTTTGATACAATTAATCAGTAACTCATTGGCCTGGAACTTTCTGCTTTGGAAGGTTAATTGTTGATTCCATTTATTTACTAGCTATAGGCCTATTTAGACAATATTTAAATTATTTTGTGAATTTTGGCTGATTGCATCTTTCAAGGAATTGGCCCATTTCATCTGCGTTATCAACTTTGTGGGAACAAAGTTGTTTATAATCCTCTTTGATTATTCTTTTAATGTCCATGGGATCTGTAGTGATGTTCTGTGTTGCATTTCTGATACTAATAACTTGTGTCCTCTCTGGTTTTCCTTAGTTAGCCAGAATAGAGTTTTATTAATTGTATTGAATTTTTCTAAGAAATAGCTTTTGATTCCACTTGTTTTTCTTATTGATTTCCTAATTTTAATTTTAATAATTTCTGCTCCAATTTTTATTATTTCTTTTCTTTTTCTTACTAGGATTTAATTTGCTTTTCTTTTTCTAGTTCTTTAAGGTAGAAACATACATTATTGATATCTGATCTTTCTTCTTTTCTAACATATTCATTTAATATTCTAAATTTTCCTCAAAGCACTGCTTTTACCACATCCCCTAAACAGCAATAAGTTATATTTTCATTTTCATTTACTTTATATTTTAAATTTTCTCTTGAAGTTTCTTATTTGGCCCATGTGTTATTTATGAGAGTGTTGTCCAATCTCTCTGTATTTTGGGAATTCCAGTTACATGTATGTTACTGATTTTTAGTTTATTTTCATTGTGTTCTGAGGGCAGATATTGTTTGTACATTATTTTTGAAAATTTGTTCAGGTGTTCTTTTATGACCCAGGATGTTGTCTCCCAGGAGTGTTGTCCGTAAGAGCTTGAAAAAAAATGTGTGTGTGTGTTTCTGCTGTTGTTGGATGATGTAGTCTGTAGATATCAATTAAATCCAGTTGATTAATAATGTTCAATTATGTCTTTAATGATTTTCACTGCTGTTCTCCTTGAAGTTTATAAGTTTTTGCTCATTTAGTTTGATGCTCTGTTGTCAGGTGCATACATGTTAAGGATTGTTATGTCTTCTGACATAACAGAAGACATAACAATCTTTTGCGTAATGTCATTGTGTAATGCCATTATCATTTATCATTGTGTAATGCCATTATTAATCCCTCATATTTTTCATTTTAAAGTCTGCTCTGTATTAAATTAATGTAACTACTCCTGCTTTTTTTGATTGGTATTAGCATGGTGCATTTTTTTCATTAATTTACTTTTAATCTATATGTGCCTTTATATTTAAAGTGGTTGCAGACAACATAGGCTTCGTCTTATTTTTTGATCCACTCTGACACTCTCTGTCTTTTAAGTTATCATTTTGACCTTTGATGTTCAAAATGATCATTGATATAATTGGATAAATATCCACCACATTTTCTATTTGTTGCCTTTGTTCTTGGTTCCTATTGTTGTGTTCCACTCTTTTCTGCCTTTTGAGATTTTAATTGAGCATTTTATATAATTCTGTTTTATCTCCTTTCTTGGCATGTCAGTTTCATTTCTTTTTTTGACTCTAATGTTTGCTCTATAGTTTGCAATACACATTTACGATGAATCCAAGTCTACACTCAAATAGTGTTATACCTCTGTACATGTAATGCAAATACTCTGTCATAACTAAACATTTCTACTTCCTCTCTCCTATCCCTTATATTATTGCTTTCATTCTTTTCACTTATATGTAAGCATATATATTTATGTATGTGTAAACATATATAATCAATATTATGTTGACATTATCATTTAGAACAAACTAATATCTTTTAGATCAGTTAAGAATCAAAACTTAAGTTTTTGTTTTCTTTATTCCTTCTCTTCTCTTTTCCTTCATGTATATTGTAGTTGCTGACCTATATTATTTTATTTTTCTTTAGCAAACTTTTAAAAATATTCCTTGCAAGGCAGGTCTACTGGGAACAAATTTTCCCAATTTTTGTTTATTAAGGGTAATTTCACGGAGTACAGAATTTTGTGTTGGTAGCTTTTTTCTCTCAACGTTAAATATTTTAGTCTACTCCCTCCTTGCTTTCATGATTTATTAGGATAATCAAATGTAATTCTTATTTTTTACAGGCAAGATATTTTTCCTCCCAGCTTATTTTAGGCTATTTTATCTTTGATTTGCTATAGTTTGAATCTGAAGAGTTGATATCTGAAAGAGGAAGAAAGAGAAAGTGAAGTGATAGAGAGAGAGAGAGAGAGGGTGTGTGTGTGTGTGTGTGTGTGTGTGTGTGTGTGTTTGCGTGAGCTTAGAGAGGATATCATGTTAATTTGCTGATTAAAAAGTTCTAGCGGAGCAGGAGAGAAAGAGAGAGAGAGTGGGGGGAAGAGGACAAAAGAACAGGAAAGAAAATACATAACTAATAGCACATACCAAATTTAGGAAAATTTTGAGGGAGATGAGTTATGGGTCACAGGCTGAAAGATTGGCATTTTATAGCTGAAGGAACAGCTTTATATAACATGTGGGAAAGAGGTTTCATGACAAGAAATTGAGGAAATTCCAGTCTACCACCTTTTTTTTGGTTATTACTGTATAAACTTGACATCATCTTCTGAGAGTAAAAAGGAACTGTTTTTACTCACAATACTTCTGACATTAAATGCATGGTGACTTTTCCAACAACATTTCTCCAATTCTCTGACATCAGCTAGGTGTGTCATAATTCAGTTCAATTCCGGCACTGTCTACCTGGAGTCAGTATCAGATCCCAAAAATTAAGGGCTCAGTCCCACAAGACTGCCCTTACTTCAAATACCAGTCATAAATTCAGGGTTATCACCAGTATTTCTGACTAACGGGCTTTATATTCAGGAAGTTCACACAACCCCTGCTCATGTTTAATAATTTAATAATTTACTATGTTGACTCACAGAACTGAGGAAAATGCTTTACTTATTACTGGTTTATTATAAAGAATACAACTCAGGAACAGCCAAATGGAAGAGCTCCATAGGTATGGGAGTGGAGATTGTACAGAGCTTCCATGCCCTCTGCTGTGGCTTGTCCCCACCAAATCTCATGTTGAAATGTCATCTGCATTGTGGTGGTGTTGGAAAGTAGAGACTAGCAAGAGGTGTTTGAGTCATGGGGTGAGAACTTCATGAGTAGATTAATGCCCTCATGATTCCTCTGGGAGTGAGTCAGTTCTCTATTAGTTCCCAAGAGATCTAGTTCTTATAAACAGCCTAGCACTTGTTCCCTCTTTCTCTTGCTTCCTCTCTCACCATGTGATCCCTGCACATGCAGGCTCCCCTTCACCTTCCACCATGAGTGGAAGCAGCCTGAGGCTCTCACCAGAAGCCAAGCAGATGCTGATGCTATGCTTCTTGTACAGTGCACAGAACCATGAGCCAAATAAACCTTTTTCTTCATATATTACCCAACCCCATGCCCTTCTTTATAGCAACTGTACACAGATTCTTTCTAGCACCTTGATGTATTCATCAACCTAGAAGCTCTCAGAAGCCTGTCATTTAGGGCGTTTTATGGAGATTCTATTGCATAGACAAGATTGATTAAATCACAGGCCATTGGTGATTAAGTCAATATCCAGCCCCTCTCCCCACTGTGAAGGTGAGTTGGGGGACTGAAAGTTACCACCTTCTAATAATGCTTTGGTCTTTCTGGTAACCAGCCCCCATTCTGAAACTATCCAGGGGCCCCCACCTACCAGTCATCTCATTAGCATACAACAGACACTCTTATCACTTTGGCGATTCCAAGAGTTTTAGAAGCTGTGTTCCAGGAAACAAGAACAAATGACCAAATATTAAGTTCTTATGATATCACAGTAAGAAAGTAGGGAATTCATTTGCTGTCTTTATTGCAGGATCTTGCTTGTTGCTTTTATGCCATAGTAGATGCTATGCTGTGTTGCCTAGATCCATTCTTCAAGTATGGGTGGGAAGAGAATGGCCTTTCACTTTACATTGTATAAGAGGGCCAACTCTGCTTGTAGTGAATAAGGAAAACCCATTTGTTTGAGAGCTTCCACTGAAAGTTTGAACGTTTTTGTTTTATTTTGTTTGTTTTTAAATCAAAGAATGGTCATATGTGAGTTAAGCACATCTTTACATGAGTGAAAATATCTGCATTAAATCGAAGTTGGATCCTTTTATTTTTCTCTCCACTCCTCCATCTTCTGTTATCAGTTATTTTACATTGCAAGTAAGCACGTACTCAATGTTAAGTTGAAAACTTGGCTCTTCTTTCCTTTTCATTATGAAGTACTCATTCCAAATTTCAAAGTTCAAACTCACAGCATAGACATATGAAGCTTACATAGGTTTGCAAAGGAAGGGTAAAAGGTGATAGAAGAGGAAGAGAGATTTTTATGATTAATACTCTGGATCGTCTATGCAGCATACATTTTAACCTTGAACTTCTTCCAGAATTTTCTTTTCATGGGCTTTATGGCCAACTGCCTCCAGATAGACACATTTCTTTCTACAAATATCCTTTTAAATTTGATACTTGGGCCATATGCTATGCTGTTTCACTCTGATTTTCAGGCAGAACTCTCCTCAATCTACATTTATAGTCATGTACCATATAATGACATTTTGGTCAATGATGTACCACATACACCACAGTGGTCTCATAAAATTATAAGGGAGCCAAAAAATTCCTATCACCTAGTGACATTGTAATGTTGCAGTTGACACATTACATTTTCTGTGTATAGATATGTTTAGATACATAAATACTTACTAGTAAATTAAAAGTGCTTCCTGTGTTCAATATAGTAACATGTTATACAGGTTTGTATCCTAGGAACAATAGGCTATCCCATATAGCCTAGGTGTGTAGCAGGTTATACCATCTAGGTGTGTGTAAATATACTTTATGATGTTTGCACAACAACAAAATTGCCTAATGATACATTTCTCAGAATGTGTTTCTGTAGTTCAGTGATACATGACTGCAATTATGTGGAACATTGGTCTTGCTAAAGGCTTCCAGCTGTACTAGAACCCCCTGGAATTTACTATTTCTCCCAGATCAGAAGAAGCATGAATGTTAACTAGGACTGCAAGATACCAAGTAGTTAGTGTATATAAAGATGTGTTCACAACCATTATTTGCAGGTGATTTATGACATTCTGATTCCAATTCTTGTGGAAGATTCTTGCTATAGAAGAATATATTCCCTGCTTTGGCAAGTTATTGATAACTTTATTCATTAGAAAGGTAAAGGTCAAGGAAGCTCTGCCTGAGTGGTTGCATAATGAGGATCTCATACACAGTTTGGGTGTAAAAGTTCTGTTGGGCTATAGTCATCAGTCAGAGGCACAGTTAGCACGGATTAACTGGTTGTCTTTATGGCAGAATGTCACTTGTTGCTTTTATGCCAAAGTAGATGCTTTGCTGCACTGCCTAAATTCACTCCTCGAGCACTCATTTCCCCAGTCACTGAAGAATGGTACAGATGACTCTCAGCCCAGGAATTGCCCTAAAAAAAGCAGTTTTGCCTCATATTATACCCTCATGATGTAGGCCACATTCAATCACTGGACAATGTGGGGATATAATTCTGATCTCCTTTGCCCTATTAAGGGTATCTCTGTAGGACTATCCCAGCCTCCAAGCTTTCTGTGAGATTATCTGGGACCTCTTGTGCAACTGTACCTGAGTGCCACTCCTCCCTCTGTGAAATCCTGTTCCCCTCCCTCTGTTAACAGGTGTTTCTGAAAGCATGCCCCAATAAACTGTCTGAATGCAAATCTCCATCTCAGCATTTGTTTCCTAGGAAATCCACAGAACATACTTAGTGTCAGGACTAGTCATAGGGAATAAGCTATCAAAAAGATTTTGGAGCTGGATCATCTGCCAGCCTGCTAGCAAGGACCATACTATTCCCACTAGATAAACAAGTAGTAACCCCCGGAAGGTTGTGGTGTATTGGACACACTTTTCCCAGTGGTTAACTGCAGTGGGATATTAGTGTAAGACATGCATGGGCATGTGAAATATCCTGGGCATTTGAGAGGTTCCAGGGATGCAGAATTATAAGATCAGATGATTGTTACTGAGGGCTATCAATGCATTGAAGTTAGGATGAGGGAGATTAACCAATTTAAAGCAGAGTGAAAGCCAGAGGATATCTTGGCATTATATAATGAGGCTCTCATCTTTTAGCCAAAGGGCAGGAAAAGCTAAAGATTAGACCCAGGACACAATTATGAGGGTACCTATGCTCTAGAGAATGCTGCATTCTAATTCCCAAGAAGCCATCCATGTCAAGAGGAGGGTGTTGACTAGGAAGATTTGGTGACCTGAGACTTGGGATGGGAATATATGTTTCAATGCATTCAAAACTCTTGAGTCTCTAGGTACTTACTCCTCTGGGCCTGCAGAAGTGATCCACTTCATTTTTAAAGACTAATACCCCTTTCTCTTTGCTTGAAGATGATGCAGAGGCTTTTGCCTTTAAGGACAAAATGTACCCTCCTGCCCCACTCAGGATCTACTTCCATGGCTCCTCTTGGCCACCAGACTATTAACTTAGTTTACATCAAACACTACTTGACTGAGGAAGTACTGATCTGCTAAGAGGCCATACTCTGAAGAAACTTCCAGATGGAGCTAGCATATTGATCAGCAGGAGCCAGGAGAATGCATGTGGAATTGTATTCTGAGAAAACTTGATCAAAGTGAACAGTTTCCTTGAGACAGGATTAACATCCATGCAGGGGTCCCAGGAGACAATGCTAACATGATACTAGAATGGCTTTTTTTTTTAATTTTACTTTAAGTTCTAGGGTACATGTGCACAATGTGCAGGTTTGTTACATATGTACACATGTGCCATGTTGGTGTGCTGCACCTGTTAACTCATCATTTACATTAGGTATATCTCCTAATGCTACCCTTCCCCCCTCCCCCACCCCAGGACAGGCCCCGGTGTGTGATGTTCCCCACCCTGTGTCCAAGTGTTCTCATTGTTCAGTTCCCACCTATGAGTGAGAACATGTGGTGTTTGGTTTTCTGTCCTTACAATAGTTTGCTGAGAATGATGGTTTCCAGCTTCATCCATGTCCCTACAAAGGTCATGAACTCATCCTTTTTTATGGCTGCGTAGTATTCCATGGTGTATATGTGCCACATTTGCTTAATCCAGTCTATCACTGGGTTGGTTCCAAGTCTTTGCTATTGTGAATAGTGCCACAATAAACATACGTGTGCATGTGTCATTATAGCAGCTTAGAGAAAGTAATGGCCTACAAGAAATAAAATTAAAATTCCAGTACTGCTGTGGCGGGAGGTAGAAGAGATCAAAGGGCACACAGAAGTGGACAGTCCTGAGTGCATGTGCTACATGAGACCAGTATACTCCATTTGGTAAAGTGAGAAGGAATGAACTGCTAAGAGAAGCATCGGCATTATTGAGAAGCCTGGTGATGGCTGTTGATATGACTGATAGAATAGGTGGTGTTAACAAAAGTGGGTTCAGTTGAGAGCAATGCAGATGGTAAAAACCTGAAATAAGAGTCAGGTCACAGTGCTTAACTATGGTAAATGAGTGGCTACAATTATTGTAATGAGTAGAGGGGTGTAGCAGCAGCCATGGGGACATGACCTGAAGAAAGCTATGGAGATATTAAGAAAGCTATGGAGAAAATGTGGCACATATACACCATGGAATACTATGCAGCCATAAAAAAGGTTGAGTTCATGTCCTTTGCAGGAACATGGATGAAGCTGGAAACCATCATTCTCAGCAAACTAACACAAGAACAGAAAGCCAAACACCACATGTTCTCACTCATAGGTGGGAGTTGAACAACGAGAACACATGGACACGGGGAGGGGAACATCACACACTGGGGCCTGTTGGGGGCGGGTGGGGGGTTAGGGAAGGGATAGCATTAGAAGAAATACCTAATGTAGATGATGGGTTGATGGGTGCAGCAAACCACCATGGCACATGTATACCTATGTAACAAACCTGCACGTACTGCACATGTATCCCAGAACTTAAAATATAATACATTAAAAAAAAAAACTATGGAGATAGTAAGACATAGTCTTTCTGAGGGCAAAATAGATGGTGAGTCAACAAGAGCATTGCTTGATATATACAATAACAACAACAAAAAAAGAGGATGGATGTTCAGAAGACTGAGGGCAGCCACTTCAATAAAAAGCCAAAATCCCTTGCCCAGTTTCTGTAACTTAGCCAAGTTTTAAGTCCAGAGCTCATGGTCTACAAGAGAGGTCAGGTGACCAGAGAGGAGGAACCCTGCAAAATCTCAGCTGGTAAATAAAGTACCAGTTTCTCTAGATCTTCCCCGAAGGTACCTATGGCCATATACTCAGGTAACTGTGTATACCGGGGAAAGGGAAATACCCAAAGACTTTGAGAAATGGTGGATTCTAAGGGTTAGGGAATAAGTGGAGTCTTGGGCCACGTTCAGGTCATAGGGAGTTAACTGGGTCCACAGACACATCCAGTGTTAGTTTTCCCAGTTTCTAAATTTATAGTAAGCATGAAAATATTTGGGAATTGGTAAGACTATCGCCTTGATTTCTTGGACAATGGGACAAAAGCCACCCTACTGGGGAAGGCCAGGCTGAAGCCTCTGAAACTGACCCCTTTGCCCAACCAAGTCAAGATAGTAAATAAAAAGCCATATAACATAATGAGAGAACTGGCAGAGACCATTACCAATGTTAGTGAGCTAAAAGATTCAGAAGTTATCTTCATCATATCCACATTTAATTAACTGGTCTGGTCCTTTAAAAAAATCCAATCTTGGAAGATGATAGTAGACTCAAACAATTTGTCTATTTGTAGCTGACCAGATGTGGTATATTTCCTATGTGACTATACATCTGTCACCACCAAGAGGAAAAGACAATACACGGTATGCCTCTTCAAGTCATGGAGGCAGCATATATCACACTTGGGTTACTTCGCCAACTAATTTACCAAGCAGCACAGAAGTCCCTCAGCTTGGGTGAAGTCTGGAGCAAGAAAGCATTCTACATGTTGTCTAAACTATTATATAGGCAGCTTTACCATATCCCATGGTCTTAGAGACAGCTGTGCTGAGGAAGTAGGGTGGAAAGACGTGGAGTTTTCTGGGAAGGTCATTTAGGAAACCACAATGTGGACGTCTAGATCACCAAATCAAAAAATCAGGCCCAATGCAGTTCATCCCTTCCATGTTATGATGAACTGCATTGGACCTCTAGATCACCAAATCAAAAAATCAGGCCCAATGCAGTTCATCATAACATGAAGGGGATACATCTAAGATCAGGCGTGAGCAGGAAAAGAGGATGCAAATCCGCTGCACCAGCAGGTAACTCAGACTCCACTGCCATCCGCCAATATTGCATGGCACCTTTCCCTCCGCTGATACCTGTCAGCCCCATGCAGCATCCCTGATCACCAGCTGACTGGGGAGAAAAAAGGCCATGCTAGACTCACAAATGGATTTACCTAGTATGTGGGTTCAAGCCAAAAATAACAGACTGCTTCTGCACTACAGCTCCACTCAGATGTGGCCCTGAAGGCCAATGGTGAAGTGAAAAGCTTTGTACAGTGTGTGTGGTCACCACATTGTGTATAAAGAGGAGTGGTCTGAGGAAGGTACATACACAGATTTATACACAGTTGTAAATGGTTTGGTCAGTAGGTCGGGAGCCTCAAAAGAGAAAGATTGGGGTCAAGGAAGTCTGGAAAAGAGGTGTATGCATGGACCGATAGAAGAGGCGAAAGATGTTTAAAAATCTTTGTACCATATAAGACCTGCCAGAGATCATCCAGTACGGAAGAGCCACTACACCACAAGTAGAAAAAAAAGACCCAGCCAGTTAATATTAGCCAGGATTTCTCATTGGCTACCCACACACAGGTACTTGAGTGCATGATCAGAGTACTTCAGGGTAATAGGGATGAAGGCTGTGCATGGGTCTGGTGCCACTGGTTTCCACTCATTAAGGCTGATCTAGTTAATCCTATTGCCAAAAGTTCCACAGTTCAGTAACGGAGCCCCTAATATGGCATCATCCATTGAGGTAACTAGCCACTTGGTGGCATGTTGATGATATTGGACCCATGGTGGAAGGGAGAGTTTTCATCTTGAGTGGGATTGAGATATACTCTAAATAGGGCCTCTGTCAGCATCATTCTTTAAAGGCTTATCAAGTGTTTCTTCCACCCACATGAGATCCCACATAACATTGCATTGAACCAAGGAACCCACTTTACCAAAAAGTTGGTGGAGCAATGGTCATAATACCATGGGATCCACAGGTTCTCTTATAGACCATACCAATTAGAAGCCTGGTAGGGTGAATTACAGCCATTTGAGTACACAGTTAAGATGAGATGATGCCCTCAAGTTACCGGGATAGCGCATGAGATGGTGAGATGGTACTGTGTCCCCGGTAGGTAGATGATATGAGTCCAGGAACCAAGAGTTGGAATTAGGAGCGGCCCTGCTTGCCATCAGTGTTAGTGATATACTTGGATAATTTGCGCTCCCCACCCATGTCCCTGCAATTATGCTCTGAGGGGAAGATCCACCCTGGCAGGGATACTTGACCCAGATAATCAGGAAGAGATAGACCTGCTGCTGCACAATGAGGGCAGGAAGGAAGAAGTTTACAGGAGCAGCTTGTTGGTAGGAGCACTTCAGGGTACTCCCCTGATCAGTTCTGAAGGTAAGTGGACAGTGCAGCATGCACGCTGAGGAGAGGACATAGTGATGAGAATCTCAGACCTCCTAGAGACAAGGTAAGTCACGTTCGATTAGCAGAACTGTTGGTTAAGGGTGAGGGGAATCTAGAATAGATAGTAGAGGACAGAGATAATGTGCACCAGTTATGGCCCTGAGATCAGCTGTAGCAGCGGCAGGAATTCTATTTCATTCTAATAGACTTCCTCTTAAAAATCTCCAGGAAAGGTCAGGTGCGATGGCTCACGCCTGTAATCCCAGCACTTTGGGAGGCAGAGGCAGGTGGATCACCAGGTCAGGAGATCGAGACCATCCTGGCTAACAGGGGGAATCCCTGTCTGTACTAAAAACACGAAAAATTGGCCGGGCGTGGTGGCACACACCTATAGTCCCAGCTACTCGGGAGGCTGAGGCAGGAGAATCACTTGAACCCAGGAGGCAGAGGTTGCAGTGAGCTGAGATCATGCCACTGCACTCCAGCCTTGGCAACAGAGGGACACTCCATCTCAAAAAAATATTATCCAGGAAAATAAACTAAGGTGAATCCTGGAGAAGCAATTCCAAGAAGTGTTGAACTTTTACATAAGTGGATGCAAGTGACACAAGACAGGACTGAATGTTGCTGTCGGTCACCCAGGTCCTCTTTCATAACCAAGGCACTGAGTTCTCTAGCTACTGGGGGCTTTGCCAGCTGACTGTACGCATCAGAGTCCCTCTCAGGAATTGTCTTAGGTCCAAGGAGAGCTGCCTTATCCTTCCCCTACAAACACATTGCATCCAAGGACTGCTCAGTGCAGGTGTTCAAGGTCCCAACCCCCTCAACTCAGGACATCTCTTGAGAGCTGTCTCAAATTTAACACTACCACTCCTGGGATCAAGTGAGTCCTCCAACTTGGTGAAGTGAAAATCTTTGTACAGTGTATGTGGTTGCCCCATGTCTGAGCAAATACTTACACAGATTTATATGCACTGGTAAATGGTTTGGTCGGTAGGTCAGGAGCCTCTAAAGAGAAAGATTGGGAATGAGGAAGCCTGGAAAAGAGCCATAATGATCCTTTCTTTCTGCTTAATCCTTCTTTTCTCGCTTCCTTCCTTCTGGGTGTCATTCTCTGGTGCATGCCCCAGGAATCCTGTGGTATGAAAATCCTCATCTCCAAGTCCATTTCCTCAGGAAATCAACTAAGACAAATGCTGGATCTTGACTGACTACTGGGGACTTATTTTTCTGGGTTTGCCCTTTTTATCTTGCTATTATTTTCTTACAATAATAGTTTGCTCTAGAAGGGTAATGGCATAGTTGCTGTTTTTCCAGGCTTTCTTCAGTAAATATTTCATACATTGATTCCTAAATAGGGATTCCTAGTTGTAGTCCTTGTTATTTGATTATTTTTTCATGAAAATTTATTCCCCAAATTAAAAAACTATTACTAGGTAGTATTGGTGGCACGAGTGGTGTGGTGGAGAGGACACTGAACAAAGTAGGAATTTATCCAGAAGTAAATAACTGAGGTAATGGAGGCAAAAGTCAACAAAAAACAATCCATGAAGGAAAAAAAAAAAACCCTCTACACATTAATGTTCCTCTTTTACCCAATAGTATACTGTCAGAATGCTAATAGAAATACTAGAACACTTCTTCGGGCTCTGTGAAGAGCTTACTGATTTGTTCACTGTTAATCAGGAGTGAGCTATAGAACAATATATTAACAAGCAAAAATAAATTCCCTTTCCCTTGTTATCAATTAACATTCAAGTTAATTTAGTTCTAATTCTCATATCCAAATAGTTTCTAAAGTTTAATAGTTGGGACAAGTCCTTAAGTCAGTTTATTAGCTCTATGATTTTAAACATTAACTTTTCTAAATGTCCTCAACACTTTGTTTTAAAATATTGAAAAGGTACTGTGTTAGGCGGTTCTTGCATTGCTGTAAAGAAATACCTGAGACTGGGTAATTTATAAGAAAAGAGGTTTGGCCGGGTGCAGTGGCTCATGCCTGTAATCCCAGCACTTTGTGAAGCTGAGGCAGGCAGATCACCTGAGGTTAGGAGTTCGAGACCAGCCTGGCCAACATGGTAAAACCCCACCTCTCCTAAAAATACAAAAATTAGCCAGGCATGGTGGCGGGCACCTGTGATCCTGGCTACTCAGGAGGCTGAGGCAGGAGAATCGCTTGAACCTGGGAAGCAGAGGTTGCAGTGAGCCGAGATCGCACCACTGCACTCCAGCCTGGGCGACGAGGGAAACTCTATCTCAAAAAAAAAAAAAAAAAAAAGAGAAAAGAAAAGAGGTTTAATTGGCCCATGGTTCTGTAGGCCATACAAGAAGGATAGCATCTGCTTCTGGGGAGGCCTCAAGAAGCTTTTACTCATGGCAGAAGGCAAAGCAAAGTCTTGTATTTCACCTGTTGAAAGCAGGAGCAAGACAGAGAACAGTAGAGGGCAGGCGCCGCACCTGTTGAAAGGACCAGGTCTCGCAAGAACTCACTCTCGGGAAGACAGCACCAAGCCAAGAGGGATCTGCCCCTGTGATCCAAACACCTCCCACCAGGCCCTGCCAACACTGGGGATTCCTTTCAACAGGAGATTTGGGTGGGGGAAAATATCTAAACTGTATCAGGCACTAAACACACTGAGATTGTGACTTTTCTACTTTGTGGTGTCCTTTTTAGGGTATTCAATATTCTATCATCTCTTTCCTCTTTTTTGATGAGAGAAGAGGAAAACACTATGTAAGCTGGAGCCAGCGTCATTTTTTTTCTCCCTGTTTCTTTGTTCTGTCATGTGGTGGTCCACTGGATGACCTCCTCAGGCTCATACTGCAAGCTGAGTTTCTAAATTGCTAGCTTACTGTAGTTTTTAATATTCAAACTTGTTTTTCTTTTATGTTCTATTTTTTATATCCCTCACTACTCTGCCCTTCCATAAACAGTTAATTAATATTCTTCCCATTATATATATATAATTTTTTTAAGTACATCTATGATAGTGCTTTTTTAAATAGGCTAAACTTTTGTCTTTTTAAAATTTGTTTGTTTGTTTGTTTGTTTGTTTTTATACAGAGTCTCACTCCAGCCCAAGCTGGAGTACAGTGGCAAAATCTTGGCTCACTGCAGCCTCCGCCTCCCAGGTTCAAGCGATTGTCCTGCCGCAGCTTCCCAAGTAGCTGGGATTACAGGCACCTGCCACTACACCCAGGTAGTTTTTTGTATTTTTAGTAGAGACGGGGTTTCACCATGTTGGCCAGGCTGATCTCGAACTCCTGACCTTGTGATTCGCCCTCCTCGGCCTCCCAAAGTGCTGGGATTATAGGCATGAACCTCCACCACCAGCCTAAAATTTGTATTTTTAATATGTTTTTGCTCTATGGAATTCTAAACTGAGATTTTTGAGTTGTTAGTTGTAGGAGAAATCCAGTGAGCAGAGTAAAGTTGTAACAGATGGAACAGGGCCAGGCCATAGTAAACGTCTGTGATTTGGGGAGGCTTTCAGGGAGCTGACCTTTGGATTCTGGGCATCAGGGCCACCTCTACACTGATCCTTGTTTTAATAATGGCAGTTATTTATGAAGGCAGACTATCTGTTTGAGATGAATAGCTCCTATTCTTTCCTTATATGTTCTCCCACTGAAACTCAATAGATTTAAAAAAAACAAAAACAAAAACAAAACAGCATAGTACTCCTGACCATCTATAGGGAGTGTAATTTATTCTAACCAGGATTGACCTTATTTTGTATAATCATCCACTTCTCTGCCCCCATTATCCTTACTCTTTGGGGTGGTATTAATTAAAAGCCATTGATTTTCATCTAATGTCAATCCATCCATTCTCCCAATTGCCCTGAAAATCCCACTCATTCTCATTGAGCAGTAGCATTCATTACAGATGCTGCTTCTTTCTATTCATCTTTCTTTCTCTTACCATATCTTCCTACTTCTTTCACAAGAGTCTGTCCTTGACCCATGAGGTTCCTTTCCTTTTTCCACATCTCTTTGTGGCCTCTTTTGGCTGAATGCTTTAGTGACAATGACTACATTGACAATTCTGAAGCCTCTCTGTTCACCTTTAACCCCTGTCCCAATATATATCTTCTCTGTCAATCAGATTTTCCCTCTAGGCATTCAAATGCATACTCCATCTATTTAAGAATGAAAGAATCTTTCATTTTGTCCCTCTTCCATTCCATCATTTAGAATCACCTTAGGCATCACTCTTCTAAAGTCCAAATATGCATTTTGATGCATGTCAAGATCAAGATGTATCTTTAAAGACAGGCAGTCCCATGGTCAAAGCCCTTTTGCTGAGAGGCATTGCAGTGCACAGATGTCAAATTGTGGGAGAAAGACTGGATACAGGGCAAGGCCTGGGAGGTAACAGAGAGGTTTCTTCCTCTCAGCAAGTCCAGAATCTTCATTTTAGCAGCTTACTCAGAGGTGATTAAACGCGAAAGGATAAATTCAGGCCAAAACAAACACACACAAAAACTGATTTGGACACCAGCATATCAGAAGAGGAATGTATAGTGGAAAAGATGCCTCACAAGATGAGCTGAATCAGTAACTTTCTCATTTCATGAAGAAACTGCTGCTTAAGTAAACTCAGTAGAAAAAATTAGAGCTCTGAAGGTTGCTTGACTGAAGGAGAACTTGAGGGGTATCACTTGGTAAGTTCTCCAATGGAAGACCTGTAGCTCAGCCAAGTAAACTGCAGAGTCAAGCTTGAGCTTGAACCTCAAGCTCCAAGCTCCTTTTTTATATTATGTCATTTATTCAGATGACTACTTACCTCTATTTTGTGTTGATTTTCACTAATTTCAAATTCAAAGCACTATTTCCTTCACTGTGGTCCTTCCCTGCCAAATAAAGGGTAGTGGTCTATAGTTATGCCGTCTGCTTGTATTAGTCACAGGAGGTTTCTTTCATTCTAACCAAAAAGGTTTTATAGATAATCCTTATTCCACTGAGAAAGAGAATGAGATCTGAAAAGCTTGTGCAACAAGTAGTTAATTTTCCCTATCAACAGCTCTTAAAATGAGATCCTTGATACTTAGTTTTTTGATGATTATTGGGACAGGTCACTTGAGGTATAACTGATATAATCTAGGAGGATTTATTCCTTTGCGAAGAGCAGTCATGATTAGACAAGTACGAATAGCACATATTAAAAATAGTTAAGGCTATTTTTTTTAAAATGAAATTGGCTACAATTAAAGAGATTAGTCTGGTTTAGTAAAATGCACAATTTGGAAACAATACTATCCTGTTAATTGCCACATTGTGCATCTTTAAGAATTACTTTTAATTTCTTTTCTTTACTCATTGCACATACCCTAAGAGACAGGGTATGTGCAAAGTATATGGTTAAGAGTAGTCTCTGGACCCAAACTATCCGGATTTAAAGACAAATTGCGATATTCTAACTTTGTGACTTTAGTTCCTTAATTTCTCTGTGCCTACATTTTATCATCTATAAAAATGGGGGTTAAAATAGTATCTACTTCATTAAGTTGGTAGAAGATTAAATAATATATTGAGCAGTAGAACAATGTTTGGTATAGAGTAAGAACTATCTGTTTGCTATTATTTTTATAGAAATTGATGAATGTGAACATTTATATGGTTTTACAAAATGTAGATTTGGGGGACTTTTGAGGAGCTGTGTTCTCTCTTTTCCCTCTGTTTCCTCCTCTACTCACATCATTGCCAACATCCTCAATTCCATTTATACCCCCGGTAACCCATGTTTCCTAGTAAGCATTTATATGAATTCTCTGAATTTATATAATTCAGCGACTATACATATATGTGGAACAGTTGACAAAACAATCATTTTGTTTTACATAAGTGATAAATAAACTTTACTACATCTTTCTTCTGTCAAGTAATTTGTTATAGCATGAATTTATGGCTGGTACTGTGATGGGATATATAATTATTTGTAAATTATTTGTCATTTGATGGGTATTCATTTCCAATTTTCTAAAACATTATAAGCAGCACTGCAATAAATACTCTTTTACAGAGAAATTTTATGTATTTTCACTTTTATTTCTGGGGCAGAGATTCCCACAGTGGAATTGCTTGTTTGAAGGATATATACAATTTAATTTTCATTAACGTTGTCAGGTTGCCTTCCAGAGTTGTAACACTACCCACTTCCAAGAGTAATGAAGACAACACCCCTTTCCTGCAACTTCAGTTGTAATAGGTGCCACTCTTTCTAATTGTTACCAGTCTGATTGATAGAGAAAGTCTGATTATTTAGGGGAGGTTAGAGGACTTGCCAGGATGAAGTTGACCATGCTGCAACAGGAAACACAAACAGGAATAAAACAAGGGAAGGAAGCTAAGCCAGAAGCTGGTGGAAGCTTAGTAAAACTGAAAATGAGCTGCTTTCTAGGAGGGCGCTGAAAAACAGAAACAAAATTCAAACACAAATGTGGTAAATTCACTTTAACTCATCCATTCCTTTATTCATTCACTTAGAACTATCTTTTAAACATCTATTAAAGACCAGATATTTACAGAAAGGAATACAGCCACTAATAAGATAAACAAGTTATATGCATTCAAGAAATACTCTGCTTTATGCAGAGTAGCTAGAGTTCAGAAGTGTACAGCCATCCAAAGTTCAAAGGGTTCAGATCTGGGGAAACATTTAGTGGATACAGGTGAATCATCACAGTGTAAGAGTCAATTGCATACCGAGTATAATAGTGGAATCCACTTCAAATTAAAAAGCCAGAAGGGGAATAGAATCCACTTCTACAACAAGTGGGGGCTGATAGGAGTAAAGCTGGAAACAAGCCCTAGTTGTTTAAGATACATGGTAGGAATTACTACTAGATATCATTGTTTATGGGATGGGGGCAAAGAGACTGCAAGAACCCTGCATATCTGAACTGAAGGCGTCTTCACCACAAGGCTATTTAATTGAAATGGAAGAGTTGCTGCCTATGTAGCTTTGTTCAAGTACCTAAAGCTTGACCTTTTGAATACAACACAGAGCAGAACTATTTTCAAATTCTGGGGAACTGTGGGACAAATGTTTTTGACATACTGATTAGATAGATGCTACCAGTTTTCCAGGAAAAGAGTGAAACAACTGAACACTCCTGTTTTAAAGAAGTGGAGTGTAGCTAAGGCTTTCTACTATGGCCATTCTGCAGTGCAATGCCATGAGGCCACAGAGGATTGTTGTAGTAAATATTGGCAGGTGCTCACCAGAGATTTAGGAAATTATACTGAGAAAGGCTTTGGGGCTTAACAATGGGAAAGTAATTACTCAGCTTGAAAAGAGTTTTTCCCAGAATCCTAAGAGCAGAAGGTAGATTTTAGGGAGACTTATACAGCAAATGAGCCATGGGGAAGTGGAGACCACTCTTTAGTGGTGTAGACTACTCTTTTTTGAGTTCTTGTAATTATAGGAAGAAAGGTGATAAAATAACAGATAGGAGAAGTGTTTTAAGGGAAAAATATTTTTTCTTAGAAGGAAAGTAAGATATATGCATACCAACAGGTAGATAGAGAACGGGCAGTAAATATTGATGAAGTTAAATAGCAAAGGGAGCTGCAACAGGTCTAAAGGAAGCTGGATGGTGGAAGGTTGGATCAAGGGTGGTGACAGAAGGTTTAGTCTGAAATGGCCAGAGAAGGACTTGGAGCTTTCTGCTCCTAGAAGTCTAGGTAAAGAGAGTGTTTGAAAATACACACACATACACACAGAAATTTTGAAAGCAATATCATTGAAAAAATTTACTTCTGAAAAATAGTTTATGTGTATGTAGAAAATATCTAGAGGGATACACATTAATGCATTCATAGTGTGACTTTTGCGGAGTGAGTTTCGTTCATTAAATATTTAATGCCTAGTCCTTGTCAGGAGCTGTCTAGTCCGGTGCTGAGAATATAAATGTAAACAAGTCTTGGCTCTTGTAGAATTCATATTCCAGGAGAGAGGCAAATAACAAATAAATGTAAAAACGGTACCAGTAATGAATGCTGTTAGAAAAACATTAAGCAATGTAAGAGAATAGGGAGTGATAGTAACTGCTGTTCTAGGTAAGGGAGCCTCTTTGAGCAGGGATCTGAATGAGAGGGGATAAGCCAATACCTGTGGGGAGAACATCCAAGCACGGGGTTAGCAAGTGCAAAGACCCTGGACCAGGAAAGTGTGGATGAGCTCTGAAGAAATAAAAAGAGGTGCATGTTTTTAGCATAAGGTGAAGAAGAAGAAGAGCAGGAGAGGGTTGTTTATACAGGGATTTGTCAGTAATAGGAAGAGCTTTAGATTCCATTTAAATGCAATAGAAAGCCATGGGAATGTTTTGAGCATGAAAATGGCATGATCTGACTTATATTTGAATGAGATCACTCTGGCTGCTGTGTGCAGATTAGAAAGTTAAGGGCATGAGAGGAGACAGGGAGCCTGGGCAGAAGGCTTTTGCCACAGTCTACATGAGAGAGGTTAAAATGTGATTAAATTTAATATGAACAAAATTTGCTGATTGGGTATTTGACTTTTCTGTATGGTTAGATTTTTATTTTCTTTGCAATGGAAATGTACAATTTTGATAATTTAGGTCAAGAAACTTAATATTATAAAATTGCTAAGTACCAAATTGACTAGCAACATCACGTTAATAGCATATTAAGATAATAAGAACAACAACAAAAACATGTAAGCCAAAACAGAATTCTTCTGATAATGAAATGATTAGCAAAGCTTTTATTCAAAAGATACAACTGTCCTCAGTAAGGTTAAAGTTGAAAGCGAACTCAACTCAAATTGTAGGAACCAAAGAAGAGTCTTAGAGCTTAATACAGTAAGCTATTGTATTAGTCCATTTTGTGTTTCTATAAAGGAATACCTGAGGCTGGGAGAAAAGAGGTTTGACTCATGGTTCTACTGGCTCTGAAAGAAATATGGCACCAGCATCTGCTTCTGGTAAGGGCCTCAGGAATCTTCCAGTCATAGTGGAAGGTGAAGGGGAAGCAGGCAGTCACACGGCGAGAACAGGAGGAAGGGAGAGGAGGTACCATGTTCTTTCAAGAAACCAGCTCTTGGCTGGGCGCAGTGGCTCACGCCTGTAATCCCAGCACTTTGGGAGGCTGAGGTGGGTGGATCACCTGAGGTCAGGAGTTCGAAACCAGCCTGACCAAAATGGTGAAATCCTATCTCTACTAAAATACAAAATCAGCCAGGTGTGGTGGCACATGCCTGTAATCCCAACTACTCAGGAGGCTGAGGCAGGAGAATCGCTTGAACCAGAGAGGCAGAGGTTGCAGTGAGCCAAGATCACGCCATTGCACTCCAGCCTGGGTGACAAGAGCAAAGCTGTTGTGAAGTGAAGAGTGAAGCTCAAAACAAAGCAACACAAAAGACAGCTCTTGGGTGAACTAAAATAGTGAGGCTGACTTATTACCATGGGGAGTGCACCAAGCCATTCATGAAGGATCCACTCCCATGACCCAAACGTCTTCCACTTGGCCCCACCTTCAACACTGGAGATCAAATTTCAACACGAAATTTAGAGAGGACAAATATCCAAACTAAATCGGCTATTTTTCCTCTAACTCTCAGAAAGTGTTGTATTGAAACTGTGGCTTTGTTTTTTGAAAGTCCATAGATGAAGTCCATGGATTATTAATCAAATCAAGTGGTTCAATATAAAGTTCTCTTTATGGAACAATTATGGTATTTGTTTTTGTATGAAAACCATTTGGATTGAGTTTGAACTTTGGATCCATTAAATATCTGGGTAATCATTGCTAGAGAACTTTCTGGGGTCTAAGCATACATTCAATTTTTTCCGTTTTCTGTGTAATTTGAGATCCGGGAGAGGAAAAAGAAGGACAGAGTTAACCTTAAAAAAACTTATGCTGTCAACAGAACAATTACAGAGCTGTCTGCTGACCAATGAGAATAAAGAAAAAAAAGCAAAACAAGTTTACTTTTCTTGTCCTGAATTAAACTTTCCATTCGAAGGCTACTAAAGGATTGATTTTCTCCCTGCTTGTGAGATGAAACCAGGGAGTGTTCTACCCTTCACAAGCAAACTGCAGCTTAAATTACAGTCTGACCTTTGGCTTGCTGGTGGGGCAACATTTCCCTGACATGGCCTTGTCAAACTGTCCTTTCTCTTTGCAAACCTCAAGATAGGACGTAATGTGCCAAGCAAGTTCTTCCAAAAATCTTGCAGAGAACAAGCTGGCAACTTTTCCAGTAATTTGTGGTTGTGAAAGATGAATAGTAGACATTTCAGGAAAGGGAAGTGTCCTGGGGCAATGCGTTATATAGATATTCACTTCTGGACTGGAAATCTCATTCTTGAGGTATGTGTTCATTTAGTTCAAATCTTAGTTTGACAACTTGAACTCTGAAATTAATAATTTTAAATAGAATAATTTAGATGCCTTTCATACTTTTGTTTATAGATCGAAAAATGGAACTATCACTATCACCCATCTCATCTATAGCTATCATGCTCTTATTTGAATCTGCTACTAAATCAGAAGGTTAATCCTACAGCTAAACTTTAACTCTGACTTGAAAAATATGTGTTTACCTACCAGTGCCAACCCACTCATTCCCCACTTTAAGGGCAGAAATATATTTTTGTGGTCAGGACGTCTTTTTAGGTTTCCCAATCCATGTCATTGAGTCTGAACTCAAATTCATTTTAACAGAAGGATCCAGGACCCCTTACATGCTAGAGATGGGCATGGCTGGAACTCCATCCTCTTGTAAATGGAGAGATTTTAATTATGTTACTTTGGCCAACACCTTTCTTTCCTCTCTTTTCTTTTGTTTCCTAGATCCCATGTTGGAAATTAACATTTAATGAATATTTTTATATGACATATACTGTGAAAATGGCTTTATATGCATTATCATTTAAAATTTGCAACAACCTAAGCACTGCTGCAGAGGTATAATGACACTCAGTTTATCTATGAAGAAACCAAAAAGACAGCTGGTGAGGTAGCGAAGTAGGGCTTTAAACCTGATCTACCTCTAATCCTGTTGCTCCATTATTCAACACATTCACGTTTTTTCCACAATTAATTTTATTAAGTTATTTTAAGGATTTTAAAGAGAACCTCTAAATAAAATGAGGTTTTTTTTGGGGGGGGGGGTCACTTACAAGACAATCAGTGCCTATGAGCAATAACAGTCTCTTCCTCTATTTGTTTCTGTCAATGTATTGAACTTCTACTATATAAGTTACGCCACAGAACTCTAAAGTTAAACTTGAAATTGCAGTTAAATCTCTGGTCTAACAAGCATGAAAAAGTTATGATCATGGCTCTCCAAACCACCAAACCTCACCTCTAATTTTATTTCCCTCCCATATAATCTTCCTTGCATTCGATTTGACCAAAACGAATATGAAACTGTCTAGTTATGAGATTTATATAACAAAGTTAATCTTTGAATCTTTGAAATAGAGCCTATTACTCATGGAAAGGGTAAATAATATGCATGCATGAATGTGTGTGTGTGTGTGTATGCAGGTGCATGGCTACACACACGTGTGCAATTTTTCTTAGTTTACTCTGAAGGAAAGTAAAGGTAAAGTCTTGTTTAATGGACTGATACAGACATGGCTTCAGCTTCCTTTGCAGTGTGAACATGCCTGAGAAGGGAATGCATGACTGTTTTGCATTTTGCACACCTCACTTGTGGGAGGCCGATACACACTGATAAAGGGAAATCCAGGAACCTACTTTGAAATTTTTATTTTTATACTAAGGAGAAATCTGTCTCATGTTCTTCTTAGTACATGTGTGGTGCTTAAAATTATTGAATATATGAATTAATGAATAAATGTAACCAAAATAGGCCATTTTAGGGAAAATCTGTTGAATATATTTTGTTATGTGTGGGCTTTCATAGTGCAATCAGGAACTTCCAGTTAGCACTCAATTGAATAATTTTTGAATTAAATTTTTAGTTAAAAATATTCCGAATTATTCTGTAAGCTCAGTATTTATATTTGCTATATTATATTTGCAACTCTCAGAGAGAGTGGAGAAATCCATTTTTTTTTTCCGTTATATATGTTAGCAATGGTAGTAATAGTTACAGGAAACTCCAAGAGCCAAACTCGGAAGGTAGAGAACCTTCCTCTTTGATGAGTAGAGCTATGGCTTTAAGAGAGTAAGGTTGTCACTGGTTGCATTTGTTCTCTCATTCTATCCTCCATTACTAGTGATAAGTAGAGATATTATCTGGGGTAAGCCACCAAAAACATCCATTAAAAAATTGATAAATAAGACTCCTTTAAAAATTTTAAAATGTTCTCCATGAAAGACATTCTTAAGATAATTTAAAAAAACAACAAAACAAGCTACTTATCCAGAAAAACTAATTGCATTTTTTATGACAAAGGACTAATATTCAGAGTATATAAGTTACTCTCAATATTCAATAATAAGAAAACAACCCAATTTTAAAATGAGCAAACGACTTGAAAGGACACTATATTAAAGAAGACATAAGGATGACAAATAAGCACATGGAAAGTTTTTCAACATGATTAACCATTAGAGAAATTCAAAATAAATTCATGATGAGATATTACTACACACCTATTAGAATGACCAGACTAAAAAAGTAAAATAAACAGATACTCCAAATTGCTATAGAAGAAGATGTAGCAACTGCACGGCTCATACATTGCTGAGGAAAATGCAAAATGGTACAGACACTCTGGAAAATGGTTTGGCAGTTTCTCACAAGCTTAAGCATATACTTGCTGTACAACCCATCAGCCCACTTTAGGGTGTCTACTGCAAAGTAACAAAAAGTTATGTTTCTCTAGAGTGTGTGTGTGTGTGTGTGTGTGTATATATACGTGTGTGTGTGTGTGTGTGTATGTGTGTGTATGTATATGTGTGTATATGTGTATATATGTATATATATGTATATATATGTGTGTATATATACGTGTGTGTGTGTGTGTGTGTGTGTGTATGAGACAGGGAGAGAGACCCCATCCCCTAACTGTCCAGAAGTCATATATAATTTTGACTCATATATAATTATGATTCAAGTCAGAGTGAATCTCCTGACCCTACAGAAATGCATAGGAGCTAGGGATTGTAGAAGAGCATGTGCATATCTCATGAGCTTATCATTTGATGCTACCTTTAAGATGTTATTGAAATCACATAGTCTTGAATGACAAATATTATTCCGTTAATACCTTATTTAGGACTAGAAAGTCAGATCCTCTGTCTCTGAAGCTGAGTTATAGTTCTCCTCATTTTAGAAATCTGAACTTATATTTCATCTATTTGTTTTTAATTAGCATAGAGTAAAATTGACTTTTTTCTTTTGATATACAATTCTATGAATTTTGATATATCCAATGATTCATGAAACTAACACCAGAATCATGATACAAAACAATTCCATCAACCCCAAACATTCCTTCAAGCCATCCCTTCATTCTCAGCTCCTTCACTGATTCCTGACCCCTGATAACTAGTGATCTATCCTTCATAGCTAGAGTGTGTCTTTTGGAGAATATCATATAGATATTACCAAACAATATGTAATCTTTTGAGACTAATTTCTTTCACTCATTATAATGTCTTTGAGATCCATTCAAGATGTTGTGTGCATTGGCAGTTAATTATTTGTATTATTGAGTGATATTCTATTGTATAGATATACTATAGTTGTAATTTTCAAATCAAATTTATATATATTTATCTGGAAACATAGATAACAAGTAGTATAAAATAGACATGTGTCTAACAGCCTGAATGTTCTTTAAGAATTTTTGAAGCATTTGTTTTTCTAAGCTATGAACTGTAATATACTATTGTTATGACTTTATTATATTTATGAACATACATGTGATGGAAATACTCTGTACATCATCATGAGCATACAAACTACACACTCATAGACAGCATGAAGGTAAGAAAGGGTGACACAGAGTGTTTATTCATGGGACATTCCCTCTCCTCTATCTCAGACAGTCTGTGCATCTTTTTAATTTGTGCATAAGGAGACCCAGGGTCTACTTTTGCATCTGACATCAGCTGTGTGACTTTGAAAAACAAAGAAGTCTGGTTATAGCAGTGATTGTGAAGATGGGGTGAAGAACCTGAGAGGTAGGGTGACCAACTCTCCCAGTTTGCCTGGGACTGAGGAGGTTCCCAGGATGTGGAACTTTCAATTCTAGAAATGGGAAAATCTCAGATAAACAGGGATGGGTTGATCACCCTAGGTGAGAATTATAGGAAGATCTTGAGAATGGAATGGGACATGTGTGGTTTTAAAAAGCGTATTTAGTAACATTGTTTTTATTATTGAATCAAATAAAATTATGTTTAAAGAAATATTTTTGAGTAAAAAAATATTTGCAGGTGATTGCCATTATAATAGTGAATACTTTTACAGTACTGACTGTGGCTAGGCCTTGTCCTAAATAGTATATGTATATGAACTTATTTAATTTTTGTAACAGCCCTCTCCCAGTTTTCCTGATTTAAGAAAATATATTCATATGAGACCTACTCTTGAAAAATCTACAAATACAAGGTCATATAATCGTGACTCAGGCAATCTTGTGATATTACTGTGGATTAAAAATAATTGAGAAACACTATATCAAGTACTCACTGAAGTTCTTTCTAGATTCTTGGAATATTGTCAAAATTTCATGGACATAAATTAGGTAATATATAAAAAATCCAATAACTCTTCCTGATAAGCATTGATTGAAATAGACAAGCTAAATAAATAGTACAGAGAATGCAAGTAAGTTAAAAACTAAAATGTCAAATGCAAGCACGCAAACTTCCAGAGAAATAAGAATGCATTTGATCACAAGCCTCAAAAATCACTATTTGGTCTTTCTGT
Organism: Homo sapiens; assembly: GCF_000001405.40. Taxonomy (NCBI): domain Eukaryota; kingdom Metazoa; phylum Chordata; class Mammalia; order Primates; family Hominidae; genus Homo; species Homo sapiens. The sequence continues at coordinate 23,579,557 of NC_000006.12, read as the reverse complement.
GGAAATAAAATTAAAATATAAATACATATACTCTTCATTCTGTGAAGAACTTTTGGAAAAATATAAAGCAATATATTAATTCAGGAAATGTTAGGTAATATTGCATCTATAAAATTCTAAATCATCTTTTCAACTCTGCAAAACATCTGAGTTATATGTTTAACTATAGACGAATCTGAAGTTTTGCTTTTTGTTTTCTATTCCTTTCTTTTTGTTTACTTAAGTTTCAACATTAAGGAAACCAAGCTACCAAAGACCAGAAACTGATAAAACTCAATTAGTAGGAAGTATCACATATTAAGACTCCTGGTCCAAGGTTCATTAAAATACTCCATAAAAACTTATTTTATAAACCACAACAGTTGGGAGTGTTGTGATTGTTAGCAGGAAGCAAAGCATGGTTAAGAGCACAGTTGAGCATTCACTCAACAGTCTTCTGAGTTCTCTCAATTCTTCCTCACTTCACATCCGATTCATCAGCAAATTCCACCAGCTGGATCTCTGAAGGGTGTTAGTCATCATTATTATCACTTTTCCTTACTGGGCTCCCTGCTTTCATCCTTGCCTTTCAAGAGTCTATTGTAAACATGCATTCAGTTTGATCCTATTTCACGAAAACGAGATTCTGTCACTGCTCTTCTTAAAACCTCTGTGGCTTTTCATGTCACCTGGAGTCGGAGTCCACATCAGAGTCCTAATAAAGGTATAACATGTATCTCAGCCACTCCTTTTATCTCCCTGACCCCATCTCCTATCTCTCTTTCTTGTTGGTCACTTCTTCCTGGTAAAATTACCTCTCTTGCTGTTACTTTCATGCAAAGTGCAACCCTCAGTGAAGAGTTCTCCATTAGGACTTTAGCTTTGGTTGTTCTCTCTTTCTGGCAAGCTCTAACCCAGCGTGGCTTACTCCTCTCCTCCTTTGAGACCTTTGTTCAAATATTGGCTGATTATTGCAGCTCTTCTCAACCATCTTATTTAAATAGCAAGTCCCCTGTGCTCTTACTATACTCTCTCTAACCCTTCCCCGCTTTACCTCCATAACATCTGGCACATAACTTATTTGTCAATTTAGTTATTGTCTTCTCAATTGAAGTAAAACCTGTATGAGAGTGAGGGATTTCTATTGGTTTTGCCCACAACTATATTCCCAGTGTCTAAAATTATAAGTGCTACATAGCAGGTCCTAAAAATAAATATTAAATGGATTGCATTTTTATGGAATATTGACCACATCAGTATTTTAAGATTTGAGAATTTGAAAGAGGAGATTTAAAAAAATGGTGTCCACTCTCATGGAATTCACCCTCAAGAATTTGAATTCAGAGAACTAATGTTCAAATTCAGGCCTGGTTACCTCCTGCAAGAGTCGAACTAGGTCACAGAATCTCAGCTTCACCATCTTCTCATTTATGAAATGGAGCTCCTAGTCATGTCTACCTCAAAGGGGGCTCCAAAGATTAAAGGGAATAGTGATGAATATCAAGGCATTTAGTGCCTCAGAAGGTGCTAGATGTATACTTTAATATGTTTTACTATGATTTTACATTCTCATTAGAGAGACAATGACTTTTTTAAATTGAGAAAGCAAAAGGGGATGCAAAATGTGACTTCAAAGTGGAAATAATATTTAAAGTTTAAGCCATTTCATTAGGCTGTGGGTGGGCTAGACCTAACCATGAAGACACAAGTTTTTAAATAAATAAGCCATTGTGGAAAGGGAAGAGGAATTTGAAAAAACAACAACAACAACAACAACAACAAAAACACAAATTGTAATCACAGAAAACTGTTAAATGCCTTTTCAGGCATAAGTTCTCTCTTTTGCAAAGTCACCATGCACAGTTGTTTAGGATGTTTACTGAACAAGAGTGCCTGGAAAAGTGTATAGAAAAGGAGCTAAAGTCCAGTGCATGCTTTCTTCGATAAGCCAACAGTATAGGTTTGCATCTGCCTAGAGGAAAGAGTGCCTTTTCCCAATGAGCACAAAGACACTGTATAGGCTCTTCAAATCACTGCATCCTGGAGTCTAGGTGAACCTGGGTAAGATCAGCCTATAGACATCTCTGCCTCCTGTAAAAGCCTATAGTTCTTGTGATCATCCCTGTTTATGAGATGCGTTTTTACTGTTAGCATTAATTTTTTGCTGTCATTATCTGTCAATAAAATTTTTATTATGTAATATATATTTATTGAGCATCTGCAGTGTGTGGGCTGGTATTCTAGATGCGGATGTGTTTATAACTGTTCTCTCAAACAGTATAAAACACATCTTGAATGTAGGTGTAGTTAGAGTTTCTTTAATCTCTTGTGCAATGTCCTGTTTAGCTGCTGAGATGTTTTTGAAGATGTTTACTCATTGATTGATTGATTGATTGGGATCAAAATAGTCCAAGCAAAACCAAATGGCAATGATAAAAGACAGGGAAAAATAAGATTGTAAAATAATTACTAAAATTAGAAGTGTAAATTTGGTTTGTAGCAGGGGAAAAACTAAAGTCATATCATGAAAGTTTGGGATGTGTTACTTCCACCTCTTCATCTGCTGATCATATTTTTAGTTTCAGTATTTTTATCTTTGACTTTTTCTGGGATGGTAACATTTAATTTTAAATTACTTTTGCATTAGAAATGTTCTTGAAATGACTTTGACATATTATTAAATGTGATTTCATGTTTTCAAATAAATGAATAGGAAAATGGGGGTACATTATGCTGAAGGTTAGTAGAGATATTATGCCAGTTGGGACTCCTCAACGATGTGAACATTGAGGACCAAATTTCTGTATGCATTTGTGGGTCAAATGTATTAAGAATGTTGCCCAAGATATCATCCATTGTGAGACAGATTGATTTCAGGACTTTTAAATGAGAAATGGGCTATCTTAGGCGTGATGAAATAGGGTATGGATGAAAAGCAGGCTGGGTTGTGTGCTGAGGGTGGTGGATGGAAGGGTGTGCTCAGCTCTGCAGATGTTGAGTTTAGGCCATCTGGGGAGATCAAAGCATAAGACCTCATTCTGGACCCTGACGAGATTCAGAATAAGAAAGACACAGGGTCAGGAGATTCAAACATGTGATTTATAGCTCAAAAGGGGATCAGATGACCAGAAGGAAGCCCAAGTGGCAGGCAGACAGAAATGAGGTGTGTTCCCAAGGATTCAGATGTATGAGGGGCTTATTATGTGAATTAGGTACAGTGGGATCCAGCATCATATACAGACCCCTCAGTATCCATAGGGGATTGGTTCCAGGACTCCCATAGATACCAAAATTTGTGGATGCTCAAGTCCCTTACATGAAGTGGCACAGTATTTGCATATAACCTATGCACATCTTCCTGTATATTATAAATCATCTCTAGATTACTTATGAGACTCAGTGCAATGTAAATGCTATGTAAACAGTTGCTATGCTGTGTTGCTTTCTTAATTTGACTTATTCTTATTGGTGCATTGTTGTATTTTTTATTCAAATATGTTTGATCTGTTGTTGGTTGTATCTGAGATGCAGAATCCATGGCTACAGAGAGCCAACCGTACATGTGGATTTGTTAAGAAGACTCAGGTAACTAAAGTAAACTTTATTCCCCACTCACAAAACTTCCAGAGGAGCTTAACTACTTCTCCTTAAGTAATAAAGCAGAATTCAAGGTTAAATTTAACATTCCCTACACGAGTATGTGTAAAGAAGGATAAAATATGAAATATAGTGTGCTTCATAAAAATAACAAGGGAGGCCAGGCATGGTGGCTCAGGCCTGTAATCCCAGCACTTTGGGATGCCAAGGTGGGCAGATCACTTGAGGTCAGGAGCTCAAGACCAGCCTGGCCAAGATGGTGAAACCCTGTCTCTACTAAAAATACAAAAATTAGCTGGGTGTGACGGTGCATACCTGTAATCCCAGATACTTGAGAGGCTGAGGCAGGAGAATTACTTGAACCCAGGAGGCGAAGGTTGCGGTGAGCTGAGATCGCGCCAGTGCACTCCAGCCTGGGCGACAGAGTGAGACTTCGTTTCCAAAATAACAATAACAATAATAACAATGGAGAATAAGCTGTTCTGATACTGCAGCCCGCTTCTGTAAATAGATAAGCAAAAGATTAAAACATGATATAATCAAACAAAAACACCTTGATGCTTACGCAACTGTTTATTTTAATTCTACTGCTTTTTATCTTGCCCTCTGCTTTTACAGGGCATAATTTGTTCTCTCCTCCACACTCCTGTCAAAGGCAGCAGTTGTAGTCTTTGCCTATAGCCCTGGGAAAATACATTAAAATAGCTTTTATGAGAGTGGAGCTAGAATAAGGGTATTTACAAAAGATGCTTATTCCTTAGATTATGAGTATCACCTTTACATTAATATAAGAAAAAAATCACTGAGATAATATAAAAACATTGTCATTCAAAGTGAAGCTTTGGCACAACCGGATTTACTCCCACCTCTACACAAAATCAAATTATAAGGGTTCTTCATCAACAGACAAAAGTGTAGAACTGTAAATGAAAAAATATGCAGATTTCTTCTCACAGGAGAATAAAGTGCTTTATCTCTGTGGGATGTTACTTGAGGCTATGAGGGGTAAGAGAGCTAAAGAATAAGGAGATGCTCCGGACGTAACAGAAAAAGAAAATTGTTTCCTTCTGGGATGGAGACAGGGCTGGCTTATATATGATTCCCCACTGTCTTCAGGTTAATATTGACTGCATGGTTATAAGGTTATAGATTCTATAAGGTCCCTTGTAATCTAGCTTCTCAAATCTCATTTCATGCCATTTTCCCCATGTTCTCTACAGTCCAGCAATTCATTCTTTAAACTTAATTTTATATATATGCCATAGCAGACTTCTTGTAGTTTTCCAGTAGTGTCACGCCCTGCCTTGTCTACAGGCCTTCATGCAGGCTGAGTTCACTTCTTCTACGCCCTTGACTCCCCTGCCTCCCAACTTCAGTATCAACAACTTACTCATCCTTTAGGACTCTTTTTATATACACTTCCTCTTAGAAGCCTTCCTCACCCCTCAAGCCAGGTTAGATTCATTGTTTTGTTGCTTAACATCATACTGTGTTTACAACCACAGCCTTTTACAAACTATTTATAATTACCTATTGACCTTACATGATTTCCCAGTAAGATTGTAAATTATAAGGGAATGAAACTCATTTTTGTAGAAGCTGATAATTGCCCACCTAAATCTATTCTTCCCTTGATTCATAGTATTACATTGCTCACTATCCCCACAAATCCATTCGTCTCTTCTGTAGGATAGAATTATAGCTACAATATAGCTGTCCAGCCTGGGATATCCCTTGCCACTTTGACACCGTATCACTACATTTTTGGCAATTTGGATTACATGTGATGTTTTATACTTCAGACATGCTCATTTCTTTGCATGTCCTTTGCCATCCCCATGAACTAGAGTCTGGACATGCCTGAGACTCAGTGCTTTGCGTGTGCAGAGAAGCAAAATGGAAAGGACCTGGGTCCCTGACTGACTGCATGGAATGAAGCCACTATCCACCTTTCTCCTTTGGCTGTTCTGAGAAAAATAAGCTTCTGTCTTCTTTAGGATACTGAATTAATTTGAAGTTTGTTAGAGCAGCTGATGCTTTTTTTGACTCAAAAAATTGAGTAACAGAATAATGCTACAAGCAACCTTAATATATGTTGTTACCTTAGGTGTTAGACTGCAGGGGGGCAAAGGCACATGGCAGACAACAAAGCCAGTGATTCTTCTTGTGCTGTGGCAAAATATTTCATAAAACAATAACTTGAAAGCTAAGTACAATGGGCTCTAAAGAAAACATTTTACATCATATTATTAGTGTATCTCAATTCCTTGCTGATTATGTGAAGAAATTATAAAAATGATGAACTCAGGCAGTGATTAGCTGATTTGCAAGTAGAGATCCAACAGAAGAGAGGGCATATAAAAATTGGAAGTCCCATAGTCTTGTAAAAGCCAATGATTTCTCTTACCAAACAATGGCATATGATTATTGCTGTTCAGAACCTTTACCCAAGGCTACCTGTTATGCCAGCAAGGGACTGAGTTGTAACTTCCAGGCCAAGGATTCTATACAATTCCTGCCCTTCAGGATTTGAAATGTTTCACTGGTCTGCTGTTTGTTCTATACTTCAATTTTCTGAATGAAGGTTTCTATTGAATTCTTTTTTAGTATTTTGTCCAAGCCTGAGACAATAATTCAGATAATATAAAATTTCAGCAGGATAAAGTAAACTGGGGGAGTTTTTAGTTATTTCCCTTGGGTGATACTGACAGTATTTTTTTATGAATGGGGAGAAATTTGTATATACATTTGGTAGTAAAATGGGCAACCTGTGGTGGAGACTTCAGTGTGTTGTCAAAAAATATCCTTTTTGAGCTTGGAGCAGTGGCTCACGGCTGTAATGCTAACACTTTGGGAGGCCAAGGCAGTGGATCACTTGAGCCCAAGAGTTCAAGACCAGCTTGGGAAACAAAGTGGGACCCCTGTCTCTACAAAATACAAAAATTAGCCAGGCATGGTGGTGTGCACCTGTAGTCCCAGCTACTCTGGAGGCTGAGGTAGGAGAATCACCCTGAGCCCAGGAGGTCGAGGCTGCAGTGAGCCGAGATCATACCACTGCACTCCAGCCTGGGTAATGTAACAAGACCCTGTCTCAAATATATAGGTAGTCCCCAGCTGGGTTAGTGTTATCCCAGCTGGGGACTATATATCCCAGCCCTCCCTGTAGTTGTAGGTGGTAATGTGATTGCTCTTACCAATGGAACATGGGCACAATAATGGATGCCTCTTCTAGACCATTATTCCATGCTCATCCATTCATCTTTCACCACAGTCATCCATTCTTTGACCTTCTGGACACTGTCTATGCAGTTCTGATTCTTGATGTCCTTTCTTTAACAACCTTATATACATGGGGCATTCGAAATCTCAGCAAAATTTTGTAAGGTCTATTCCACATAGACAGAGCAGGTAACATTTCTTCTCTGTGGGCTATTACCACTCTTAGGACTCTATCCAGGAACAATACTTAGATGTCGTCTTTTCTCATTACCCCAAAACTATCTTAAAATATTTTGCCTCCCAAGGGCTCAGTGTAGGAAGCAGTAAAATATCAATCCTTTTCCTTGGGTACTTACCAACTCTACTTTCTTCCATTTCAAGTGTCCTATATCTTCTTAGCCCAATAAATTTATTTTTAGTCTTGGGAGGGTATGGTAGAAGAAAAAAAATATCTGATCCTCTATATTAGTCCATTTTGTGTTGCTGTAGAAGAATACCTGAGAGTGGGAAATGTATAAAGAAAAGAGATTTAGGCCAGGCGCGGTGGCTCACGCCTGTAATCCCAGCACTTTGGGAGGCCGAGGTGAGCAGATCACGAGTTCAGGAGATCGAGACCATCCTGGCTAACACAGTGAAACCCCGTCTCTACTAAAAATGCAAAAAATTAGCTGGGTGTGGTGGCAGGCGCCTGTGGTCCCAGCTACTCGGGAGGCTGAGGCAGGAGAATGGAGTGAACCCGGGAGGCGGAGCTCACAGTGAGCCGAGATCACGCCACTGCACTCCAGCCTGGACGACAGAGCAAGACTCCGTCTCAAAAAAAAAAAAAAATGTATTTGGCTCATGGTTCTTTAGGCTGTACAAGAAGCATGGTGCCAGAATCTGTTTCTGTTGAAGGCTTCAGGAACCTTCCACCGATGGTGGAAGGTGAATGGGTGAAGGGAAGCAGATGTGTCACATGCAGCAGAGAGGACGCAAGAGAAAAAGGAGAGGAGATGCCAGGGCTCTTTTGAAAAATTAGTTAGTGCATGAACTAAGAGTGAGAACTCACACAATACCCAGAGGACAGCAACAAGCACTCATGGGGGATCTGTCCCCATGACCCAAACACTTCCCACTAGGCCCCACATCCAACATTGGAGGTCACATTTCAATGAGAGATTTGGAGAGGGCGTTACATTCAAACCATATCACCATTTTTATCCCCCCAAATATGTTTAGGTCATGAGTCTTCTTCATTATCTTATGAACAGAACCTTTTGAAATTCAGGCAGGGAAAAATTCATTTTATTATTATTATTTTATTTTCCTCTGTTCTGTCGTCATACATACATTTTCTGACGTCTAAGTCCAGAAAAACTTTGCTATCAAAATAGAGGTAAGATCCAAGAGAGAAAAGAAATGCCAAATAAAATATCACATTGGTTAATACTTTTCATTTAATAGGGCAAATTACATGATGCTTATTTGAGAATCTAAAATTGGTTCTAATTAAACCCATAATAATATAACAAGGAACGATTCCAATTTTAATTACACATTGCTTGATTTCAAACAGAGCAAAACATATGAAAATGTTATGGCAGATCATTATCCTCGTATTAACTGTAAGCTCTCTGGCATTCCATAGTAGAGCATTAGGAATCCTATTTTTCTGAATAATTGATTGGTATCCTAGGAGAAATTGGCTTCAGCAATAGTCCTCAAAACCTAAGACCGTAGGATAAAAACTGTTCAAAATGTGGGAGAGAGGTAGGGAAGCTGGTAGGCAGAAGAGATTTGAAATGCTCAGGCCAGGTCCTGGACACTTGTTGTCAAACTGAGAAGTGTCCACCAACCCAGTCTCAGGTCCTTAAGAAGAGATGTGGGGTCCCAGGGATTCTTCTTGGCAAGAGATGGGAAATGAAACTGTCTTTGTTATCATTGTGATTAATGTTTTTAGTTTTCTTCTCTCAGACTGGTGAAACGGAGAGGAGAAAGATGACAAGTTGTCAACTGCAAGCCTCTGAAGAAATAAATAGGTAGATCTGTACAATTCCTTTTTGTGGAATATAGGGAGGAATATGAAGGAGGCCTTGGCAGGAAATTTGAGTATCTTATAGGAAAAGGCAGTAATGAATTTGACATGCTAAAGAAAGATACCATGTATCATGGATGTTGTTTCGCATGGTCGTGCAAGTGGTCAAGACCCCGTGACACTGAAGGAAAGACAGGCTCAACTCACAGTGTCGAATTGAGTGCTATGATTTTTGGAAATGTTTTGATGATCAAAATGTAACTTCTCTGTTTGAGAGCTGACCAGAATGGGCATTCAGTGAAAAAACCACTTTGTGGAAGTGGCTCCCAAACATCACCAATATCCACCAGAATGCCAACCCTTAAGGCCTCTTTTACATTATTTTCTATCAGACTTTTCTACACTTTTTGAAGTTGAGCAACTTCTTGAAACCCTCTCCACCCTGATCGCTGAGAGATCCTACCTCCTTCTCTTTTGGTTTCTTAGCCTTTTGTCCTCCTAACTCTCCTTTTCCACCAGTTCTTTAAAATGCAAGGTTCCCCTTATATTCTGAATTCTGTTTTCTTACCTTCCAGTTTAGCACTCTTTCCCCCTGGAAATGCCACCTACTCAGCTATCATGAATATATTGAAGATTCCCACTCAAATCTGTGAAGTTCTTTCAGGTTTCTGTAGGTAGAATAATTGCACCCTTTTTTGTGCTGTCAATTAAATTTCCCCCTAGCTCCATGAAACCAGGGTAGCTTCTGTTCACACATTCTTCTACAACTAGCCCCCAGCACAATGTCTGCCACATAATGGATATTTCTGTGTATATGAATAAATACATGCAAGAATGAATGAATGTTTACCTACATTTATAGGTGTTATAAATTAGCTTTTAGCGCAGATATTTTTAGTAGCAATTTAAAGCAACCCACGAGTCTCAGAACTGAATGCATGCAACTTTTTTAACACACTTTTTAGTTCTTTTTACTTTAGCCCGTCTTCTCCATTAAGTGACTTTCTGTTCAATTTGTAAAAAAAATAATAAAAATAATAACATTAACAACAATGAAAACTTGTTTTAAACTATGGTTACTGCAACAAATTCTAACACTGAACACATGTTTTAGGACAATCAAGAAAATGGCTAACTACAAAAGCAGTTTTGTAAAAAGAGTAATCAAGCCAATAGCAATGCCCTTTAACATATGAATTTTAAATATCCAATGCGTTTATAGAGTGAAGGAGATGTCATTAGTTCTACGTACGTTTGTTGTTGTTGTCCTGGTAGAAAATATATTTCTTACCTTATGTACTGACATATCACAAAGAAATTACAACTAAAACTGATCTCCAAAGTGGAGGAGAATGATTGATTGAGACACGAGATAAAAAATTTCAAGACAAATGCTGCCCTTTTGTTAACTTACATTGCGGTGGTAATTTGTTTACCTTCAATGAATAGACAAATAGCCCATTTATGTTAATACTAACATTTTGAAATATCATAAGATTATTACCATGTCATTCTCAAGTGTCATTTGTTGACTTTTTCCTAAGAATTATAGATATTTTCAGCCTAAAGGGAAATCAACAGATGATCTTATCCAGTTCTCTGCTTTTAGACAGGTAAGGTATTAATATTCCCATCTTAGGAAGAAACCACTACCGAAGATGTAAGAAATTGAATGACTTGACCAAAGTTCACAGTTAGTTAGTTGGTGGAATTTTAGATTTCACATTTTCCAAATTAGTGCTCCTGTTTCTATTCTGTGTTACTGATTTCTGCCTGCAGCATTTATGACACTGCATTAACCTTATAAAATACTATTATATTATGACATATTAAGAGGCACATTGTGGTGAGACTCAGGAAGGATACGTTATGACCTTATAGGACCAAAGAAAAGAAAAGCAGCACTAAGTTTTAGCCTCCGCTTCTACACTGTGAAGATTTCACACATAAAAAAATGAAACTTTAATGAAAAAAATCATAACTGTGACCTTAAATGTTTATATTTGAAGAGTAAAATAGGGATAGGAGTAATGTCAGTAGGTTGAAAGAAAACTAATTCTTTTTCTTGAAATTTTTTTCTACTCAGAATGCTGTGAATAAACAGCAGAATCCTATTGTTATTCTATTTGAGCTATGCTCATATAGAAAGAAGATAGTAAGGAGAAAAATGCCCATTATGTGAATGTTTTTGTACTTGAAACATACTTCTGATATCTTAGAGTAAGATATTTGCAGAAAACATCTGTAAATTATTGCGATTGTGCAATAAACAATCATGCATGCCCTTGTCAACTCTCCTTCTGAAACTGTCTCAGCTCAAAGCAGGCTTCTTCAGCCTTCTTCTGCCACTGAGAGATATATTAAACTAGCATTATAGAACTCTTCTCTTTGAATCTGTTATATCTGTCCTCCTCAGGCACTGACCTGTTTTGAAATCATTATCTTTTCTCCTATTTCTCCATCACCACAAAAATTCCTATATCTCTTGTTAAAAGTAAAACACAAACTTTAGACTAAATAAATGTAGCAGAGTTTATTTGAGCAAAGAACAATTCATGAATTGGGTAGCCGTCAGAACCAGAGGAGGTTCAGAGATCTCCGCCCAGCAGTAGCAGTATAAGCAGCCAGATTTTATAGGCCAAATGTAGAAACCAAGTAGGAAAATTACCTGTTTGGCTACAGTTAGGTGTCTGCCTCATTTGAGCATGGTGAGTACTTGCCTTTTTTGGTCATGGAGTGAGGAGTTAGCTGAAACTCAGCTATTTGTTATACTCCTTGATTAGGTTTTGGTTTGTTTACAGTCCAAGTTATGCTGAACTTCATTATGTAGGAACTCAAAGTGGAGAGCCAGCCTCAGACGAATTCCTTCCTTCTTCTTTAATTTAACACATTACAATAGCTATCACAATGTACTCTGTGATGGTCATCCCAGCAGCCATTCATGTCTGCCAGTTACACCTCAGTTCTGGGTGTTGGCCACAGTCAGTTCCGGTCAATCAGAATGGTCCATTCTCCTGGTCACAGTGATTCATTTAGGGAAGGGCATATATTGAAACTTGTCCCAATAAGAGTGAATCTCATAACTTTGCTCATGGGAAGAACAGGGAAGACACGGTGTCTCTTTTTTTTGAGTGGTGTGGGATGCAGATATGAGGTGCAGAATGGCTCTGGCCATTGTCTTATGATAAGGAAGGCATCTTAAGGATGCAGGTGACATGTGAACAGGGGGAAGATGTGAGAACCACATAGAAACAGTGAAATAACCAACACACCCTTTAAGCTTTCTTTTCCTCTTCGTATTTCAGTCACAAAGGCTAAAACCCAAGAGGAATTCAGAGGCAAGAGCCTAGTTTTCATTAGATATTCTTTCACTTAACTGAAAGTGTCTTAAAAATTATCAGAGTAAAGGAAAGGTGTCTTACAACACATACAGTATGAAACTCACATAGCTGAGGGTGTCAGACCAAGAACAACGAGGAACCCACCCTATCAGTGACAATTTTGTGGCATCTTGTTAAAGGTGTGGGCACCAACTTATGAACTATTGATGCTCTAACATGTAATTTCGTGATATGATTCACTCAAATTATTTGCACCTTGGAGGTGACTTTTTAACTCCAAGGGAGTGATTTTCTTATGCTGCTATTTGTGTAAGTTAGTTTTGGGGCAGGCAGAGTTTCCCATTTGCCTCTCAAATTATATAGACTACTCTGTGTGTGACACGTGTTGAGTGAAAAAAAAAATACAATCTTACTATTAATTTAGATAACAAAAATAATGCCATTCTTTAACATATTCAATAATTTTTCTTAATGCTCATCTGTACTATTGCTCTTTTTCTTAAGTGCCCAACTATACTAAAACTTATACTTAATTTATAATTAAGGAACATCTAGCATGGTTTCAGTAGCATTTTGGATGCTCCCAAACCTCAAGTTTTTGTCAGCATTGTTTTGTTCTGTCTTTTTAAATTTTCTTTTGGTGGAGACTAAACACAACGAAGTTGCTAACTTAGGACGTGGCCACAAAGAATTTCAGTCTCAGCTGCATAACTAAGGCAGATGGAAAGACGCAGCATCTGCTACACATTCTGGGTAAACATTCTATAACCTCTTAAGCAAATATAAATTCAAGGTGCCCTGTGCTTCTGCCCATACTTTTGGCTGGCCTCCAGGAGCCCCCATGAACCATCTGTCCATTTACATTTGTACTGAATTGTCAAAGACAATCATGATGTTGCCTGATTTTCACTTGTTTACAAATGAGGTCCATACTGTGCACTGGGAAGAACCTGGGGCAGGGAATAGAGGATACTGGGTTGTGGTCGTAGTTTTGCGCCTAACAGGCAATGTAATCTCAGAATGTTTCACCTCTCTTGGTTCCTTTTCTTATCTATATATCACAGGGTGGAACTAGATGTTCTCTGAGATACCTTCCAAATTCTATGGAACATTTTTCTTTATGCCAAAATATCATCTCCCTTCCATACGATTTGGTAAAGAGCCTGATGGTCTGCCTTGACCAAATCCTTTAAGACCTGAGGAAATAAATTTGGACTTATGGGAAAGCCATGTGAACTAAATAAACAGTCGTGGTTACTTCCATGAAGCACCAGTCTAACAGATTCTCTCCTTGAGCACAGCTACATGTCCATCCACTCATCCATCCATCCGTCCATCCAACATGTCTTGAGCTCTCACAGGGATGGCGACTACTGTATTTACTGAGAGAATAGGGCAGAATGCCAGGAATGGGCAGAAATAACACATAAAAGTTCATTTCTCTATGCTGAAAAACACAGTTCACTATCTCGTAAAAGGCCAGAAATAAATAAGCAATTAATTTACTAACTTCTTTGTGGACTGGGGATCAAGGATTAGAAAGAGAAGGAGAGTAATGAAGGTAAATGAAAAACTCAAAAGAAGGATACACTCTGGATATGAGAGAAAGCTTTTCCTCAGTTGCTTACCCTTTGCCACCAGAGTTAGAAAACTACCTGAAATAAATGTATCCCATAATTGCCAGAGCCTAATAAGGAAACATAGATGATTAAATATACCCTGTATAAATGAATTTCCTGGATAATGTGAGCTTGTTGAGTCCTGAAACCATGTCTGTTTTGTACACAGCTGCACCCAATACAATTAGCACAGAACCTAACATGCAGTAGACACTCAATAAATACTTGCTACAAAGGCTATTGGATGAATTAACTCAACTAATTCTAATTGGGGCAGTGCGATGTATTCTTTATCAATTATCAGGTAAAATATCTAATATGTCAATGTGTATGAAAGGAATTAGGCTGATTCATGGAAAACAGCAGAAATATTACAACTTCATTTTTATAAAATTAGGAAGGCAATGATAAGTACATTCTTTTAAATAATTTTAATACTAAACATTAATGCTTAGAGAAGGTAGAAGTAAGAATTTTGTGTGATTACAGGGCTATTACTACACCATCTAACATGGAATTTACTAATTACTGATTATGATTACATTTATTAAAAAGCCACTGTTACCCTTCAAGAGTCCAGAGCTGTTGGATAATCTCTCTCAGTGGATGGCATTCAGATCCAGGGTGGCCAATTTAGAGCAGAGGTTTAAGCAGCCTGAGAAACGAAGATGCAGCATTTTACCCTATGCTAGGCCTTGAAAATTGCAGCTATAGCCTCAGGCCAAGGGGTGGTGAGTGTGTGGCTCCCTCACTGTCCGTCATTCCAGCAATAGGTCTTCTACGGTCACCCCGAGAGCAGCAGCAATAATGTCATCAAGACTGTGTAGCAACAGCCATCCCTCTCTTTTTTTTTCCCCAAACAAAGGAGACCAATATATATTGGAAGTCCTTACATTTTATTTATATACAATAGGACACATTTTGGATGCACCATTACTTTTACGTAATTTTTACTGATGGACCTTATTCTTTTAGTGAAAGAAATCATAGGCCCGAATGTTGTCAAGTGAAAATAATTTTAGCTTTTATAGGAGCCATAGGGTCGTTTGAAGCAGTGGGAATGTCTTAATGATTAAGGATAGATATTTTTCAGTGCATATGTGGCTGATAGAATAGGGACTTGGTCAAATCTGTGTGGGATAGACTAGAGTCAAGCAATCAGAAGCTTTCGGGACATTCTGTGGCTTCAAGGGAAAAGCTTTCAAATCTTTTAATATTGCTCTGTACTAAGGCATTTCAGAGCCCACTTCCCTTTCAGATTCAACCATTACAAAAGTGGGAAGCATTGCAATCATTCCAAATGGGCACAGTGTGCAGAAGGTAAGAGGAGAATTAGGTGTATTAGAGCCCTTTATATTGGTATGTGTTCACTCTGTCACTCAGTTAATCTGCTAGCAATGATTCTAAAATGCTAAAGCCACATGGTGTGAGCCAGGAATTTTGTGAGATCTCTGCAGAGGAAAAAAAAATCTGTAGAAAATGGTGTTTGAGAAAGAAAAATTGAAGCTGGATGAAATTAAAGTGCTAACATATCTCCTCTACTCCTACTGGTCTAGACAATCCACTGGTGCCCCTCTGGATGAAGTCAGCTGTGGGCAGAGGCCATTAGGAGTTAACTCTCCATCATACCTACTGCTATGTAAGTTGGTGTTTGGTAGAGTTGCTGATCAGAGCTTTATCTTTCCTTTAGAGAATGGAATAGTCAAACAAATTAGGTAATAGGAGCTCAGCTTAGCACATGTCTCCAGCAGACACTACCAATTGCCCATCCAGAGCTTCACCATCTGACCAGGCAGAGCTTGGATGCCCTCAGCCCTCTGGGTGAATGGACAGAACTCAGGTTGGCTGGAGCACTGGGGCCAGTGGATACTGCCTGCCACAAAGGCACTAAAATCCTGTTTCCTTCAGCATGCCACAAAAATCAGATCATTTTTAGATTTGCATGACATTAAACATGTTAGGAAGTACTCATCTTCCAGATCTCTGTTCTCTCCTTCTTCCTTATTCAAGATAATCTGATTTTGTTTGGGGCAGAATGTGCACAATGTGCTCAAAGAAAATATTTAATATCCTAGTTCCATTATGGATAGACACGTCCAGGTAGCATAGTTGTTGCCAATATAAAGTGAGCAGAAGTTTACTAGATGGGCCTTCTAGAAAACCTAGAATTCCCTGGACTGTTGGTTCTCAAAGTGTAATCCCTAACTGGCAGCATCAACATATCCTGTACCAACACTCACTCTGCACTAAGGCATTTCAGGCCCCACCCACTTCCCTTTCAGAGTTAACCATTACAACAGTGGAAAGCATTGAAATCTTTCCAAACGGGCACAGGGAACAGAAGGTAAGAGGAGAATTTGGGCTTTTAGAGCACCTTATATTGGTATGCTCTCGTTAAAAATGCAAATTCTTCACAAAGGGCTACTAAATAAAAAACTGGGGGTGAGGCCCAGCCATCATTTTATTAGTAAGTGTTCAGATAATTTTGATGAATGAGCAATTGTGAGAATTAATGTCTTAAACCTAGACTAACAGTTCCTAGACTTGACTGAGAAGTGGAGTCACCTGGGTTGACTGATACTTGGGTACTAATGCAACTACTTTTGCAAAAATTGTAACTGAGACAATTATTAAAGTGAGAACAATCTGACTCGATCTTGCTTCTAACCTCCAAACTGTCCTTGTTCATTCCTGGGTGTAGGCCAAACTAACTTTGGGAGGAAAGTAGTTTATACTTTAACTTGGAAACAAAGACAATAACAGCCCTTTCCCCCAAAAAACTCCTTCCTGTCTGGGGACTAGACTGCCTTTTCAGTACAAACAAATTAGCCACAAGATTAGAAATTATGGTTTAGGAGTCATGCAGCTGGAGGCTGCGAGATTCTAAACCTCCCCAAATTGCTCCTGGGGATAACATCACTATTGTAAAACCTAAGATCAGTGCTTGAGATATTTTGCAGGCCCTGGACTTGATGGATCAGCTGACACTACCCAAATCGATAAACTGGCTCATCTGTTCTCATGGCCTCCACCCAGGAACTGACTCAGGTCAAGAGTGCAACTTCGACTCCCTGTGATTTCATGTCTGACCTGACCAACCAGCACTCCCAACTCTCTGGCCTTCTGTCCACCAAATTATCCTTAAAAACTAGAATCCCCAAATTTTCAGGGAGAATAATTTGAGTCTAATATTTAATAAGCCTCTGGTCTCCCATATATCTGGCTCCACATGAATTACTCTTTCTCTATTGCAATTCTCCTGTCTTGATAAATTGGCTTTGTCTAGGCAATGGGCAAAAAGAACCCATTGGGCAGTTACACTACCCCATAAGTTCTTTTTGTATTGTCCGGGGAGGTGGGTTGTGCCAGCCCCAGTCTTCTGGTTGAGATACTGCACTGTGGTTATTCTAGATGTTTCCCTCTTGCTCCTCCGGAGAGTCTACAGAGT
The DNA here is from genome assembly GCF_000001405.40 of Homo sapiens. Lineage (NCBI taxonomy): Eukaryota > Metazoa > Chordata > Mammalia > Primates > Hominidae > Homo > Homo sapiens. The sequence goes on along the minus strand of NC_000006.12, from coordinate 23,562,340 downwards.
GTCAAGGTCAGCAGAGTCTAAACTCTTAGTGGCACATTCTACTCTGTTCAGAGTTATTCAGTGATCAAGAAGACTAAAACTGAGTCTGCATTTTTTTTCTGTTCACTTATTAGTTGAAAGCTTCACTTTAAAAGTCAGTAACCAGGAGAGCTGTGCCAAGAATCTGTGTGTTTCTTCCTTACCCATTCTCTTCTCCCCACAGTTGTCCTAGAAAAGGATGAGAGGGTTAGATCTCAAAGGTCCCAAAGAATGTTTAAATATGGTAGCAGTGGTAATAGCCCTGTGGAGCAACCAAAGGAACATTGCTTTATATTCACTGCAGAATCTTCACACTGGAAGAAAGAGCTTTTTACATATGTTAAGTCACACAATGCCACATCCTATGGGCTTCATCTAGGGCCTCCAGCTAAGACTAGTGCTGGCTGTGCCCCAGTATGAGGTATGCTAAGTAAGCAACACAGTAGTTTAGACTTGGGGCACTGTGGTTTGCGGCTATCCAAGTTTACTTGTTTATTGGCCTCTAGGCTTTCCCAGTTGTTGGAGAAGGCAGCCAGAATGGGCACAAATAGTTGAAACAACATTCTGAGCAGTGTTTAAAAATTGGGTTGTAGTGAATGAGCCAGACTGGGTGGAGCTGATGCATTTGGTAAAACACATGTTAGCGGACGGTGGTGGTTTTGTTTCATAGTGAGGGTGGATTTTCACAATGGTGAACCACGCTTGGACATAGCCTATGCAACTTGATCTGCAATTAACAAGTAGCTGAACTGAAAAACAATTTAATTGGAGTTTTTTTGATAAAAGCAACCTCACAGAAATGACGCTCACTCTCCGCCTCAGCTGCAGAGAATTGTAGCAAATGAATGCTTAGTTAGGACAGCATTTCTCTAATTTAAATGACATACACACCAGTTTAAAAGGAAAAACAAAAGCTTTCAGTAGTCCTAGTAGTAATATAAGATAGTTTTTTTTAAAGTTACCTATAAACAAAAGTAGCTACTGGATATTAAAATTATCACCAATTTAATATGATAAATCATGTTTGCTGAAGAAAACAATCTTGTTTCAATCACCAAATTACAATTTTTTTTATTGGTTTATGTTCCAGTCTGGATCTGCTGTGAAATAGCTGCCCACGTGAACATGCAAGAATTTTATTAAGAGAAATGCCTGTGAGAAAAAATGGGAGGGAACCAGGGAGCCTGACAGAAGTCTGACTATTACCGGCAAGGGGTCCTGATCTAGTCTCTAAGAGAAGGTTCTTGGATCTCACATTAGAAAGAATTTAAGGCGAGTCCACAGGGCAAAACAAAAGCAAGTTTCTTAAGAAAGTAAAGGGGTGAAACAATAGCTACTCCATAGACCGAGTAGGGTGTTCCCTAGAGCAAGGGGAGGAACACGCCCACCCTAGGTACAATGCTTGTTTATATGTAGGATAAAATAAGATCATGGGGGGGATGTACTCTGCCAAAAAGGTTTGTGATAAAGGATTCATTTTCTTAATTACTATATTTTGCAAGAATCTATATTATTATCTTTAAAGCAAAATTAGGAATGCTTCTGTTCTCAAGATATCGGGATATCAGGACACTCCTAAGTCTGCGTTTGTTTAGTAAATGTTATCAATCTGTTCCCTTAACTTTAAAAATCTAGAAGTTACGAATGTACCTGACTTTCTGGGAATCCAGCCCAGCAAGTCCTAGCATCATTTTCCTAGCCCTCACTCAAGATGGAGTTTGCTATGGTTCTGACACGATCACTTATGAAGGAAGGAAAGAAGGTTGACTGGAGGGTCTTAGACTGCTGGGCTGCCTACAGAAGATTCAACAAGGCCGCTGGGGTGTCATTCAGCTAAAGCTGTCTGTTATAGGAGTCCCAGTGTCTCCGGGACACCTACTCTAATGTTCCTGTTGTGTTTTCATTGTATACTCTCGCATGTAGCAGCAGAACGTATCCGAGTCACATGGCACCAAAGTATGTTAGCAGTAGCAAATCCCTGTGGGTTTGCGGCAACCTCAGTTCTTGCCTCCTCAGAAGAAAGGATTTGACTAAGGAGTGTAAGGCAGAGTGAGAGACCGAGGCAAGTTTGAGAGCAGGAGTTAAAGTTTATTACAAAGTTTTAGGACAGGAATGAAAGAAAGCAAAGTTCACTTGGAAGAGGGCCAAGTGGGCGACTGGAGAGATCAAGTACACAGTTTGACCTTTGACTTATGGTTTCATATGTTGACATCCGTCCTGGCTCTTGCGTCCCTTCTCCCCTGATTCTTCCCTTGGGGTGGGCTGTCCTTATGCACTGTGGCCTGCCAGCACTTGGGAGGGGCTGGGGCTGCATGCACAGCATGTTTACTGAAGTTGTAAGCATGCTCACTTGAGATATTCTTCCCTTATTAGTTGAGTGTTCCTGTAAGGTCATATACCGGTTAAACCTCGTTTACTTCTTAGTGCACATGCATGAGCCCACTCACCCAACTCCTGAGATCTTATCTGGATCTCAGATAGATTAGCTGGCTAATCACCAGCTTCAGGTGTTTTCTATCTATTGGGAGCCTGCCCTTCCACAGCACCAGCTGTGACCAATTATTGTTTTAGAGGGACAGTTTAACAACCGCCTGACAGTTGCATGATAGCCGTCTGACATTCCTGGTGGAGGGGTTGAGGAGCTGTCCTGCCCTGCTCATCCCTGCCTGACTACCTATTATAACATTTCTAGTAATAGATCATTACAAGTTAGCACATAGATGGTATGCATTCAAGTTGAAATAGTACTAACTTCTAACATCTTTTGAGGTGCAGATGTGTATAGAACCGCATAATATTCCATGATTCAGTTTTTCCATCACTTGTATATATTGTGAAGTATTACTGGTAACATTTTCCAAGGTCATTGGAACTTCACTTGCCACAATTTCGTCGTTTTCATTTCATGTCTGTCTCTGTTCCTTTCTTAGTTGCCAGAAACATTTAAAATGCATAATATTTACTTTATGTTGTTTTTGCTATTGCAAGTCTAATTTTTAAAAAGTCATTTGTTAAACTCCAGTGTTATTCCTCCAAAAATATTTTCTAGTTTTGAATGACTAGCACAATAAAAGGGTGGGAGGTGATTTTACAACTGGAAAAATAACTCAACATGAATAAAAGGCTGCCTTTGTAAATCTGTCGTTCTGATAATAGAACAGAGCAGCTTAATGATAGCCAGTTATACTTACTGAAACATGAAAAGTTAAATATCATTGTGTTACTAGATTATTTGTTACAAATATGAGTATAAATATAAATGCAATGGCAGCACTGCATTCAGGTGGTGGTGTATGGTGTTGGGTGGCTGCCCAGATAACCTACATCAACAATTCTCAATCCCAGCTATGTAATATAATCAAGGCACTCCTAAAATATGTATCGGTACCTGAACATCACCCTTCGGAGATTCTGATCCAATTGATCTCCAGTGAAGGAGAGTATTCATACATTTTAAACTCACAGTTTTTTTATGAAAAGACTTATGGGTTTTTTGGTTATCTTAAAAATGAGAAAATAATTAACATAGAGATCTTTTTATCTCCGAAAATATGATCGTGGGTAGTAGAGTCACTTTGAAGACAGTTCAGCAGTTTCTTATAAAAATAAACATTCTTTGACTGTATGATCTAGTGATTGTACTTTTTGGTTTTTACTCAAATGAATAAAAAACTCATATCCACACAAAAACCTGCAAAAAGATGTTTGCAGAAGTGCTATTCATAATTGCCAAATTTGGAAGCAACCAAGATGTCCTTCAGTAGGTGAGTGAATAAACTGTAGCACATCTAGACAATGGAATAGATTATTCAGCAATATAAAGAAATGAACAATCAAGCCATGAAATGACATGGAGGAAACTTAAATGCATATTACTAAGTGAAAGAAGCCAAGCTTAAAAGGCTGCATACAATATTATTTTGACTGTATTACATTTTGGAAAAGACAAAACTGTATATTACAAGGATTAATATACAACCTCTGGTTACCAGAGGTTGGCGGAGGGTGGGATAAATAGAGTACGGAGAATAATGACATGTATCCACCATGGCAGTGTTTACACTGGAACTACTCTGTACAACACTGCCATGATGGATACATGTCATTACACATTTGTTAAAACCCATACAATGTCCAACAACAAGGGTGGACTCTAATGTAAACTATGGTTTTGGGTGATAATGATGTGTCAATGTAGGTTCATTGATTGTAAAAGATGTACCATTTTGGGTGAGGGGTGTTGCTAGTAGGGGAGGTGGTGTGATTGTAGGAACAGGAGATACATGGGAATTCTCTGTATCTTCCACTCAATTTTGCTGTGAACCAAAACTTGTTTTAAAACTTACAGTTTAGCAATTAAAGAATATGATCATGGGTCTAATGATCCCACGATTTAGTTTTGCTTTTATTTGGGAATTAGAATTGGTTGTACATACTCTTATTTCTCTTTCCTTACATCTACCATCTCATTGATTTTATTTTCAAAATATCAATTATTTTTATAATATTATAATTTTGAGGCAGTTCTCTGTAAATAAAACTCCATAATGATGCAGTAGGAGTATTTTATTTGAATTTATTTGAACACAGTTGCAGAATACTTCCCAGGCAAAAGAAGGCTCAGGGCTTCATTGATGTTGGCAATTTGTCAACATCAATGAATCAATTGGTATATTAGTAAAAAATCTCCAGTAGTTATATCAATAGAATTTCTGTAACAGAAAAATTGTGGTAGCAAAGGACTATATGGACATTTCCGATGAGGAAGCTGGAAAATTTATAATGATGAAAGCAGGTCAATTTTTTAAAAAAACTGGGTGCTGAAATACCTTTGTTTTATTTGTAGCTGCTGGGCAAATAGACAATTTCCTCCAATTTACTGGAATCACTAAAAATAAAACTTTTATAATATTAAGGGAGTGTAGTGTTTTCTTGTATTTAAGTAGATTTGCAATAAAATACGAAGTCCCAAAGAACAGCTTGATGTTTTTTAAACGTCTTAAGCTTGGGACTCTTAGAGACCTGATGCTAATTCTGGCTGTAGCTCTTACTAAGCGTCGTCTAGGAAGGAGATTAACTTCTCTTGACCTTAGTTCTTCAAATTGCAACATGGAAATAATTATAACTCATAGTTTTTTTCTGAGACTTAGGCAAGATAATGTATGTAAATTACCTGGCAATTGGCGCATAGTTGTGGTCAAATTAATTGTGAGTTATTATTACTGACAGAAATATATACGCAATTACAATGACTCTTGTCCCTTTTCCAATCAAGGGATGGTTCCCATGGTTTTCATTTATTTGTTTTGGTTCATGGAAAATCTGGGTATTCTAATAAATCAAGATCCAGAAACAGGGACATACTCCCAGGCTCAAAATTATGTATAAAATACCCCAGATTTCAAGAGCACTCAAAAATCTGTATATAATCCCCTTAGTTTTTAGGGCAATCTATTTTAGAGTTTGTTCTGAAGATGGTCTCATAGAAATAGGAACTGTGGGTTTAGGAATGGTGAAGTGTGATTCTGTATTAGAGAACTCAAGGGACATCTGAGGACACACATCACTAAAACTGTAAGTGTGCTGCTTCTGGTTTCTCTGGTATCATGGCCTCCACCTTCCCCAACCTCTGGTTCCTGTGGATCTGCCTTCTGTTTCTCAACTTCTCTGATTTTGATTTTTATTCATCCAGACTCAGTATACCTGACTAATCTCCGTTGAACAAAATAAATATCAGATCCTGAGGCTCATTGCCAGGTTTCCTCTCTTTTGCAAGGCTTCTGGCACAAAAATTAGTGTTCAACATGGTCATTCTAATTTCCTTCCCATGGAATCTAATGTGTCGCAGTAGAGATCCTTCAACTCCACTTATTCACTCAACTGATGTGATATATTAGAAGCTCAAACAGAAAAATGGATTCTAGGAGGACTATACCTTCTGCCATCAGCAACACATTTCATGATTCCATGAAAGGTGACCATGAATCCCTGCAAGCCTCAAAGCTGTTGAAGGCAGAAGCTCCCATCCCATCCCTCTTCCATTAGTTTTGTTATGCTAGAGCTTCCTTCTCTATTTGTTTTTGTTTTTTTTTTAAATAAGGGGTCTCCCTTTGTCCTTCAGGCTAGAATCATAGCTTACTGCAACATTGAACTTCTGGGCCTAAGCAACCCTCCCACCGCACGCAGCCTTCCAAAGTGCTAGAATTGCAGGTTAAGCCACCATGACTGGCCCTTCTTCTGTTTTTTAATTGCTCTGTTTTCTGGCTCCAATGCATAAAAAAAAAAAAGAGAGAGAGAAAAGTATGTTGTTATTTATCCTTAATCTTTCCCTTCTCCAGATTATAATAGCTACTCAGTATTTCATGACCTTGATGCTTTTAAAGAGTACTAATAAGTTATTTTTTTCAAATGTTCCTCAATTTTGATTAGACTGTTGTTCTCTTATAATTGGATAGAAGGTATGCATTTTTGTCAAGAATACCCCCCAAAAAATGTTATTGTGTCTGATATGGTTTGGCCAAATCTTATCTTGAACTGTATTCCCCATAATCCCCATATGTCTAGGGAGACACCTGGTAGGAGGTGATTGGATACTGAGGGCAGTTTCCCCCATGCTGTTCTTGTGAGAGTGAATGATTTCTCATGAGATCTGAGGTTTTATAAGGGGTTCTTCTCCCTTTACTCCTCACTCTTCCCTCTCTTGCTCTCATGTGAAGAAGGTCATTGCTTCCCATTCTCTTTCCACCATGATTAGAAGTTCCCTGTGGCCTCCCGAGCTGTGTGGAACTGTGAGTAAATTAAACCTCTTTTTGTTCTAAATTATCCAGTCTCTGGCAGATTTTTATAGCACTGTTAAAGTGGACCGATACAGTAAATTGGTACTGTAAAGAGTAGAGTATTGGATAAAGATATCCTAAAATGTGGAAGTGACTTTGGAACTGGGTAACAGGAGAGCTTAGAACAGTTTGGAGAGCTCAGAAGAAGACAGGAAGATGTGGGAAAGTTTAAAACTTCCTGTAGACTTGTGAAATGATTTTAACTAAAATGCTGATAGTAATATGGTCAATGAAGTCCAGGCTGAAGTGGTCTCAAATGGAGATGAGGAACTTATTGGGAACTGGAGCAAAGGTCACACTTGCTATGCTTTAGCAAAGAGACTGGCGGCATTTTGTCCCTGCCCTAGAGATCTGTGGAACTTTGAACTTCAGAGAGATTATCTGAAATTGGAACTTATGTTTGAAAAGGAAGCAGAGCATAAAGGTTTGGAAAATGTTCAGGCTGACAATACAATAGAAAAGGGAAACCCATTTTCTGGGGTAAAATTCAAGCCAACTGCAGAAATTTGTATAAGTAGTGAGGAGACAAATGTTAATTGCCAAGAGAATAGGGAAAGTGTCTCCAGGGCATGTTAGAGGTCTTCATAACAGCCTGCCCCATCACAGGCCTAGAAGCCTAGGAGGAAAAAATATTTTTGTGGGCTGGGTCCCCTGGCCTTGCTGCTTTGTGCAGTCTCTGGAGTTGGTGCCCTTCATCCTAACTGTGGCAAAAGGGGCCAACATACAGCTCAGGTCGTTGCTTCAGAGGGTGCAAGCCCCAAGCTTTGGTGGCTTTCACAGGGTGTTGGGCCTGCAGATGAACAGAAGTCAAGAATTGAGGTTTGGGAACATCTGTCTAGATTTCAGAAGATGTATGGAAACACCTGGATGTCCAGGAAGAAGTTTGCTGCAGGGGCAGAGCCCTCATAGAGAACCTCTGCTAGGGCAGTGCAGAAGGGAAATGTGGGGTTGGAGCCCCAACACAGAGTCCCCACTGGGGTACTGCCTAGAGGAGCTGTGAGAAAAGGGCCACCATCCTTCGGACTCCAGAATGGTAGAGCCACCCACAGCTTGCATCATGTGCCTATAAAAAACACAGATATTCAATGCCAAACCATGAAAGTAGCCAGGAGAGAGGCTGTACCCTGCAAAGCCACAGGGCAGAGCTGCCCCTGACCACGGGAGCCCACCTCTTGCATCAGCATTACCTGGATGTGAGACATGGAGTCAAAGGAGATTATTTAGAAGCTCTGAGATTCAATGGCTGCCCAGCTGGATTTCTGACTTGCATGGGGCCTGTAGCCTTTTTGTTCTTGCTAATTTCTCCCATTTGGAATGGGTGTATTTACCCAGTGCCTGTGCCCCCACTGTATCTTGGAAGTAACTAACTTGTTTTTTATTTTACAGGCTCCTAGGTAGAAGGGACTTGCCTTGTCTCAGATGAGACTTTGGACTTGGACTTTTGGGTTGGTGCTGGAATGAGTTAAGAATCTGTGGGACTGTTGTAAAGGCATGATTGTGTTTTGAAATGTGAGGATATGAGATTTGGGAGGTGCTGGGATGGAATGATATGGTTTGGCTGTGTCCCCACCCAAATCTCATTTTGAATTGTAATCTCCAAGATCCCCACGTCTCTAGGGAGAGACCTGGTAGGAGGCCCTTGTATCATGGGGGCAGTTTCCCCCATGCTGTTCTTGTGATAGTGAGTGAGTTCTCACAAGATCTCATGGTTTTATAAAGGGCTTTTCCTCCTTTGCTCCTTACTCTTCTCTTTCCTGCCACCATGTAAAGAAGGTATTTGCTTCCCCTTCCCCTTCTGCCATGATCATAAGTTTCCTGAGGGCTCCCCAGTCATGTGGAACTGTGAGTCACTTAAACCTCTTTTCTTCATAAATTACCCAGTCTCAGGCAGTTCTTTATAGCAGTGTGAAAATGAACTGATGCAGTGTGAAAATGTACTGATACAGTGTCCTTATCGGTGCATTATATCGGGGTACATCATGTTGACATATCTTACTGATGAGGTTTATAACTAAATACAATATGGGATACTGGAACAGTAAGATAGCATTAGTGGAAAAACTAGTAGAAATTGAATAAGATTTGTACTTTAGTTAATAATGTATCAATGTTAATTTATTTTTCTTGATAATTATATTATGGTTAGGTAAAAGGTTAACATTAGGTGAAGCAGCTTGAGGGATATAAAGTAACTCCTTTCATTATTTTTGGAACTTTTCTATAAATCCAAAATTACTTCAAAATAAAAATTTTTTATAATGCAAAATATGAACAAAGTGTACAGGGAAGATGATCTGAGGGCCTGGTAATCTGTTAGTGAATAATACATTTCTATTCAACTAAACATGGGTTGAAATTGCTTTACATACATGCTTAGCATACTTTGCAATGTCAATAAATGAAACTTGGCCACATGGAATATAGAAATACAACATGAGATCTATCTAGTTAAAATGCTTAAAAATAGTTTGAAGGATAACTGAACATACTCCTTTCCCATCTCTTCCAAAACTAAAAATTACAGTACAGTTTTTTCAGGTTTGCAAATATATACTGTGGGATTACTTGTTCAGAGTTCAATGCTGTGACATTTTCAAAATCTATATGGCTATCCTTCATATTAACTGAAATGTAATTTTAAACATTACATCCTCCTTCCTCAAATCCTCTTAGGGTTTTTCTCCTGTGTTATAACTCTGGACCAATTCAATTACATCTCAAATCAGAAGAGGTTCAAACAAATAGCATAAGAGTAAATCAGTTTTCTTTAAGGCAGCTGGAGTTTATTAAGTTGAAAGATTCCAAAGACTTTCCTCAGAATGTTTTTAGAAATTTGCATTTGAAAATAACTTAGGAAAAAATGAAATTATTCATTTCAAAATGTGTTGCTATTGATATTAAAACAAATGTTAAAAATAGACAAAGAATCTTGTTTTATCATTTGTGGGTTGCTTGTGGCTTTAAAAAAATTGGTGCTATTACTAAGCTTGTGTTGTGGCTTTTTATATATGAACAGTTTAAATCAAAGCAGCTGTTTTTGCTAGGACAATAAGCCAATTTTCCTAGAAATTTTGAGGACATGATTTAAATGGAAAATCCACCCAAGAAGTTGTAGGAGGGCTATCTAGGCAATATTAAATAGGTCTCACAGTACCCACTTTTCACCTGTAGCTTCAATAAATGCCAATTATGGATAGATAGCATCAGCATATGTATATTCAAAATATAGTCTTGTCCATGTGGGAGACTATGGTTGGAAAGCCTTACATGAAACCCAGGGTTTTGTTTCATGTTTTGCTAGCTTTGTTTTCTCATAGGAATACTTGATTTCTCTGTTTTTCAAACCACACTTCAATTATTTTCCAAGTTTTATAGAGTATATAATTTTGTTATCTCTAGATTTGCTTCTCTTCTTCATCTGTCACTGGCTTAGATACAGCCCTCATCATTCATTAATTCATTCAAAAGTATAGACTGCCAATTATTATTAGAAATTTTCTAGAGGGATTCTTTATAAAATGGCAGATTGTTCATACCTCTCTCCTGATAATATCTTCCAATGAGTCTCTAACTTTCAGGAGAAAGCCCCAGTCTAATATAGAGTAGATAAAGCCCATCATGGCTTGGTGTTGCTGTCGCACCCTCTCCCTCACTGTGGTCTAAAACATATCGAATTACTTGTGTCATCTCAAACTTATCACACCTCTGCACATGTCCATCCCCTGTATTAGATTCCTCATCACAAGCTCTAGTTGCCTTTTGCACGTACTACAAAAGTCATCTTATGGGCTACCCTCTCTGAGAAGTACCACCTAGTAAATGCTTGTAGAATAGAGGAAGAGATAAAAAGCAGACATAAAATAATGAATTAATTCCTGGTTATGGTTCTAATTGGGTCTAGATGGTTTCCCAGAGACTTTGATCCTCAGGGATCAAAAATGTCCAGAGCAAGAATGGTACCTGTATAGTCTGCTGAAACTCCTGGTACAAATCAGTGATTTTGTCTGTTTCAGAATGCCAAGAGACTGGGGTGTGTGTGTGTGTGTGTGTGTGTGTGTGTGTCAGTGTGTATGTTTATTTTTCTCTTTGAAATAGGGAAGATGGTGGTCATTCTCAAACTCAAGCAAGTTCCTGAGAATGGCCCATATTGAACCTGCTCTGAGGTAATCTAGAATCCTTGTTTAATCAAGAATCTATTCTCAGCCCACACCATGCTAATATAAATATCTTCACCAAGTAGAGAAAAAAAATCAGAGGAGATGGAATAGAAAAGTCAAGGATCTTTGGATTCTAAAAGAGCTTCCTTCTAGAAAATTGCTATTCCAGAGATCCAAATGCACCTTCGGAACCAAGGAGGTCTAGAATGGGACTCTTGTTACAGAGTCCCCTTCCATTACCCCATTCCAGGTTTGAGTGAAGGCCACTGATGACTTCTCTCAGGCCTGCACCATGATTGGCCCATGGTTGCTCTGAAGAGCAACCAGTCATCAGTAGGGTAGCTCATGTACCTTCTTACTTACCTGAATGAATTGCTGTCAAACAATTTTAATAACGTTTTTATCAAATTTATTTGTACAAAGATTCTCTTTTTTAAGAAAAATGATAACCCCCACCCAAAATTACCGTAACTTAAAAGTGTTATAGCTCCTAGGAAGCCCATTATGTGCTCAGGAAATGATACCCAGTGGCTGCACCCTAACACTGTTGTTACTGTGAATTGCTTGCCGCTTATGCAGCAGTGGGGCCCCAAGTATACTTATGTTTTCATTGTTTACATATATTTTCTATCTTTGCTCTTAATCTCTAAATATCTTTCAGGAAATATCTATCTTTGAATCATTTTATTCCCCATAGCACCTTGCATAATATTTTACAAATAGAGGTAAATAAATATGAGTTAAGGTACTGAAAGAATAAAGTAAAATTCATATTTTTCACTTTGGAGAATGCAATATGACTTTCTTTGCCTTCTTTCTGTAGTAAAACTCCCTCCACTCCATGTCGGTTTCATTGTTCTATTAACTTTGAGTAAAATCTAGTCTTCTTATTTGGTCATAGCCATAAATTGTACCAAAATAATGAAAGAATCTTAGGTCTCTTTGGACAAATATTAATGAAAACATGAACTGATCTCCTTACATTAAAAAGTTTTAGCATTCACAATTACTTAGATTTCAATAATTTTGTGTAATTATTCGGGATAGGAGTATTAGGGAACATTTTTAGTTTACACTCGTTGGTCTCTTGAACTTACGTTACCTTTCAAATAGAGTTGCAAAACACACTATGCAAAGTTAACTTCTACTTTTTTTGTGACTTGATCATTAAACTCAAATTAATACCTTTCATTTGTCCTATGGCAAAAAGTACTACTTGTGGTGTAGTAGAATATGTATTTTCCATTTATCCAACATTTTAAGAACAATAATTAGCATCCTGAATAGTTTTATGAAATCCAGTAATGCAAGCCTCCAGAATTTTTTAAAAATCATAATAAATGATTACGTGGGAGGAAATAACTGCTTTTCTTGAACCAAAGATATTTGAAACCCTAGAAGTAGTCACTAAAAGCCACTGGTTGCCTTTTTTTCTGTAGTGCTCTCAAAAGGTGATACTAATGTTTAACTGAGATGATAAAAGTAAATCAGGTTCTACTGGATTGCATTCCATAGAGGGATTTGAGTTTTTATTTCCCTTTTCCTTATAATTGAAAAAAATAAATAAATTTTATTGTTCTCCAGACTATAATAGTGGACCCATTCGTTTGGCTTAGTTATTTTCATTCTGAAGCAAGCACTGAACTAGATACCTACACATCTAAATTATTAGCCTGTCTCTGTGTATTAGCTTGTGAATTCATTTTTCACCCTTTAGGTGTACTCAAGATCTAGCATATATACAACATGTATCTGGCAGATAACTGAAGCTCAGCCAATGTTTATGGAATGGAATAATTAATGCTTAATGTGACTTTGGTCAAAGTTTTCTCATCTCTCAAATTGAATAGAGTGATACTCAACTTCCCTTCCCATTAAAATTTTATGATTCTAATTAAGCCCTTTCCCAAATTGCTATAGATGTAAATTTCAGAGCAGAGCAAACTAGGTTACTTTTTTATTGTCTAAGGCATATATTTACCTTTCAACAGTGGTTATTCATTTTTTGAGAAAAAAGGTCATGTACATGACAGAATATTATATACATTCTTAACAATAAAGGCATTTCCCTGCAAACTATTTTGCCATAAACCTTGGGTTGGAAAAGGGTTGAATATCAAGTAGTATCAGCGACCTTATATTTATCCTGCCCTCTTGATTGAATTTCTTATTTTTAAAACATGATAGCTTGTATTGGACCAACACTCACAGATATTTTCAAGGGTTCTCCAAAGAACACATATTTAAGTCTGAACATCAGGCAATGTTTGACTGGAAAGTGTATTGGTGTTTTTTGTCTAGGTATGTTAAAAGATATAAATGTAAATATTCAAAATTCAGCAAAGCCCAAACAGGATAAATGCAAAGGAAACCACACCAAAATAGAGAGAAAGTCCTAAAGAAATAAGGAGAAAAGCAAATCATTACAAAGGCGGAAGATCAAATGATCTCTGATTTCGCATGAAAAGAGTGGAGTCCTGAAGCTAGTGAAACACTGTCTTTAAGGTGAGAATATCTCTCCAGAATGAAGGCAAAACAAAAGACACTTTCATTAGAAAGCTACAAGAATTTCTTACCAGGAGATCGGTACTGCATGAAATTCGCATGGATAATTTTCATACTGAATGAAGAGCTTCTGATACACACATGCACACACACACACCCACACACACATACATATACACATGTATATATACATATGTGTGTGTATATGTATAGAGAGAGCAAACCAACAAAAAACAATAAAGCAATAGTTGAAAAACCTGTATAATTGGATATAAAATTAAAATGTTTTTTCCCCCATTATTCCTTTCAACTGTGCTTGAGGAAATCTACCCTACTGCCTCTAACACATCTCACCCAAGTACCATAGCTTTTCTGTCTCTTTCTGTAGTTAAAAAAGGAGCTGTTTCTCTCTGCTTGACTTCCTCTTATCTAAATAATGCTCACTCTTCCCACTTTCGCTAGCCAAGTTTCAGCTGAAAATCAGCAGTAGGGAGAGGTGTGGCCTCTTCTATAACTCCCCTTCTTTCTCTTTTCTGTGTTCCTTACTCTTTATGTTGTAGGAAAAAGATAAACAAAAACATCAGATTATCTTTTTATTAACAAGTGCTGCCATGGTCTTCTTTAAGCGGTCAAAACACAGGTATGCAGCCTCTGGGCACACTGGAGGGCCTATGTCATAGGAATTCAGACTCTGGTTATGTTCTGAGACCTGTGTCACAGATATTCAGAGCCTGACCATCTCCTGGGGCCTGTGAGCAGTCTTAGGCCACCTTGTGGACTGCTTTAGTTATGGGCCAGTAGGAAAATTTTCCATGCTTGACATTCAGCAGTATACCCTCAGCCAACTTTTCTGGCCAGATATTGTAGAGTCACATATTTCTAGGATTCCCTCTTTGTCCAGGTTTTATTAAGTAAACATAGAAGGAATTCCCATATTTCTGGGACTCCCTCTTTGTCCAGGTGTGTTAAGTAAACATAGAAAAAAGTAGCCAGTCTTGACTAGGCTGCTCAAGGCTGGCTTCTTTCTTCTATGTTTACTTAACACACATGAAATCTCTCAGCCTCACTACCCAAAACTAGTAGGTGTGGCTTCTTTTCTCTGCTGGGACATCACCCGCATCCCATCCTCCACTAAAAAGAGCAGAAGGCATTTCAGAATTCTCTTCCTAAGTAAATGGTCAATCAGTAATGAGATGCTGGTCTTTCTTTTAACCCTTCTTATTTGACTGTAAAGAGAAGGCAAAAACAGATCCTCATACTACTGAACAAGAAAGGAGAGAAAAGCCATGAAACTCTTTCTCTAAGCCAATAAGCCACCATTCCCATATATACCCTCAAATCTTCATCTTTTTTGTACATTTTGTTAGATTAATGGGGGAAATACTTGGGAAAATGGAATAATTTTGACTGCCTGTGTTTAAATCCAAGGCCACTATCTGTGTCTTTCAGTGTTGACTCTCTTTAGAATGTGGGAGTAATCATCACCTCTTTGTGTTAATATTTGAATCTTATTCACTAATTCAGAAATCAAGAGAAAAGCAAATCGTTACAAGAAAAGATCTATTCAGCATTCCGTCACAATTGCACAGATTAAAATCTCCTAGGTATAAGGTCCACCAATTCTTCTTAAAAAAAAAAAAAAAAAAGTGCTGAGTGTAGTGGCTCATGCCTATAATCCCATCACTTTGGGAGACTGAAGTGGGTGGATCACTTGAGGCCAGGAGTTTGAAACCAACCTGTCCAACATGGCAAAACCCCATCTCTACTAAAAATAAAAAAATTACCCGGGAGTGGAGGCACACACCTGTAATCTCAGCTACTCAGAAGGCTGAGGCAGGAAAATCGCTTAAACCCGGGAGGCAGAAGGTTGCACTGAGCCAAGATTGCACCATTGCACTCCACCCTGGCTGACAGAGCCAGACTCCATCTCAAAAAAATAATTAAATAAAATAAACATCTCTCTCTCTTTTATTGTTTGGAAGGTGGAGCAAGATGAGAGAACTTGTTTAAAAATCTCGAGAATTTTGAATTTCTATTGCATTCTCTTACTGCGACTAGAAATTTAAAAATACAAGCATTTTGTGAGGTTTGATCTGAATGACCCCCAAAGCAGCTCCATCCTTTAAGGTTTTGTAGCCTCTATGCTCTTAATGAACACATTCATTAGCTGTAGCTGTGTCCATAATGAGAATCATACTTTTAGGATTAATTGCAAGTTCTACAAATTTTGGGCTAATGGTTTAATCAATGACCCACCATGTATTCTGTATTCAAATTTATGGCTTCACTGTCACCTATTTTAATGTCTTCTAAATCTGCATCCAGTTGGTTCTCTCCTGAGATCCATGAAAAAATATGGAATGCTCATATGTATTTTGACTTAATCATAAGTAGACCTATCCTCTTCTTTCCAAAATGTTGTATTCCTATGTTTATTCATTCAATGAATATATTTTGAGCATTACTCTCATGGATCAGTCAGTCTCTTGGAGGAAGATGGCTAACAACCAAATATTACATGAGATGATAAGTTCTGTGGGAAGAGCAAAGCAGGAAATAGAGGATGAAGGGAGTGCTTTCTTACAAAAGTTGGTCAACGAAGTTTTCTATTGTACAGTCATATCTGGGTTGAGACATCAAGAAACTATAGCTGTAAATCACACAGATACCTGAAGGAAGAACACTCCAGAGACAGGAGCTGGCTTGAAGTGTTCAGAAAAAGGCATGGAGGCAAGTGTGCCTGGAGCACAGTCAGCTCAGAGATGTGCATAAGTCAAATCACATATGGTCCTATCAGTTGTTACAAGGACAGTGTTTTTACTCAGGGTAAGATGTGAAGAGCTGGGGCTACCAGCTGGACCTGAGGACAGTACTGACTGCCACTATCTTATCTTGGTTGTCATCATCTCTCATCATTTTTAATCAAGAACTGCTGTTTTTATCTGCAGTCTTATTCCTCAATTCACTCTCTGAAGTCAGATTATAGTCTTTCTAAAATGCATATCTTTTTCTGTGGCACTTGTTACTTAAAATCCTCCCAAGCCTTCATTAGAGACCAGGTCTAATCTTTTTAGATTAGCGTACAAGATCTTTTGTAATCTAGTTCTTTCTTGCCTAACCAGAGCCTTCTCCCATAGCCTCCCCTTAAACAACTAATAATTCTTTAAATGCACCAGGTTCTCTTATGTCTCTTTGCACATGCTGTTCTTACTTTCTGATGTACCATGATCAACTTGGTTCTCTGCTCTTTGTCTACCATTGCATGCCCCCTCCACAGTGATGCCTTCTTTGACTTTCCTAATTTATATTCAGGTGTACCTTCTACATGCACTTCCTTTTATCAAAATGTATTTTAATGGTCTTTTTACATTTTTTTATCTTCTCTATTAGATTATGAGCTATGAAAGGTCAGTGGTTAACTGTGTGTCTGATTGTTTCTTTTTATATCTCTGTTATCTACTCCCCAGTGCCTACCACAGTGATTGGAACATAATAGATGCTAAAGAAAATTCCTCTTAAATAAATGATGCAGGTTCATCTAATATGTTGTGAGTTATAACTTATTCTGATCATTAAGAAGAAACCTTGAGAAAAAGAGTGAAAAGACCATCCAAAGGAAATAAGAAACTGTTTGCAAATTATACATCTTATAAAAGTCTGGAATCCAGAATATATAATGAATGCTGACAAATCAACAACAGAAAGACACAAGTAAAAAATGGCAAAGAATCTGAATAATCATTTCTCCAAAGAAAATATGCAAATGGTCAAGAAGCACACACAAAGATATTCAACATCATTATATTAATTAGGGAAATGCAAATCAAAGTCACAGTGAAATAGTACTTTGCATCTACTAGGATGGCCATAATAAAATGATCATTTTCAACTTGATTATTTCCATAAACAACCTACCTGCACATAAGGCCACATTTTAAGGTATTAGACATTAGGACTCCTATATATGTTTTGGAGCATGGATACAATCCAACCCATAGCAGCACTAAAACTGCTAAGCTCTGTGAATATAATTAAAGCTTCTGATCTTCTTATTACTGCCTCATTTTTAAACCTAAGTAGACAAAAAACTGAAAAAATAACTTTGAGGAAATAGGATATACCAGATGAAGGAAATTAAGAAACAAATTTCAGATAGGTATGAAAAGACATCAACAAACAAGAGCTGGTGCTCTAAATGAGCCAGGGTTTACCATCAATTCTATTCCTACATGGGTTTCTTTCTTTTTCATTTTTATAAAAGTAAATGCTGAAAAACTTTGTTCACACAAAGAAGCAGATGGAAATGAAAGAAATCTCCTTGTAGCTGTTAATTAGTTGAACTCCCTTAGTTACATATAAAAAGCACATACAGATCAATCGCCAAAGTTTTTAAATCACAAATTAACTGATAACAGAACTAGGTCCTACTGTAATTTTGTTGAAAGCAAAGCATTACAAACCACTACCTGCCCTGCATAAAGCTGTTATTTAAGCAATAGAGTTAGCGACTTCCTCTACATAAACCATCATATTTCAAACTTTCTTTTCGGTACCCAGGGATTTTTATATTTTTGGAGCGATGTTTGACAGTAAATTTCTGAATGGATACATGGGTTTTTTGTTTTGCTTTGTTTTTTATTTGTTTTGCTTGAAATAAACACAAAGAAATACTTTGTACGTACAGCTCTATGAATTTAACCACAGGTAGAGATTCAAGTAAACACCGTAACAAGAAAACAGAATGGTTGCATCATCGCTTCCTCCTTTCTGCTAAAATACCTTCTTTATGCTACTGCTTTTCCTTCATAGTCTAACTCTTCCTTCCACATCCCCCTCACTCATGACAATGCTGATCCAGTCTCCATCACTCTACATGTGTCTTTTGCAGAAAGTTATGTAAATGGATTCATATAGTATGTCCTCTTTTGAAACTTTTCTTTTTTCACTTAGCTTAATGCCTTTGAATACAACTTTATTATTTCCTGACGCTGAATAGCGTTCCATTGTATGGATGTACCACAGTTGTTTATCCATTCATCCACTGAGGGATGTTTGGGTTATTTCTAATTTGAGGCTACTATGAATAGAGCTTCTGTAAACTTTTGTGTGCAAGTTTTTGTGGAAACATAGGCTCTCGTGTGTATTAGTTCATTCTCACACTGCTATAAAGAACTACCTGAGACTGGGTACTTTATGAAGAAAAGATGTTTAATTGACAGGCTGTACAGGAAGCATGGTTGGGAGGCCTTGGAAAACTTACAATCATGGCAGAAGGGCAAAGGGGAAGCAAGCGCCTCGTTCACATGGGAGAGCAGAAGGAAGAGAGAGTGAAGGGGGAAGTACTACACACTTTCAAACAAACAGATTTCGTGATAACTCACTCACTATCATGAGAACAGCAAGGGGGAAATCTGTCCCCAGGATCTAATTACTGCCCACCAGGTCCTTTCCCCAACATTGGGGATTACAATTCTACATGAGATTTGGGTGAGGACACAGAGCAAACCATATCATCATTTCTGTAATGTAAATACCTAGGCATAGGATTGGTGGGCTGTATGTTAAATATAAGTTTAGTGTTTATTTAATGCTTTCAGAAACTGCCAAACCACTTCCCAGAGTAGCTATACAATTTTGCATTTACATCAGCAATTTATAATTGTTCCAGTCATTCTACATCCTCGTTAGCCCTTGGTGTTGTCAGTATTTTTTATTTTAACCATTCTAACAGGTTTATGTAAAATGGAAATAGGGTCATTTGAAAGAAGATATGAAGAAAAAACAACACAATATTTAAGAATAATGAAACAATTACAAAATGTGTGACATGTGTAATAAGGTCATAAGGAAAAGAAACAGAAGTAATATCTGAAGCAGTAATGACTGATAATTTCTCCAAATTAATGTCAAATATCAAACTACAGGTCAAGGAAGCTCAGAAAACACTAAACAGAATAAATCCCCAAAATAAAATAAATCACATAAAAAAACACACCTATGCACTCTATCTAAAGTGAAGTAAAATATTAAAAGTATTGAGATAAAAAGAAAAAAAAATCTAGAATTCTCTACCCTGTCAAATTATCCTTCAGTGGTGAAGGAAAAACAAATACTTTCTCAGATAAACAAAAATTGAGAGAATTTTCACCAGTAGACCTGCCTTGCAAAGAATGTTAAAGAAGTTCTTTAGAGACAAGGAGAATAATATAGGTTAGAAACTAAGATCTACATAAAGAAAGGAGGATAATCAGAAAAGGAATAAGGGAAGGTAAAATCAAAATGTATTTTTCTTTATTTTTTAAGATGCTGCCCAGGCTGGAGTGCAATGGTGTGATCTTGGCCCACTGCAGCCTCTGACTCCTGGGTTCAAGTGATTCTCTTGCCTCAGCCTCCCAAGTAGCTGGAATTACAGGTGTGTACCACCACACTCGGCTAATTTTGTATATTTTTAGTAGAGGCAGGGTTTCACCATGTTGGTCAGGCTGGTCTCAAACTCCTGACCTCAAGTGATCCACCCGCCTCAGCCTCCCAAAGTGCTGGTAATACAGGCATGAGCCACCGTGCCCAGCCAAAAATGTATTTTTCTTATTCATAGTTGATCTAAAGACAACAGTTTGCTCAAAATAACAACAGCAACAATGTATTTAGTTATGTACATATAGATATATGCTTGTTCATAGGTGAAATGAATGACAGCGTTGTTCCAAGGCCAAGAGGAAACAATTAGAACTATTTTATTATTATAAGATACTTGCACTACCCACACAGTGGTATAGTACTATTTGAAAGTGAACTTGGATTTGTTGTAAATGTATATTGCATACTCTAGGGGCAACTACTATAAAAGGTTAAGAAAGAAATATGTATGCTAGGAAAGGAGGAAAATGGAAATACATAAAATGCTCAATTAAAACCACAAAAGGCAAGAAAAGTAGAAGATAAAAATAGGAAAAAAGAAAAAAGAGCAATAAATAAACAGTAACAAACATGGGAGATATTAATACAACTATATCAATAATCATTTTGAATGTCAATTGTCTAAATTCACCAACTAAAAGATAGAAATTGTAAAAGCAAATCAAAAATAAGACTCAAATAAATATTGTCTACAAGAAACCCACTTTAAAGACACATACAGATTAAAAGTAGTGGAGAATAATACATCATGCTCTTCTTTTTCAAAAGAAAGAAGGAGTAGCTTTACTAATTTCAGACAGAGTATACTTCAAAGATAGAAAGTTATTAGAGAAAAATAGGGGCATTGCAGAATAATAAAGATGTCAATATTCTATCAAGATGTAATAATTCTTAATATGTATGCATCTAACAAGACAGCATGAAGAATACAGGAGGCAGGAATACAACTGCAAGGAGAAACAGAATGTACTGTTACATCTGGAGACTTTAATACTCCTTTATCAGAAATGGACAGACCCAGCAGACAGAAAGCAGTAAGGAAATAGATGAATTAAATAGCACCATTGATTAATTGAATATAATTGACATGTAAGGCTGCTTCATTAAAATAGAATTAATGCTTCATTAAAATAGAATTAAAATAGAGCTTGAGAATAATTCTCAAGCTCACATAAAATATTCACTAAGATGGGTTACATTCTGGATCATAAAATACATCTTAAATGTGAAAGAATAGAAATCGTACAACATCTACTCTCAGACTACAATGGAATTAAGCTAGAAATAAATGACAGAAAGATAGCTGAAAAATCCCAAAATACATGGAGATTAAACAACACACTTCTAAATAATACATGGGTGAAAGAAGAAATCTCAAGAGAAATTTTGAAGTATTATGAAAGAAATGAAAATAAAAATACAACTTATCCGAATTTGTGAGACACAGCAAAATCTCAAATTTTTTGGGATGCAGTGCTTAGAGGGAAATTTATAGCATTGAATGTGTACATTAGAAGAGAAGAAATATGTTAAATCAGTACTCTAAGCTTGCTTTTTTGGAAACTAGAAAAAGAAAAACAAATTTTGTCCGAAGCAAGCAGAAGAAAATAAATAATAGCAGGAAATCAGTAGAGAAAATAAAACCAAATGTTGCTTTTGAAAAGATCAATAAAATTGATAAACTTATAGCCAGGCTAACTAAGAAAAAAAGGAAAGAATACATATTATCAATATCAGAAGTACCACAGGGAATATCACTACAGATATCATGGATATTAAAATGATAATAAAGAAATGTTATGAACCAACACTATGACCACAAATATGGCAATCTAGATATAATGGACCACTTCCTAGAAAGAAACTAATATGGGTTGGCTGCGTCGTCACTCAAATCTCACCTTGAATTATAATAATCTCCATGTGTCAAGTGTGGGCCCAGGTGGAGATAATTGAATCATGGGGGCAGTTTGCTTCATACTGTTTTCGTGGTAGTGAATAAGTCTCACAAGATCTGATAGTTTTATAAATGAGAGTCCCCCTGCACAAGCTCTCTTGCCTGCTACCATGTAAAACATGACTTTGCTCCTGCATCGCCTTCTGCCATGATTGTGAGGCTTCCCCAGCCATGAGTGTTCACAGATCACTCATAATCTGTGAGTCAATTAAATCTCTTTTCTTTTTAAATTACCCAGTCACTGGTATGTCTTTATTAGCAGCATGAGAACAGACTAATAGAGACACAATCTGCTAAAACTCACACAAGAAGAAATAGACAATCTGTTTAGGCCTATATCTATGGAGGAAATTTAATCAATAACTAAAAATCTTCCAAAACAGAAAGGTCCAGACCAGATGAGCTCAGCTAGTGGATTCTACCAGACGTTAAATGAAGAGATTATAGCAATTCTCTACATCTCTTTCAGAAGACGAAATTGGAAGGAATATTTTCTAACCCATTCTATAAGGAAGGGCAGGTTACCCTAATTATATATGTGTGTGTGTATATATGTATGTGTGTGTGTGTGTATATATATATATGTATATATATATATATATATATAGATGGGAAACATTGGTCTACAGACTACACATTCATCAGCAGATAACTTTTATATATATATATACACACACACATAAAACAGCATATAATTATATATATTATATATAAAAAATCTGTAGACCAATGTTTCTCATGAACACAGATGCAAAAATTCTTAACAAAATATTATAAAATCAAATCCAACGTGTTTAAAAATAATTGTTCACCATGACCAAATGGAATTTATCTCAGGTATGAAAGGTTTGCTCAACATTCAAAAATCAATTAATGTAATCCACCACATTGACAGGCTAAATTGAAAAGAATCACATGATCATATCAATAGATGCAAAAAAAGAGTTGACAAAATTCAACACCCATTTATGATAAATACTCTGAGCAAGGTAAAAATAGAGTTTGTTAAATTGATAATGACCATCTACAAAAACCTACAGCTAAAATCACACTTAATGGGGGGAAACATGAATCTTTCCTACTAAGATCAGGAACAAGACAATGATGTCACCTCTCACCACTGTTTTCAACATCACGTTGGAAGTCTGAGCTAATGTAATAATACAAGAATAGAGAATAAAAGGTATACATATTGGGAAGAAAGAAATAAAATGGCCTTTTTACACAGATGATATAATTGTCTTCATGGAAATAAACAACAAAAATGCATCTTTAATTAATACGTGATTACAGCAAAGTTGCAGGATATATGGTTAATATACCAAAATCAATAGCTTTCTTATATACCAATAAATAGCTATATATTAATGAATTTTAATTTGAAATTAAAAACAAGTTACCATTTACATTAGCTCTTCCAAAATTACTTAGGTATAAATTTAGAAAGTAAGTATGTGCAAGATCTATATGGGAAAAATATAAAACTCTGATGAAAGAAATCAAAGAATTAAATGGAAAAATATTTAATTCTCATGAATAGGAAGGCTTAATATTCTCGATATATTATTTATTCCCAACTTAATCTATAGATTCAACACAATTCCATGGAAAATTCTTTGAGAAGTTGTTTTGCTGATATTAAAAAATAGATTCTTAGGTTTAAATGGAAAGGTGTAAGACCCATAATAGCTGACTCAATATTGAAGAAGAACAAAGTTGGAGTATTGACTATCTGACATTAAAACTTAATATAAAGCTGCAGTGACCAAGAGAGTATGGTATTGGTGAAAGAATACACAAATAAATTAAGGGAACAGAATAGAGAGCCCAGAATTAGACCCATGTAAACATACGCAACTGATATTTGACAGTGGAGTAAAGGCAACAGAGTGGAGTAAAGATAGTCTTAACAAAGGACACTTGGATTACTGAACATCCACGTACAAACACATGAGTCTAGACATAGACCTTACACTTTTCACACAAAAAAATAACTAATATGAATCATAGACTCAAATGCAAAATGCAAAACTATAAAACTAGAAGAAAACAGAAAAAAATATAGATGATCTTGGCTATGGTGAGGACTTCTTACCTACAATACCGAAAGCACAAACTATGAAAGAAATAATTTATAAGTTGAATTTCATTATAATTTCAAGCCTTGTTCTGTAGGAGACAATGTCAAGAGAATGAGAAAACAGGACACAAGCTGGGAGAAAATATTTGCAAAAGACACATCCAAAAAAGGATTGTTACATAAAATATACAAAGTACTCAATGCTGACTAATAAATGGGCAAAGGACCTTGACAGGCATCTTACCAAAGATGATATTTCAAAACTTATCAACAATAAATATGCCCTTTATCAGGTGGGTGTGTATGCTGTGAGACATCCAGACAATGGAATAATATTCAGCACTATAAAGAAATGAGCTATGATGTCATGAAAAGGTATGTAAGAAACTTAAACATTACTAAGTGAAAGCTAATCTGAAAAGCCTACATGCTGCATGATTCCAACAACAGTACATTCTGGAAAAGGCAGTAAAAGGATTAGCAGTTTCCAGGTGTTAGGCAGAAGAAGGGATGAACAAACAGGGGGTAGTGAGGGCAGTAAAACAATTCTTTGGGATACTACAGCAGTGGATACAAATTGTTGCACGTTTCTGAAAATCCATAGAATGTACTACATCAAGAATAAAATTAATGTAAATGATAAACTTTGGGTGCTAATGGTGTGTCAGTGTAGGTTCATGAATTTTAACAAATATAGCGCGTCTCTGTGTCCCTACCAAAATCTCTTGTCAAATTGTAATTCCCAATGTTGGGGGAGGGACCTGGTGGGAAGCGGTTGAATCAGTGGGGCAGACTTCCCCCTTGCAGTCTCGTGATAGCGTTCTCATGAGATCCAGTTGTTTAACAGTGTGTAGCACCTCCCCCATCTCTCTCTCTTCCTCTTGCTCCAGCCATGTAGGACATGCCTGTTTCCCCTTCACCTTCTAAAATGATTGTAAATATCCTGAGGCATCCCAGCCACGCTTCCTGTATAGCCGGTGGAACTGTGAATCAATTAAAGCTTTTTCTTCTTTAATTACCCAGTCTCAGGTAGTTCTTTGTAGCAGTGTTAGGATGAACTAATACAGCATCACTCTGATGGGAGATTTTGATGGCGGGGGGGCATTGTGTGATACTGAAGACGGGAAGTATAGGGGAACTCTCTGTACATTCCAGTCACTTTTGATGTAAATCTAAAATTTCTCTAAAAGTAGTTTATTAATAAAAATAAACAAGTGATATAGAAAAGGCTATCATGGATTATTTACTACAATTTTCTACAATTATATATACAACTTATGAAATAATGTATTTCTTAAGTTCAGTTATGGATACATGAGTAATTATTACATAATTCTTTAGGTCTTTTTTTCCTTTTCTGAAATATTTAATAATAGATTTAAAAATACTTTGAACTCATTATTTTCTTGTACCACCAGCCATTCTTTATGTCTATTAAATGATGCAATCCATTCCAATTCTTCAGTTCTTATTCCTCAAGTCTCTAAATCTTACTATGACTTTGAAAAAAAAAATTGCTAAGGCTACTGATGATATCCTTTATTATAAAAATTTAAATTTAGAAAACATGAAATGGTAGTCTTTTTTAAATCAACTTTTGAAGTTAATGTTGATGATTTTGAATGATAAATACAATGTGAAAAATAACTTTTCAATAACTAAACATTTAGCTTGTTCATTTTAAGAATGCCTTAATTATTGGCTAGTTGGTTCTTCATTAGGAAGTAGGCTAGGTCATTAAAACAGTTGCTGTAATTCACTCAAGACAATAGTACAGTGAATTCAATATATACATTATAGTATTATTATCATTTTCTTTATCTGCATACTGTACTTTCTATATAAATTTGTTTTCTTGAACCATCATTACTTAACAGAAAAATTAATCTCAATTCATTATGAAAGAGATGAAATTCCATTTTATTCTAGAAATATCCATTGCTACTATTTTTGCCTTTTATGTACATTTTGTCCAGAAGCTAAACTTTGAGCTTCCTGAGGGAAGCGTGTCTGGTTCAGCCACTTAGTCTCGTCACTCCTCAAATTGCCCCCTCTCCCTAAAGCTAAAGGTTATTTATTTTTATTTATATTATTATTATTATTTTTGAGACAGAGTCTCTCTCTGTCGCCCAGGCTGATGTGCAGTGGCACGATCTCGGCTCACTGCAAGCTCCACTCCTGGGTTCATGCCATTCTCCTGCCTCAGCCTCCTGAGTAGCTGGGACTACAGGCACCTGCCACTGCGCCCGGCTAATTTTTGGTATTTTTAGTAGAGACGGGGTTTCACCATGTTGGCCAGGATGGTCTCGATCTCCTGACCTCGTGATCCACCAGCCTCGGCCTCCCAAAGTGCTGGCATTACCGGCGTGAGCCACCGCGCCCCAGCTTCAAGGTTGTTTATTAAATAATGGAATGTATGAGCAAGTGAGTGGAGCTTATTGAAGGCTGCTTTTAAAAAATTCACTTTTCTTGTTTGTATTGCGCTATGATACTCACATCTTATGTATAGCTCAATATATTATTCATTTAATTGCTTTGTAGGTTTTATCATATCTTTGCTTCCACATAATACTTTTAGATGATCTCTCTCATTTATATTTCCTGACTGATTTCTTAAAATTATATTCAAGTCTTGATGTCAGTTTACCTGTTTTAGACATAGTTTTAGACTCAAGAAGCTTCAGCTAACTTCTTTGACTCTGCTGATCACAAACAGAAATGGCCTGAGATAGCACTGGGTAAATGTCAATAAAATTATTCTATTTTTGCAGATGTTTAGATTTATCTGTATCAAATTTGACTGTGAATACGTGTCTCCATGTGTAATGATCTAAAGCTAAATGATGAAAGCTGTTCTTAAAAGAAAAAAGGCATTCTGAATCTTTACTGTAAATTATATGCCATACAAAATCAGTCCAAATTGTTCAAACTCTTGGACACTCACAGTGTTATTTTGCTCACTGTTCAGAGTACTGTGTAATTACCCTAGTTAACAGCAGTTTGCTAGTGCTGATCTCCTAAGAAGAGATACAAGACATAGAACTAAAATAAGTACAGATGTGGTCCCTGTTTTTGTTCTCTGACTCAGCATGTGAAAAACAACCACTTAATTCCAGGCTTTTCGCATTTCCCTAGTTAAGATGTTAAGCTAGATGAATCAAGCGGTTGCTTGGTAAATAAGAATTTCTACAGTTGAGATGGAAGGCCAAGTGCTATATGTGTCTCAAAAGCTAAATTCACTTCATGGAAATGAACATTAATTTTCCTTCCATAATGAAGGAAATTATTGACTCTTTTGTATCTCTTTCCTTTCTCAGCATGGGAAAACTATTTACTGAAACATTTTGAATTCTGATGATACTGCATTGTAATTTATGATAGTTATAGTGTCAGAAAATCATAAGAAAAAACAAGATGATGGGAAAGTGGATGAGAGCTAGGCAAGTCCAAAGCCACATTCCTACCTCGAAAAAAAAGTACAAGCTAACATGGTAGAATTTAAGCTAAAACGGTAGAATTTAAACAGATAGAAATAAAATGAGTGAAATTTGTTTCAGTAACACGGTTGTTGGTTTCCTTCCTACTTTAGCTTTATTCACCGACCTAGAGAAGAATTTGGGTATCAGAAACGAAGCCATAGTACAGTGTATAAAACCTTCCCCTCAGTACATGAACCTCACTTTCCCAGAGGCTCCTCTGGGTCCTGTAAATCAGTCTTCACTCTTAATTGTGTCAATTAACAGTGCCCTGAGTAAGCCACGGGGGCAAAGCTGAGAAGTCAGAGAAGGAGGTGAGTATGTGGCAATCCTCTTGACATAATGGAGACTAACCTAAATTACATACTTTATTATAATGGCATTACTAACCTACATATCATTGCAGATGATTCATTCCCATCATAATCATGAGGGAATCCTGCAAGTGAGCCTGAGAGAGAACTGGATCCTCATTTTTTATCATTTGATTTGACACCTTCTGCTTTAAAAACATAATAGCAATTTAAGAGTGTGTGGCATTTGTAATCCATCTCCAAAGGGTTGCTTTTTTAAATCCAGCCTAGATCAATAAGACCAAAAATCGTGGACATTTAAGCATAGTTAAAAGGGGTTGGTTGGGAAATGAGGCTGTTTTTACCCCGAGTTAGTTACTCTGTGGTAACTGGAGCTAATAGGACAGTTCTCCACGGGCAAAATGAATCTGAGAGTCTGAAGCAGTGACCTAGATAATCCAGGCAAACTGCCCACTTTTGCCTGGAGTGTCAGGAAAATTGCTCTAATTCCCCACTTCACTTTGATAGTAGAAGCCGAGTCGGTTTTCTTCAATGTCCCATTAAGCTCAGAGCTCCTCTTCGTCTTTAGGCTGGGGCTGAGCCTGTCGGTTGGAGCTCATTCTCTGTAGCTCTGGCTTTGATTGCTATGGAACTGGATGGGGCTGAAATAATAATTCTGTTGAACTCATGGGAGCTGTATGGCCATGTTATCCGTCCAATCACTCTTGTGTCATTTAAAATGGTGCTGAGTGAATAGCAATAACTGAATGCTTCAATCCTGGTCATTATTTCATCTATTCATCTATTCTACACATATTTACTACGTGTCTATTACATTCCCATTATAGTCCACGGTAACAGTATGTCCATGGTTGCATTGGGAATTGGTCATTTCTTTTGGCCATCCAGCCCCTGAACATATTTCATGTGTTTTAGAAATTCCCCAAATTGTTTGCTGTCTGCTTCTCTCTGGGGAAGCCATTCACTCACTCTTCCTGCCTTACTTTTCAGTTATGATACAGGCTAGATTTTGAAGAGGAAGCTAGTGAGGCAAAGAATCAGGCATTGTGCAGAGGGTGGCAGCTCTGGCTAAGTTCCAGGGCAGCAGAGTCATACCTTGAAGTGCCCAACCATGTCAGTATTAGCAATAAAGCCAAAGGGTCTCTACTTAGGGTAGCAGAGGTGATACCTTGATTGAACTCGTTCTGCAACATGGTTTCAGTCATCGCTCCTGGTTGTGAAGACTGGACAATTGTTCTCTGTTCCCTCAAAAGACCCCCAAGAGCTGCCTAGTAACTTTTAGTAAATACTTTTCCTGAATAAACTAGCTAGAGTTGATTTCTCTTATCTGAGATAAAATGGTTCAGTGAGAAACCCAAAATGGAGTGGTGAGTTCTACTGAGGGGAGAAGGGAATTATATGTGAGAACACATTTGAACTGAGACTGCAAAGATGAGCAGCTTCTCAGCCTGCATTTGACCAGGACTCCAGAACTTACTGGAAATTTGATCTTCAAAGAAGTTCTGATTGAAACATAGATACATAGAAGAATGGAGAGCTGATAGATAGATATCAAAAGCTCTCATTTGAATTATAAATTGTGATGCTTTGCTGTGATTGAAAAGTTTGAGGATGTCAAATAAAAACAAATTTACAGGCAGGGTGTGGGTGCTCACACCTATAATCCCAGCACTTTGGGAGGCCGAGGCAGGCAGATCACAAGGTCAGGAGTTCGAGACCAGACTGGCCAACATGGTGAAACCACGTCTTTACTGAAAATACAAAAATTACCCGGGCGTGGTGGTAGGCGCCTGTAATCCCAGCTACTCGGGAGGCTGAGGCAGAAGAATCACTTGAAACCAGAAGGCAGAGGTTGCAGTGAGCTGAGATCATGCCACTACACTCCAGCATGGGCGAAAGAGCAAAACTCTGTCTCAAAAAAAAAAAAAAAAAAATTCACAGTTTGAGTCATCTTGGTATATTAGGGTAATTAATGCAACAGACAAGCCCTCAAATTTTAGCAGTTTGACAAAAGTTTAATTCTCAATTACATCAGAGTTTGATGTTGGTGGGGCTACTCCTTAGGGTAGTTCCCATCCAACAGGGGACTTAGGACACATCCTACAGAACCTGTGGCCTCCAAAGTTCAGGGAGATAGAGAGGAAAGGACAGAATGTCTTCTGACTGCCTTTGGTAAAAAATGACTCACTTCCCCTCACAATACCTTGGCCAGACTTACTTTCATATTTCCACATAATTTCCAAGAAAGCTGGGGAATATTGAGAAGCATGAAAATATCTGGTAAGCTTTAAAAGCCTCTGCCAGTCTACCATTTGGTCACTGGATATTCATTCATTCTCTCTTCCCACATAGAAGGCACACACATATCCCTTCCCAAAGCAGATAACCCAAAGTTACATCCAGTTACTGCAATTAGCTCAAGTCCGAGATCTGTGGGTGATCCTCATATCTTCTCCATTGTATCCAGATGTTGCTCCTTTTGCTCCTGAAGCCTGTGGAGGAAGCATGATAAATTGTCTGTCCTCTTCCCACTCACACCCGTCCAATATATAACATTAAAATAGAGACGATATAGCTGCAGTAAAATTCCATTGAGGAGGAGGGGGAATGAGATACAGCTGTTGGTGCTCCATGGTAATTAGGAAGTCACATCAGGCAGAAATTAAGAGCCCTTTCCTGTGGTGTGGGAGGTACCTTGATTGTATCCTGTTCCTCTCTCTGGGGGAGCTCCCTAGCTGGCCTCCAGGGACCAGGAACTCTGGCTGTAGCCTCCTGGACTTCCTTCCTTTTCCATTATCCTCTTCAGCAGTGTCTGAAAATAATGTTGGGGGAATATGCCCACTATGCAAGTTGTACAATTTTCTCAGTCTGCTTCTCTTCTCCTATGTGGAATAATAGAAGCCTGTGGTTGCTTCAATTCTCAAAATGTCAAAGGATTTTTATTATTTTTGTGTGTGTGTCAATGCTTGCTTCCGGTTTTTTTGGCAAAATAGTATACTTTTCTACTCAGAAAGTATATAGGGTTATGATCTATAATACTTGTATCCTGTCTTGTTTCATGGGTCAGTAAGTGTACACAAAGTTCTTTTTGAAAAATAATTCTTAAACTTTTCCCCCTTTCTTGCTTGCTTAGGTGTCAACTTCTCTTAACTGAGTTTCTTTTTGGATGCCTCATGTACCCCTTCAAAACCTTGGCACATTTGATGCCAACTAAAGTTGCTTACTCAGTTCCATATAAGCTTTGACCACTTTCCTGTGAGTATAACCAGGCAGTACCTTTCCACAGAATCAAGTGTCTTCTGCTTCCTTTCGTGGGATTATAGGATTTGGCATACCCAGGGACTCCTCAGCATTCACACACATAGAAGCCAGAAGTGAAATCACAGAGAAATGAGTGGAAATAGATCAACACTTGGCCAGTGGATGATGGGAGCCAATGGATAAAGCTTCTGCCTTCTTTTGCTTGGGTGCACAGTTCTGAGATGAATTCTACAAATGTCTTCAGAAAATCATGCAAACTTGAAAGTCATTTGCCCTAGCAATGGTCAACTCCAAAATGCATTTTTCTACTGGTTCTTCCTATCTCTGAATCATTTCTCATGCCTCATTCTTTTCTCAAGTCACCTACAAATAAACTGCATGTACACCTTCTGCTTAAGCTCAGCTTTGGGGAAATATGTAGAATGAGATAGTAGCTACCTTGAGACTCTCTGATGGAAAATAGACTCATTATTGTACCATTTTCCCTGAGTCATTTCTTCCCATTGAGAAGTCTCACAGGAATTTTGCCACTCAAAACCTTTTTCTTCCCATGGTTCTCCTCTTGTACCTTGGTTTTTCACTTATGTATGGGCATATCTAATTTTACTGTGCTTTGCAGATATTGCATTTTTTACAAATTGAAGGTTTGTAGTGACCCTGCATTAGGCAAGTCTACCAATGCTATTTTTCCAATAAGCATGTGCTCACTTCATGTCTCTGTGCCACATTTTGATAATTCTTGCAATATTTCAAAGTTTTTCATTATTCTTATATCTCTTATGGTGATCTGTGCTGTTACTATTAGAATTGTTTTGAGAGGCCATGAATTGCTCACATTTAGGATGGTGAACTTCATCAATAAGTGTGTGTTTTGACTGCTCCATCGACTAGCTATTCCTCTATCTCTCTCCCTCTCCTTGGGCTATCATATTTCCTGAGATACAACAATATTGAAACTCGGCCAATTAATAGCACTACAGTGGCCTCTAAGTGCTGAAGTTAAAGAGTTGCACATCTCTGACTTTAAATAAAAATATAGAAATGATTAACCTTAGTGAGGAGGCATATCAAAAGCTGAGACAGGCTGAAAGCTAGGCTTCTTGAATCAGTTAGCCAAGTTGTACATGTAAAAGAAAAGTCCTTGAAGGAAATTAAAAGTGCTACTCTAGTGAACACACACACGAAAAGAAAGTGAAACAGGCTTATTGCTGATATGGAGAAAGTTTTAGTCGTCTGGATAGAAGATCAAAGCAGCCACAATATTCTCTTTAGCCAAAACCTAACCTAGAGCAAGGCCCTAATTCTCTTTAATTCTGTGAAGGCTGAGAGAGGTGAGGAAGCTGCAGAACAAGAGTTGGAAGCTA
Organism: Homo sapiens; assembly: GCF_000001405.40. Classification (NCBI taxonomy): domain Eukaryota; kingdom Metazoa; phylum Chordata; class Mammalia; order Primates; family Hominidae; genus Homo; species Homo sapiens. The sequence goes on along the minus strand of NC_000006.12, from coordinate 23,529,955 downwards.
GAAGAAGTTGGTTCATGAGGTTTAAGGAAAGAAGTTGTCTCCATTACATAAAAATACAAGATGAAACAGCAAGTGCTGATGTAGAAGCTGCAGCAAGTTATCCAGAAGATATAGCTAAGATCACTGATGAAGGTGGCTAAACTAGATTTTCAAATAGACAAAATAGGTTTCTATTGAAAGAAGATGCCTTCTAGGACTTTCATAGCTAGAGAGTAGAAGTCACTGCCTAACTTTAAAGGAGAGGCGAACTCTTGTTAGGGGCTAATGCAGCTGATGAGTATAAATTGAAGCCAATGCTCATTTACCATCTAAAAGTCCCAGGGCCTTTAATAATGATGCTAAATCTATTCTCCCTGGGCCCTGTATACGGACAAGAAAAGATGTGCTGGATGACAGTATATCTGTTCACAACATGGTTTACTGAATATTTTCAGCCCACTATTGGGACCCACTGGTCAGGAAAAAGAAAGATTTCCTTCAAATTATTATTGCTCACTGAGAGTCCACCTAGTCACCCAAGAGCTCTGGTGGAGGTGTGCAAGAAGATTAATGTTGTTTCCTGCCTGCTAATACAACATCCATTCTGCAGCCCAAGGATCAAGATGCAATTTCAATTTTTGAGTCTTATTATTTAAGAAATATGTTTCATGAGGCTATATCTGCTATAGAGAATTATTCCTCTGGTGGACCTGTGCAAAATAATTGAAAACTGTCTGGAAAGGATCACCATTCTAGATGCCATTAAGAATATCCGTGATTCATTAAAGGAGGCCAAAATATTAGCAGGAATTTGGGAGAAGTTGATTTCAATCCTCATGGATTATTTTGATGGGTTCAAGACTTCAGTGGAAGAAGGAACTGCAGAGGTGTTGAAAATATTAAGAGAACTGGAATTAAAAGTGGAGCCTGAAGATGTGACTGAACTGATACCATCTCATGATAAAACTTTCACAAATGAGGAGTCACTACTTATAGGCAAGAAAAAAAATGTTTTCTTGAGATGGAATCTACTCCTGGTGAAGATGCCGTGAAGATTGTTGAAATGACAAAAAAGATTACGAATATTATATAAACTTACTTGATAAAGCAATGGCAGGATCTGAAAGGATTGACTCCAATTTTGAAAGAAGTTCTCCTGTAAGCAAAATTCTATCAAACAGCATTGCATGCTACAAAGAAATATTTTATTAAAGGAAGAGTGAATTGATGCAGCAAACTTCAGTGTTGTCTTATTTTAAGACATTGCCACAGTCACCCCAACTTTAGTAACCACCACGCTGACGTCAGCAGCCATCAACATTGAAATAAGACCTTTCACCAGCAAACAGATTATGTCTCGCTGAAGGATCAGATGATTGTTAGCATTTTTAGCAGTAAAGTATTTTTAAATTAAGATACGTACATTATTATTTTAGACATAACGCTGTTGCACACTTAGTAGACTATAGTAACTTTTATATGCACTGAAAAAACTAAAAATTCATGTGATTTTTTTTATTGCACTATTTGCTTTTTTTGTGGGTATCTGGAACTGCAACCAGACTGCAATGTCTTTTTTTTTTTATTTTAAATGTTTTTATTTTTTATTTTTTAAATAGTTGTGGGTACACAGTAGGTATATATATTTATGGGGTACATGAGACATTTTGATAAAGGCATGCAATACGAAATAAGCACATCATGGGGAATGGGGTAGCCATCCCCTCAAGCATTTATCCTTTGAGTTACAAATGATCCAATCACATTTTTAAAGTTATTTTAAAATGTAAAATTATTAACTATAGTCACCCTATTGTGCTATCAAATGGTAGGTCTTATTCATTCTTTCTAATTATTATTTTTTCTACCTGTTAACATCCCCACCTCTCACCCAGCCCCTCACTACCCTTCCCAGCTTCTGGTAATCATTCTTCTATTCTCTATGTCCCTGAGACATATGTTCAGTTGTTTTGATTTTTAGATCCCACAAATAAGTGAGAAGACGCAATGTTTGTCTTTCTGTGCCTGGCTTATTTCACTTATTTAGGCATGCCTGTATTTTGTTTGCCTTGCTTGATTTTCCAAACTATCCAGTCCCTGAATTTCTACTTCTGTTTATTTTTTTTTTTAGACAGGGTCTTGCTCTGTTACCCAGGCTGGAGTGCAGTGGTGCAATCATGGCTTAATGTAGCCTGGACCTCCCAGGCTCAAGTGATCCTTCTGCTGCAGCCTCCTAAAGTGCTGGTATTACAGGCATGAGCACTGTGCCTGGCTACTCTCTGAATTTCTGAATATCACCTATTCCTTTTAATTTCTTTTTTTGTTTGTTTTTGTTTTTGTTTGTCGTTTGTTTGTTTTGTTTTTCGAGACAGAGTCTTGCTCTGTTGCCCAGGCTGGAGTGCAGTGGCGCGATCTCGGCTCACTGCAAGCTCCGCCTCCTGGGTTCACGCCATTCTCCTGCCTCAGCCTCCTGAGTAGCTGGGACTACAGGCACCCGCCACCACGCCTGGCTAATTTTTTTTTTTTTTTTTTTTTTTGTATTTTTAGTAGAGACAGGGTTTCACCGTGTTAGCCAGGATGGTCTCGATCTCCTGACCTTGTGATCCGCCCACCTCAGCCTCCCAAAGTGCTGGGATTACAGGCGTGAGCCACCGCGCCTGGCCCCTTTTGATTTCTAATTGCTAGCTGGTAACTTTTTCCCCGCTCAATTCACCTCTACAGCATCTTGCCAACTACCACCAATAGTAGCCAATTCAGAAAACACACTTCTTTCCAAGCTCTTTTTCTAAATTGCAAAACAATAAGCATGTGGCTAACCTCCCTTCTGATCACAGGTGGCAATGTCCTTTTATGCTTTGGGTTAGCCTGACCCAACCACTACATTTTCTTCCTCTAATACCAGTCACCTCGCCATTCACATCTGAAACTGACCCAATAGCATATATTTTATGTTTTTGATACAGTAGCATCTAACTTCAATTTCCAATATCTACATTAGTAAAGGCATTGAACATTAGGGGTTGCAAGTGCAAACTCGGAAATCCAGTGATTAACGTGAGAATGAATTATTTTCCACACTCATCCTGTCCGATGTGTGTTAGCCCTCTCCATTGTCAGGTAGGCCAACTGAAACACACATTGTTCGAGGTCTCTACAGCTCAGGGAGGTTCACTCGTGGGAACTGCCTTAGCTCAGGAAAACACACTGCTTCTGCTCACAGTACAGTCTGTCGGGCACAGGTCACAAGGCTCCAACTTCACTGCTGGAGAAGCTGGAAAACAAACAGGAAGCACATGGATATTTGATGAGCTCAGTCTCAGTCATCCATACATTTAATTGGTTCTGAATTTTCTCATCTGTGAAACAAGGATAATCAAATCTGCTTTGTTTTAAGGAATTATTATGAGTTTCAAATCAAATAAGCTTTTCCTACAGCTCCTCAAAACATGTAAACTTTAAACAAATGTTAATATGTTATTTAAAAAGGAAAATGATGTATTTTAACCTAGTAGGCATTTTGTTATACCTTCTTATTTATTCTCAATAGAAGGCATTTAAAAAGAGACGTTGGTATTCATATATCAATAAGGAAGGCATAACTGTGTTTTAGTTTCCGTTGCTATTTACTCCTATCACATTAGGTTGGTATTACTTGGGTTAGTTTACAGTACATCATTAAAGAGAAAAACAAAAATAAAAACCGAAAAAAAGTGTGTTTTACACTGATGACCTAACTATTGGTGCTATAATCTCACATTACCACTCACACAAGATCTGTTTCTGTAGCCTTTGGGTTTCTAAATCTCTCCCACTAGAGATTCAACCTAGTGAAATGGCCTGATTTGACCTGTTGTTCTGATCATTTCCTTGAATAAGTCCTCTTTTCTTGCTTACTTCTTCACCAAACAGATCTATTTTTATGCCCCCAGAGAGGTCCAGTATTTTAGCTTTGTTTCATCTTTTTCAGGTTAACTGATCATTGAATAACAGTATAAACTGAATCCTGCATTTGTGTTAATCTCCCAGTATTTCAGGATACTCATTTCGTGCAGGGTTTTGACTTGGACTCCCTTATCCCACTACTGTTGTGAAAACATTCTACCTTTCCTGTGGAACTTTTATCTGGTTGCATAATTTACTCCTGCATTTCCTTTACTGTAAGCAGTCTTTAGGATGTTGAAAGAAAAAGCATCTCTATAGACTAATGAAGTGGAGTCTTGCATTTTCATATGCAGAAGGTAATCTTTGTGGACAACCGATAAAGATTGTTCTGCACCCTTAAAATTCTCCAGGCCCTGAGAATTTCTTCAACTCTCCATTTACACAGTCTGGCAAATGTTTAAATTCATATTTTACTAATATTTTATTCCAAATATAGACTAACACTTCCCCATGGCAAATCTGTTTTCTTTAACCAAAGATTTTTTTTTCCCCCAATAAATTTGGGAGATAATTTGGCCTTATTTTTTTTTAATGATGGTTCTTTTTTTCCACAGTGGCTAGTTTCTCAATGTTCTTGCTGCTGTCAGATCACTTGTTGTATAACAAGAAGTCTTTCTGTCCAAAGAAACAGATGGATATGATACATTTCAACCTCCTCTGCAGTAAGATTCATTCTTATAACTAGATACACTGGGAATTACTTCTGTGTTCTAGTGAATGGTAACTTACAGTCAAAACATCAACCCTATTTTCCTTTCCCATTGCTTCAATGCAGAATCATTAAGATGATCTGATCTTTTTCAGTTTACCACAGTCCCTAAGCTGTAGAGATATTCATACAATTAGTAATATTTGTGTTGGTGGCATATTTAGCACTGATCTAACTATTCCCATTTGTTTAAAATACTTTTTGGTTAATCACTGAATGTTGAAAAGGCTGATTGAAGGAATGTTAAAAAAAAAAAAAAAAAAAAGAAAAGCTGCAAGGTCATTTTCTGATAGTCAACTTCTAATTAAGGTATTTTGACAACACAGAAGGAAAGTTTTTAGGTAAAAACACCTTTTGGAAGTAGAAAATGCCAATCCTTGTGATGTTTTTGTAACACATTGAATCTTCCCTCTTAGCTGCTGTACTACTCCAGCAATATCCCCTCAGTTAGAATTGTTTTGTGTGGTAGAGAGAGGTGGGGGTGGGAAAGGGTATGTTTTTGTTCAGTCACCATGTATACATATCTGTTGATGAGTGCAGGAGACCACACACAGTAATATAAAGGAATTTGATGTGACACAGGATATTTATTTCTGAGCTCAGCAATTAATCACTCAGGACAGCTGAATTAACCTAGCTAAGACTAGACTGGACCAAAAAAGAAAGAAAACTAGAAGGCTTTGTGGCTTTCTGGCACTGGATGAAATACTCTAATCAGAAGTAGGCCCTAAATAGAATGTTAGAACAGCCCCTGTCCTCTCAGAGTCCTTCCTACCTTGACAGTAGCTTGGGAAGCACACTTAAGGTAGTACAAGGCCAGTGAACAGTTTTTCAATGAATATGGCATGAAACGTAAGATGAAGTGTTTTCCTAGAATTTATCAAAATATTGGGTGAATTAAGGTATACACTAGTTTTCAAGTGTTTGAAAGTTCCAAACAAAAACAAAAACATCAAAGTTTATTGTTGAGAAACAAAATTAGCTTTAAATATGTTTAAGGGAAATAATACTTACATGCTTTTAATAAAGTTATACACATTTAACAATATTTTGATGAACTTGCTAGCTGTTCAAATATCAGTTGCTCCTTTTTCTATGTATTACTTTTAAAAATGCAATCTGGACAGATAGACTTGGTCAGTTACAAAAAGGATTTCACTCTTGAGAGGCTTGCTCTGTATTTTAAAATTAAAGTCCAAAATGTCTTCAGTAAAATGAACACTCTGATAGAGCTGGACAAATCAGTAAGAATTTAATACTCATTTTCTAAATGTTGACTGTTGTTGTCTGAATAGCCCAGATGTCGTCTGAATTAGTAGGATGATTCTTCTTTCTACAGTCTGTCACTGCAAATCTTATCTCTTTGCCTATTTACCCATGCATACGCAGCATGGTAATTGGAAATTAAATTTTATAAAATGAATATCCATCTTTCTGTTAACTCAAAGCCATTTTTTACTTTTATTTGAAGAATTAATATATTCATTCTCATTTCATAGAAATGCAGACCAAACACATGTCTCTTTCCAATTCATCTATGAAACTCATATATCTCTGGGATTCATCTTCTGTTGAATTTGAATAAAGACTCAGCTGTTGTTTTGAAAGAGTAAGAATAACACAGGGCCAACTTGTGACTAACGTAAAATAGTGGAGACACAAAGAAAGGACACTGACTTACAACGAGAAAGATAAAAAGGACATACTCTTAAATTTTGTAGCAGCTATGTCTCTAGATTAACTTGGAAGTATGAGAGTAACAAAATAGTCATTCCATGTTGAGCCGATAAGCAGATTTGTCGGGATGGCAGTTTCTATCCACTTTTCTGTCTGGCTTCAAAGTAGGGCAGATCCCTGGAGCAGTTCACAGAGGCATTTCCTCATGTCTAGGCGGCATCCAGTTCATTGCAGTGGCTGTTTTTGCCCAACCCTTCTGATAACGGAAGACAGTCCTAGGCCTCTGCGCTGCAGACACTGCTGCTACATGTACCAACCCATCCACTTTGTGCAGACTGGTTGGCACCCAGGCTGGGTTTCCAGGAAGGAGCAGGAATCTTCCTTAGCAAAAAAGCCCAGAGGCTGTTCCCATTCTCTGTGAGCCCAAAGATGCTGCAGATTCATCCCCGACCTGTGGCCTCTCTCCGTTGCAATTGCTCCTAAGCTGTTGCTTTGCACCCTTGTGTAGGGAAGTAGGGGGGCTTTTGGGACTTCCTTTCTCTCCCTCTGTGCTGTGAGAAACTGACTCCTCACAAGCTAAGGAGAAGACCACCCCGATGTCAACACAGGAAACTCATTTACTTCCCTTTCCCCGAGAGGCATACAGTCCATCTGCAACAAGCGCGTTGCCCTTTAGGAACAACTGCTGTTTTTATCTCCCAGCAGACTCCATATGTTGTTAGAGTCTGGGTTTATCTGAATCTTGATTTCAAAAATCTCTTCTCAATAACTAATTATTCTGTGATGACACCAAGTTCCTGGTTTATTTTCCTCCACAATATTTATTTATTACTTTCAAGAGTTTCCAAAATATTTCTTATTTAATGTTCAACTATTAATACATCCTAATAATTTCTTAATTATTATGGTCTAAAGATTACATCTGTCTAAGATTTTGGGTTGTTTACCTAAAGAATTGGATTCAACAACTCTTATTTACTTTAGAAAATATTTTCTATTGGTCATTCATAAAGATAATTATTGTCATGTAGAAATCTTTCTTTTCTCCAACTTTTATGTAGATTTTATTGCAAATGTATAAAATTAGAATATAAATTAAATAAAATAGTTTTGTTTTTTATAAATCGTCATGAAAATTGTGTCAGTTTTTCTATCTAGAGGTCTGTTTCACAAACCAAATAGGCAAACAAAATCTTTCCAAACTTACTACTTAATGAGGTAATGTTCCAGTAATTGTGTAAATATTTGTTTACAAGGTTTGTTAGCTTCATCACCACCTGCAATTAACAATGGAATAGAAAAGAAAAAAATACATATTAGTACAACTAGGGGTTTCAGGGTCTTAACCCAAAGACTATAATCAGTAGAGTATTGAGTTATATCCTGAAATAATTCAATGCAATTTCTATCATAAAGATTATTTTTAATGAGGGTACTTTTTTTTAGAGCAAATGCCTTGCAAGAAATTGAAATAGAATAATTGTGAATAATCATCCTTCTGGGCTTTAATATTAAAATTGAAGAAGGAGAGAAAAATGTTTAATATTTTAAAATTGTTTAGGAACAAAATTACTTCTCATATAACCGATTTTCACAATTTTTATACAGCTAAACATTTGATTAATCTTTTTGAGATGTGTCTCCCTTTACATTTTCCTTGTAAAATGTTAGAGGGTAAGAATTGTCTTACGTTAAGGGAGCCCTGAATAGGAACTCTGAAATGTAATAAGAGACCAGGAAGTGCCTCAGTCTCTCTGTCTCCCTCTTAATTTGCAGTCAAGTCTAGGCACTCAGCCATAGGGATTATCATCCACAACTCCAGAAAAGATTTATCCATTCGCCACATTGTTGAGAGGACTCCCATTTTAAAACCTAGAGATGCAATAGCGTTGACTTACCCATGATCCATGCACACCTTTCAAAATATGCTCTGTTTTTTTTTGGTTGTGTGTTTTGTTTTGTTTTGCCGTTTTCCCGATTGATGTTTAACTGGCCTACAGGACTTCCCTTGGATTACATAAATGGGATAAACATGAAGTAGTCAGATGGCAGGGTATCACATAGAAACAACTTTTCTTAGAAATAATTTAATAACTGCTGTTATAATAAAGAAATGTTTGAAAAGGAGTTAAAGTAAATGGCCCTAGAATAAGGGTTTCTGATGAATGGAGGTGAGCCATCCAGGTGACAATTTATCCAGAATACAGGAAGGGAGGCAATTCCAGCAGTAGGAAAAGCAAGTGCAAATATTCAGAGGCAGGAGTGAGCCAGGCACACTCCAGACACAGGAGGCGAGAGGGGCTGGAGTGGTGTGAGAAGACAGAGAGTGATCAGAGATGACCTGAGAGAGGTGAAGGGGCAGGGGAAGAGGGCTTGACCATCAGGCCTTATGAGCCAGTGTAAAAGCTTTCACCCAGGACCTATCATTTTCTTTGCTTGAAGCCATGGACGCTAAGGAAGCATCTCCCGCTGTAGCCTCACAGAGCAGAGCAAAGTTCCAGGATTCTATGACATTTGAAATGAATTACTCATTCATGCAGTTACATACAAATACATACATATAGATAGACATAGGCGCCAGGAACTTGAAAGTTATTTAATAAGTTTTCAGTTGGTCGAAAATATTCCCGAAGAAATTATAATGTAAGGAAAAGAGTCCTATATTGGGTATTAGGAAATCGATTATTTTATTTGGACAATGTCATTTCCTAGTAAGTCATTCAGTGACTCAACAATTTCCTAATTTCTATTCCCTAATCAGTCGAATAAGGAACCTGAACTAAATTATTTGTATAGTCTTTTCATTTCTTAAAATCTTGTGAATGTAGTAACTTTTCCCTATTCAGTTAGCCAGGTAAGCACTGCTTACAGTTGTCTTAGAAAAATTCTGTGTAACTATAAGCAGATTGAAATCCCCTGAAAAACCATAAAGTTGAATATAAGCCACCTAATATTATTGTTTGTTCCAGCAAATTTTCATGCCATTATTCACTTATAAAAAGTAAACCTTAATGTGAGTACAGCAAGACAATTAACAAAACAAGAAAATTTTATTTAGGAACGAGGTTATTGCAGAGAGACTAGCAATTGCCATTTGCAATAATGATAGTTACCGTTTGAACTAACAAAAAAGAGCATTAATAACTATTGTTTTTATGACCTAGGAGGCGTGGATAAAAGAAATCAAAAGGGAGGGTATAAAGATCAGGGAGGATTTTGGAAGTGTTTAATTTATACTTTTTAAATGCTATTTCTATTAAAAATGGAGCTATTGCAATCAGTTGGCAAACATCAAGACTAGTCCCTTCAACATTTTGCTGAGCTGAAATTTGCTCTGACATTAAGGAGCAGATTTTTTTGAAGGAAGTGAGGAAAATTTACACATAGAGCTGATGTGGAATTAAGCTAGGGTCCCTGGGACATTTCCATCCTCAACAAGAGTGTCTGTAATTTCTTCTACCTCTTTAAGACTAGGCGTATGTTTTTTGCAAAGGTCCTTTCTTTGCACAATTGGTTCAGAGGAAACTAATTGAGGTCCATTCTTCGTGGTGTGTTAGAGGAATTCTCTCATCTTTCGCTCAGCATATGAGGTCTTTGACACACAGCGTTATGGGACAAGCCCTCAGACTAGAAGAGAGAGATCATTATCTAGACACCTTGTCTCTCAAAGTCTCTCTGTCTCCTTTATTCACGCTTGATGACTGATAAGCTATTTCAGGAAGAGATCTTAATTGATCTCCATTTTGGTTTTTTGATTTAAGTGATTGGAATTTGCCTGAGAAGCAAAATTCTGAAAATAAAGTCAGAAACTCAGGGATATATGCTCTGTAAGTTGCCTTAATGGTTTCAGCAACAGCAGTGTTTCACGTATCTCCCTCCTCAGCTTATAATGCATGGATTTTGTAAGGACAACAAATCCATGCTGAAATCTCAAAATTTTCTTACTTTGGATGCTCTAATGTAGAGAACAATTCCATTCTCTATACAAAATGATTAAACAATAACACACTTTTTAAAATTCACTTAAATTTGAATTTTTGAATGACAGCTATAAAACCACCTATCCAAATACGTTTCTTTTAGCTAAATGTTTAGCTCTATATTGAAATAAAAATATCTACAATTTAAAATTTCTTTAGTGTTACCCTATTTCAGTATGTACAGACATCATAAATGGTATGACAAGTGATCACATTTTCTTGGATGATTAACCTAATTCATGAGTTTAACATTGCTAAATAATTCTTGAATAGCATGTCTACAGAAAACTGTTGATTTTCTTGTAAACAATGAGAGAGATAACTTCTTCTGAAACATTCCCTTAGGGTTTCAGAGTATAAGCATTTCATCTTGCTTGTTTATATTACAATTATAAGAAATACTCACAGTTTCACTTTATTTTATTCCTTAACGTATTGATTCTGTTTCTAAGCAACACTTTTAAGTGAGTTGCCTTCTAAGTATTTGATTAAGTTATTTCAAGACAATGAGGAATTGGAAACAAATAAGTATGTGTAATAATGTTTCTTAGCAATGAGCTTAAAATTACAAAATCAATAAGCATTTAATTACAACCTTATTACTGGAGATTAAATTTATAAAATATGTCATCATATGTAGTAACGTAACATAATTCAGGATACATAGCTATTATTTAGGTGAGCATTGATAATTACCACATCTATTGACATGCAATTTAAAGTAGTTGGAGTTGTATGTTCACTGATCTTATACTATCAAATATGAGAAATAAAAACAGAAGAGAATTGTGAAGCAAAGAGATTTTGCAGCTTCTAGATTACCTACTAATGGTGTGTGAGAATAAGTTTCTGCATTAGATTTTCTTACACGTTTTCCATTTCCAAGTTTCTCACCCCTTCGTATACACATGGATTTGCACCAGGCTATTGAACATTATGAAATTCTCCAAGATCAATTTATTTTTATTCATTTGTTTTAAGAGTGTATGCTGAGTAGCCTTTCATCTCATGAAGAGAAAATGTGAAGGTGAAGACGTAGGAGAACACAATCACGGAAATGTGCGTAGCCTCAGGGTTGCCTCATTTCTAGAACTGATGGACTCAGGGATTTGGAGAGGCCCAGGGAAAGCCGGTGGCAGCAGGAGCACCAGGCGGGGCTAATCAGCAATGATGAGAATGTCTGCCTCCAGGTGAAAGTGCTAATGACCTGGCCTGGCGATGTGGCCTGTAGTCCCAGCTACTCAGGAGGCTCCAGTGGGAGGATTGCTTGAGCCCTGGAGTTTGAGATTATAGTGAGCTGTGATTGTGCCACCACACTGCAGCCTGGGTGACAGAGCAAGACCCTACCTCTAAAAATAAAAATGAAAATTTCCTAAGTGGTGAGTACAGAAGCTTGGGGTGGAAAAAAACAAAAGTATGCCCAAGGAAAATGGCTACATCTGAGATGACCCATTTATAGCCAGGAGACCTGTCGCTGAGTTACTCATTTCACCAAATCAGGCTGTACATTTAATGCAGCAGATAATCTAGTGAGCAGTCTCAGCTACAAAGATAGAAGGGCCATCAAAATTCACCAAATGTTAATGAAAAGTCAGAACAAAAAAAGAAATGGCGAGCTCATTATGAAAACATCTATTAGAAAATAGGGATGAGATTTTAAAGCATTGCGGAAAGGTCTGATTTTCAACAGATTGAATGAAGAAGGGATAACAAATGACAGTAGACAAATTGGACATACATGTTTAGACATTCCTGTGGCTCCACAGAAAGGGACTGGCCATCTGTCCAAGGGACATTTTGATTATAATACTTGTTTGTATCATTTACAAATATGCAGGTACTTTTTACCATATGCAGGTACTCTCTTTTAGTTGAAAGATTGGATTTTGAAATAAAAACATTTTACAAATGCTTTCAGATGGAATATTTTATTTGGCTTTTATGGCAGTGCTGTGAAATAGATTTGGCAAACATTGCTTTCCTTATTTTATAATTGAGGATCCTGAGCTGCAAACTTGGTGCTCAGGTTCACAAGACTTGGAGCACGTTAACGTTTACTTAAAATTATAATGTTAATGGAACGAGACAGTCTTTTCTTGAGGATATTTTAACAATATTTAGAAAAAATAAAAAATGTTTATGCCCTTATATTTAGCATTTCTATTTCTTGACTTTTATTCTATGTAAACATTCCCACAAGTGCTTGAGGAGAGATCTATGAGAGTTTGTTGTCGCTTCCTTTGTCATGGCAATCCATGAGAAGAATCTTAATATACAAGGATGTGAAACTGGTTATATTTTGAAAAACTACACAGCTCTTGAAAAGAATTAAGTAGGTAGTGTATAAACAAGCAAAATATGCCCTAGATATATTACGTGAAAAAAATCAGCTTGAAAAACAATTAGTGTATTTTTCATTCGAATGTTAAGATGATAAATTTTAATGATAAATATGGTTAATACTCTCAGGAAAGTTGTAGTTACACACATTAAATTACTTAGCATGGTGATTTCTGATGGGTAAAATTTTCAGAGGCTTTTATTTTCAAGTTATCTTTGTGTAACATCTGTATTTAATTAAGCTTTGTGTAATATTTGCAATCCGAAAAGTAAAGATCTTTAGATAAAATGATAAAAATACTAGACAATTAAAACAGTATATTGTAAGTTTATCTACATATATAATATTGTGTGAGTTTAACTTACCAGTTTCCTAAAAATCCAAGCAGATTTAAGTAATATTTTGTTATCCCTGGTCTCTCAAGGAGGGCATAAGAGAATCTCTGGGTAGCTGAATGTTAGAAGTTCTGCATTTGAATCAAAACTCTGTCATTTATTGAACAAGTCACATAATATAGCAGAGTCACAATTGTCTCATTTATAAAATGAGAGAAATAAAAATACATAGAATGCTGCTCAGAGGATTAGATGACTTAAAAGTCAAAATAAAAACAAACCAGTATATTGTAATGAGGCAGATAAAACCGTTTTTGGAAAACAGAGGCCATACTTCTTAAAAACTTCTCTGTGAAAATTTTCAAAAAATTAAACGATGCCCAGTTACCTGGAGAGATTCCATAAGGGATGCCAAGGTCCAAGCTGACCACCAACTCCAGAGCTGATGAAAGGGGAAGAGATCCATATTATAGAAGAAGTAGAAGAATTTGAAGTTGGGTGAAATCCAAATTCAGGGTTGAGAAGAAGAGACTAGCAGCATAATACAATCAATATGCTTGTCCTTTAGCCTAGTAAGAGTTATTATGATTAGTTTGAGATATTTGTTTCCAGTTTTTTAACACAACTTTTGGGGTGTAGATTGTATGTTGGTTGGCACGGCTTCTTATGACAAATAATTTTTGTCTGGAGTAATGTAAACCATGTATACATTATTAATTTGCAGGTTCATATTCCTACATCAGAGCTAATTGAATGTTTCCCCTAGACACAAAATAATCCTGTATTAATGCAATTGAAATTTACACAATGCATTTCTTTATAAAATATTTAGTGGTTGGACAGGCATAGTACAATTTAGATACTTTAATATTTAATAATATAAAAACATTCTATTTTATTGTGATATTAATCTGATTTATTTTATGGTATTTTTCACCTTTGTTCCACTTTATATTAAGCAATATTTCATATATGTGAAAAGCATGGAGAATAAAAAAATGACAATTACATACCCACTACCCAGATCTATCAGATCCCCATGTTTTACAACAGTTGCTTCAAATTTTTTTTTTTAAAAACAGAATACTTCAGAGGCATATGAAGATTCCTATGTACCCAGTAAAAATGTGATTTTTCCATACTCAGAGTTAATAGCCATATAGAACTTGGTACTCTTCATTGTCATTTATTTTTTTCCAACTCTTACTACATAAATACGTATTCACATACAATATACAGTATTGCTTTACAGATTTTGAAAATTTATGCAAATGCATATATATTCTACACATTTTCTTGGGGAGCTCGCTTTGTTTACTCAATATGATATTTTTGACATTATTCATATCAATATATGGAGTTCTCTTTCAATCATTTTAAATTTTATTTAGCACTTCATTCTCTCTCTATAAATACACACACATATGTGCCAGAGGTACATTAATTGTTAAATAAAAATGTATTCAATGATATTTGTTAAAAGACAATAAGGAAGACTTTATTCAGGACCATCATGATAGGTATAGGGACCACACCATGGGACTTTGCAGTGGAGAAGAGATTGGGCTCAATTCTGAATACAGCATGGGTTAAGTGGAAATTTATAGCCAAGGATCAGTGTGGGAATCAGTGGATGAAAAATTACTCAGAGGAAACAGCAGTAAGAGGGATTATGGCTAAACTGACCTAACGGGATTCTTGCTGAAGATAGACTGGGTTGATCAGATATTACCAGAAGGATGCTGGAGGATAAGGGCTTTATCAGATATTAGAGGTGATCAGATATCAAGGGTGGGGGCTTCTTTGTCAAAACTGGATTTTACAAGGAAGTGCACAGATGGACCTAGGAGAAGGTTCAGAAACCTGACTAAAGTTTTGCCAAGAAGAGAATCTTTCTCAGTACATATGTATTTTTAAATTATCATTGAATCATCATACTTTAAAATCATTGAATATTTTAAATGATTTGTTTTGCTTTTCCTATTATAAACGATGCACTGTAAACATTTTTATATATGTCTCTATACATATATACATATTTCTTTAAGATATACATACACGAAGATGTAGAATTACCTTAGTCAAAGATTATGCACATCCTTAATGCAAAGTTTACTAAATATTGTGAAATTGCTCTCCAAGGAACTTAAGCTATTATACACAGTCTCACGCTCATAGTATGAGACTTCTTTTCTCTGTATTTTTTGTGCCATTCTAATGGATGTTACCTTATGGTTCAGTATTTTAATTAACATTTATCTGATTACCAATGGGGGCATGTTTTTATTAATCTGTCCATTTGAGTTTCCTCATATGGGTAGCTCTTGTTCTTATGACTTTCCCATTTTCCTGTTGGGGTGATTGTCTATCAGAAATTTGGAGAAGGTAATGGTATGTGCTGAATGCTAATGTTGTTGATTAGGTAGCGGTAGTTGCAGATATATTATTTTAAATGGTAGCTTACCTTTTTTAACTACCTTCTTTTGATTAAGTAGTAGTTGTTGCAGATATATCATTTTAAATGGTAGTTTGCCTTTTTTTTTTTAAACTATCTAAAGATAGTAAAAATGCAGGAACATGCATTTAGCATTTTTCTAGTTTTTACTTTTTGTCTTGTTTGAAGAGAAAATAATTTATTAGCCATATACATACTCATAACATTCTTTTCTATTTTTTTGTTAAATTCTAGAAATTTTGCTTTTCTCGTTTGATTTTTAGATCTAATTTTATATTTCTTTTCTTATGGTGTGAGGTAGAAAACAACTTTAAATTTTTCCATCTGCCTGACCAATTGTCCTAATGACATGCATCTTTTTTTCCCACTGCTTTCTAATTTCACCTCTATCATATATAGTTTTCATAAAATGTATGGGTATGCTTCTTTGCTTCATATTTTGTTTCACTTGATATTTTTTTCTCCCCGAACTGAAAAATAATTTCTTATTGATTATGTCTATTAACCTTGTTATATGGCTAGGGCCAAAAATATATCATGAAACACAATTCTCAAGCTGACATTTATTTTTGCCATTTTAGAATAGGGAATAAAGAGGAAATTTTGAACTATTTGAATTTGTGCTTTTATAGGGATTTGGTTAGGGGAAAGTATATTGTTTCATCACTTTCTCCCATTTCATCAAGAAGGGGATTAGTTAAAATAGAAAAAGAGAAGTGGATTTGGAGCCAGAATATGTTGGTCCTGTTTTTGGACACAGGCAATCTATTTTCTTGCCTTAATAGATGCCTTAGTAAGGCATCTATTAAGAAATGTAATCACTTCCAAAGTGGAAATGAAACATATTAAGTTTGTTATACATACACACACACACACACACACACACACACACACACACACACACGTGAGTGTGATATCTATCTATCTATCCATCTATTCATCTATCTACCTACCTACTATCTATCTATGACTTATTAAGCACCCTTTTTAGACATAGCACTAACTACATAGTGGTTGTAGTACTAGTAGTAGTAGTCCTAGGAACAGTGGTAGGAGTCAAGCAATACAGTAGAGATAGAAGTGGTAAACCAGTAACATCTAGTAACACTTTCCCTGCTAGTCCATTTGCTGTTAAATTTATTTAGGATAAATAAAGCATTTTGAGAATTGTTTTCATTGGAGGGTTTAGTTTACTGTATTGGTATAGGGAGGGGGGAGTACCAAGTACAATCTTTTGCTTCTCAGTTTTGACAAGGATTGAAAGTAACCTCATGGATGGGTGCTCTGGGTACTTATCCAGCATTTGAAACAATCCTCAATCATTAATGCTATCACAACATCTTGAAATGATGTGATCCCTTTAGTTTGTTGTTTGTTTGTTTTTGAGACAGGGTCTCACTATGTGGCCCAGGCTGGAGTGCAGTGGCATGACCACAGCTCTCTGCAAACCTCTGCCTCCTAGACCAAGCTATCCTCCCAACTCAGCCTCCTGAGTGCTGGGACTGCAGGCACGTGCCACCATGCCCAGCTAATTTTTTTTTTTTTTTACCTTTGTAGAGACGGTGTCTCACTGTATTACCCAGGTTGCCCTTTAAATTCCTTTTCTGAACTGCTTCTCTATCCTCAATATTATTCACCACTTCTGCGTGATTTCTGCTGCATTTTGAACATGCCTAAGGATAGGCTGTGAGAGTACCTTCTCTGCCTTCCCTACCACCCCACCAATTCTGCCCCCTGGGAAAGGTTCTGCTGCTGGATTTAAAGGAATACTATCTTGCTCTGGTCTTGATTTGCCATTGTTAATGAATTAGAATGAAAATCACTGACACTTTTCAGCTGGGTCTACAATTTTGATGAACTAAGCAAGAGAAAAAAATAAAATGAGAGGTTCCCTCTGGAAATGTGTTCAAGATTGTGTTCTTTATTACAATATACATGGCATTTGGTAATGAAAAGTAAGAACACTCTCTTCCACATGGACCATTTATATGAAACAAAGAAAATGAAGCTATATAAAAGTGCATTATAGCTTGGTACGTGTCATACAACTCTAATGCTGATTAAATAAAATGTTTATGCAGAGCCACAGTGTGCTTTGAACAGAATAGGACAGAAGGGAGATGTTTTATACTCTTCAGAGAAAAATAAATGTGATGGAAACTGCCAACTTTCTTATTTATTTTGGTGACTTAATAAGAGCTTTATATGTACACACTCTCTTTACACACACACACACACACACTGACATATACATATTTAAGCAGAGAAACTATTGTGTAAAGTATATAAACATAAAAATATTTGTGGTATTTTTTGATTAGTAAGATAATAAAATTGCTAAATTTATTAAACACACAAAAGCAACAATACCTGAAGTCTTAATAATTGGATACCTGGAGTGTGCTTTGTCTGAAACACAATTAAATCTACTTTGTTTTTTTCTGAGCCTGCATAATCTACTCAGGCACTTGGAAACTGTAGTGACTCTTTCACACCACAAAAGCTAGAACTAAATGTTTCCCTGCATGATGCTTCAGCAACCTGGGTCAGTCAGCTTGCTGAGGTAGCAAACACTTGTAAAGGCCATACTGTATGCCAGGTACTGTTTCAGCACTGGGGATGCAGTGGTGCGTAGAAGGGCAAAGTCCTGGATTTATTGGAACTTAGAGGTTTGCAGGAGAGGTGTATGTTGAAAAGCCAATTCTAATAAAATATTATATGTATTTTTACAAATTGATGAATGCCATGAAGAAGAACTATGATGTGTAATGAGAGGCTGCAGTGAGGGAAACCCAAACCTCTTTGGGAAAGTGACATGTAGATAAGAATTGAAGGATGGGTATGACCTCTCCAGAAAGAATGGCCAAGGACTCGGCCTGAGAAGAATAGGACAGGGCGAAGACCCTGAAATGGGGAAAGAATTTATTATACTTAAGAAACAGGAAGAAAACCAGCATGGCTCATTGAGGGAAAGAGTGGCCAGAGATGGGGCTGGAATGGTAGTCATGTGAGGTGACAGGCATAAAGGGACAACTCATTGAGGGTTTGGATATTTCCCAAGTGCAATATGAAATTACTCTGATGTAATAAAGTACCAGCATTAAAGATTGTTTTCAAACTAATAGCTATCATTTCTTGAGTGTTTATTATATATAGGCGTTGGGTTAAGGGTCTTATCTATATTTAGTTCATATTCACAATGACCTTAGAATTATTTCATAAACGGGGAGATAAAATCTGAGAATTTGTGCTATGTTAGACAAAATCAGATTGCCAGAATTCAGCAGAGGAGAAATTAGAGCTTAGGTCTCTATCTCTGAAGCTCATGCTCTTAAGTATTCTACTAGTTGGCTTTCTAAGGTATTTTATTAGGCCCCTAGGATATAGTGCAGGAGGTAGAAAGATCAAAATCTATCTACTTCTGTCTAGGAATTTTCTAGAGTGGTGGCTAATAATTGTTACTTGAGCAATCCTCTGTGGTAGTATTTAAAGACTAAGTAAAAGGCTGTCTCCTGGATGACAGTCACCTTCCAGCTGTGCCCACCATTTGGTGTGGTTAACATGAGAGAAACTGAAATGTTAAGCTCCTTTTAGTTAGAATGTATTTGCATAATGATCTGTAATTAAACAGCACCTTTAGGGCTATTCTGAAATGGGACTGCCCCAGCTGTTTCTCAGTTTGTTGGCTTGTTTGGGGTCATTTTTCACAGCCACCACCTCTCCCCTCCTCATTAAAAAAATGGTATTCATATTAAAAAACTGCTCCTCATGGCTTTTTCTTTCTTCTTCAACAACCTTCCTTCACAACATCCACTATTATTCTGCTTGTCCAAGGGTGCAGCTCTTTTTAGAAGATTCCTAGAAGAGATCTCATGGTCAATAATCCAGTCAGAGTACAATATAATTTAAGATAATAAATGTAATATAAAATATAATTAATATGATATGATAGAATATAATAATGTCTGGACTTACTCTACAGATTTGGTAAAACATTTAAAATAGCCCCTTTGGTTTGTGTCATATATTTTTACATAATTCTTACTTTAGGTCCTAATCTGCCTTTTTACCTCAGCTTTTTCTTTTTCCCTAGTCTCATGCCTTCCTGAATCCACATCCACTTTCCTAAATCGACCACTTTCTTTTCCCTAGAAAATGTAAAAAAGGCCCAATTGTTACCTTTTTAGCACGGATTTTCCCCACCCTAGTAAAATGACCAAAATTGTATAATATTTTCTTGTTCTTAAAATAGAAGTATGAAAATTACTTATTTCTAACATTATGAACTCAAAACATTTCCCCTCAAATTATGATGGCAATTAAGAAATTGTGGCAATGAAACTGATAGGTGTACTGTTCCTCAATGTTACCATTGAAATGACCTGTGAGGACTAGAGATTTGCTGTCATCTTCATCCTTCCTAATTACATTTTTCTCTCTCTATGGCAGGGATGGTGATTGGACTCCTTTGAAATTCCAAGTGCTTTCTATATCTATTTTATGTTTCACTGGAGTTCATGCAAAATAAGGAGGGTGATCACGTAACTCATAAACCAAATTGATGAACTCTGCAGAGTTAAAATGGATGTTATTGGTAATTATTCCAAGATAATATGTATAAAAAGTACTTTTCTAGAAGAAAGAACTGTGGCACACCTAAAAATGAATATCATGAAGGGTACAGGGTAAAATGATATTTGGATTATGTATTAGTCCATTCCTGCTTCTATAACAAAATATCTGAGACTGGGTAATTAATGAAGAATTAATAAAGAACAGAAATTAATAATAAATAAAAATTTATTTCTCACAATTCTGGAAACTGAAAGTCCAAGATCAAAGTGCCATCAGGTTTGATGTCTGGCGAGGGCCCCATCTCTGCTTCCAAGATGGCGGCTTGTTGCCCTGTCCTCACATGGAGGAAGGGAAAGGGCAAAAAGGCCTAGCGACTTCCCCTCAGCCCTTTATTCATTCACAGTGGCAGAGCCTTCACAACTAAATCACTCCCAAAGGCCCCACCTCTTAATACCATCACCTTGGGTTGTAAGTTTCCATCGTACGAATTTTGGAGGGACTCATTCACTGAAACTGTAGCAGATTGACCTATATATATATTTTTTTTCTTTTTCTCTCCACACTTTCTCCTTCTCTTTATTTTGCTTTTCTATTCCCTAAACAGTATTTAAATATTCAGATATTAACCCATACTAGTTTTACCCATTTGTTTGTGAGATATCTCTTTTTATTTTTATTAGCTTATATTTCATTTTATTTTCCAAATAGCTGCCTGGATCCCTGCTTTTGGGGGAAATTGACTAATAAGAATTTCTGCCATTGGATTTCTATTTCAAAGAGGAGAGGTGCTGTGACAGTAGTAATTTCCTCTCCTGGCCCAGATGTTATTATTAATCACATCATCCAACCATAATTTGGTTTTCCCACTTGAAGCAAATTCACTAGGTAGTTCTCACAATTTTTTCATTTAAAATATTAAACATCAAACTAGCAAAATATATCTCAACGTTACAATCTGTGTAATATATCTTTCTGGAGAAAAGACATCAAAATTTTACTGTGATTTATTTAATAAACACAGTCACAAAATATATTAATTTGATAGTAACAGGCAACACATCTGTGTTGGAATTTACATGGAATTTGCAAGAGATACCCACAACTTTGTTGAACTCTGTAATTTTTGCCAAAACAGCAAAAATAAGTGAGGGAAGGTGAGGGAGGCAATATTTCCAAACTAGTATTTTAATTCAGCATTAAGATAAGGGAAACAATAGTCGATTGGCAGCAAATAGTATTAAGTTCCTGGTTTGACCTATGGTATGGACAATTAACCTTTTTAGACCTCAGTTTTCTTTCTTTTCTTTTTTTTTTTTTTTTCTTTGAGGTGGAGTTTCACTCATTGCTGAGGCTGGAGTGCAATGGCGCGAGCTCAGCTCACCACAACCTCTGCCTCCCGGGTTCGAGTGATCCTGCTGCCTCAGCCTCCTGAGTAGCTGGGATTACAGGCATGTGCCACCATGCCCAGCTAAGTTTGTATTTTTAGTAGAAATGGGGTTTCTCCATGTTGGTCAGGCTGGTCTCAAACTCCCGACCTCAGATGATCCACCCACCTCAGCCTCCCAAAGTGCTGGGATTACAGGTGTGAGCCACCACACCTGGTCCAATTTTCTTTTTTTTTTTAAATTTTATTTTATTATTATTATACTTTAAGTTTTAGGGTACATGTGCACAATGTGCAGGTTAGTTACATATGTATACATGTGCCATGCTGGTTTGCTGCACCCACTAACTCGTCATTTAGCATTAGGTATATCTCCTAATGCTATCCCTTCCCCCTCCCCCCACCCCACAACAGTCCCCAGGGTGTGATGTTCCCCTTCCTGTGTCCATGTGTTCTCCTTGGTCAATTCCCACCTATGAGTGAGAACATGCGGTGTTTGGTTTTTTGTCCTTGCAATAGTTTACTGAGAATGATGATTTCCAATTTCATCTGTGTCCCTACAAAGGACATGAACTCATCATTTTTTATGGCTGCATAGTATTCCATGGTGTATATGTGCCACATTTTCTTTTTTTATTATTATTATTATACTTTAAGTTTTAGGGTACATGTGCACAATGTGCAGGTTAGGTACATATGTATGCATGTGCCATGCTGGTGTGCTGCACCCATCAACTCGTCATTTAGCATTAGGTATATCTCCTAATGCCATCCCTCCCCCCTCCCCCCACCCCACAACAGTCCCCAGGGTGTGATGTTCCCCTTCCTATGTCCATGTGTTCCTTTCTTAATGTATAAAAGACATTAAATTTTACTTACTATGAAATTGCCAAAGTTCTCTAAATTCTCTTCATGAGTGTTATTTACTATTTCTGCAACCCCACCATATTTTGACAACTGGAATTTCACTTGTGTCTGGCTCCATCTCTTTGATGTAGCTCTGGAAAGTCAACTCACACTGTGAGATCATCCTATGGGACAGGTCAGCTTAGTGACTTGCTCTCCATGTGACCCTGATTAAGTTGTTAATTTTTAAATTTTAGTTTTCTCAACTATAAAGTACGTGTAATAGTACTCCCTTTTCCACTGTTGTGAAGATTACATAAAATGGTGCATGTGCCTGGTGTACTACT
Organism: Homo sapiens; assembly: GCF_000001405.40. Taxonomy (NCBI): domain Eukaryota; kingdom Metazoa; phylum Chordata; class Mammalia; order Primates; family Hominidae; genus Homo; species Homo sapiens. The sequence continues at coordinate 23,507,385 of NC_000006.12, read as the reverse complement.
TGTTAAAGAATGTGTACTCAGTGAGTAATCACAACTATTATTATTATCATCAATTTGCTGTTTCTTCTCTGTCATCTATGATTGGTGGTGTATTAACATAACATTAAATTAATCCTAGAATCATAAGTCCCCATTACGTTGAGTCCAAAATTGAATCTTCTCTGCGCAAAGAGGAACTTCCTCGTGATCACCACATGTGCTATGCTTATTCCATCTCTATGACTCTGCCCATATACATCTCCTTACTTTTAGTCCTCTTGACTTTTTCCCACCTATCTGAATGTCATTCATTTTTTAAAGTTCAGCTCAAATCCCACTTCTTTCCATGAAGTCTGTCCCTAGTATACTGGCCCACACTGTCAGTGAATTTAAGAGAAAGAGCTTGAGCTGTGGAGTTCACACAGTTTCCATCCCAGTTGTTTATAACTAGAAACTGAGCTCAGTGATTTTGTAAATTATTTAACTTCTCTGATTCAGTTTCCTAATTTTAAAAATGAAAACCATATTATTTATCTCCAGGGGTTGTTTTGAAAACTAAATGAAAATAAGCATGTTAAGTACCCGATATACATGACAAGCTTAGCAAATGTTTATCTCCCTCATTGCCTACTACAGTAATTGATAAGAAATGTGTGTTGAGCTGGATCTATAGAAGTATATTATGCACCCAAAAGAGAATACAAGTCATTTAAAACAGAGATGATTCTTGTAAATTTTTTATGGAATGCATCATAAGGATTTTGTAAGTACTTATTTTAAAGCACTTCCCTGTTACTTGAATATAGAACAATCAAAATAGAGCAGGGCCTTTTGTGATCAGGAGTAGTTTTGTCCCCTAATCATATATTAAATGATATGAAAAGATTGATATTATGCACATAGAATATGATAGAACAGAACAAGTAAGCAGATCTATGTAATGGCAGAAAGATAATAATAAATGAATTAAAGTTAATAATCAAAATGAATACCAGAAAATCCTATATAATTATTAAAGGGGAATTGAAAATTTGGCTCCGAGCCTCTGCATACAAATGGGTGGACTCTTTTACTTGTATTTCTGTCTACAAGTTTTCTATTGGTTCTAGAAGACTTCCTTGGGGTACCAGGAAAAAAATCTTGGTATTTCAAAATCAATGATTTTTGCCCAAACCTACCTATGTGTAATGAACAACATCTATCACATCCCTCTGGAGTTTATCCACTTTACAAAATTAGATCAGTCAGTAGCATTCAAGTGTGCAAGCTTCAATGAAAGTGGCTCCAGGGACATACATCGAGTTTTCAGAAATAGCGTTTCTGAACCCTATGGAGAAGAATCAAGAGGCTAAGCTTGTGTGAAGATAGGTAGTTTTAGAGGGAGACAGTTTAACTTTCTGCCAGGATATACCAGCAAAGTCAGCAATGTCCAGTTGTTACTGTCTAACTGACTACTTTTGAAATAAGTACCGATACAATATCTATAGGCTATAGTGTTTCCCTTTACGAATATTTGTCTTAGACTTTTTCTTACATTATGGCAGCCTTCCCTTGGAGATCTATAAATATACTTTATAGATTTATAGATGTCAGAATCCTTATTCTAAAAAATGGGTGTTATTCTGTATATGAATTAACACACCTGTTTACATGTAATGTGGCAAGATGCTAAGATACCATTGAAAGTACAATCTTGGTTAACTAGAATCTAGCCTATTCTAAATCATTACTGTTGTGATTGAATTTTAAGAGAATCGGCAAGACCTCAAAATGAAAATTGATTTTAAGTGTTTATTTTAAAAAGTAGCTTTCATAGCATGCCCTGAGATTATTATGGATTCTGTTCATTCTCCCACACTTTAAAATGTATAGCTGTATAATTGTATAATTATCAATACCTACAAATGATGACTCTACAGCCATATTTTCCTTAGTCATCGAAGGATGATTACATTATTTTTGGTGTCCCTACAAAGCCAAGAAAATAGCCTAACTTGGTATTTCCCATGTGTGAAAGAAAAAAAGTGTTTTGTGGTCAACTATGTTTGGAAGACATGGGTTAAAACAAGATAGAGTTTTATTTTATCTTTGGGAGTTCTCATGGCTTGAATTCCTTGGTTAATCAGAGATTTCATCTAACCCAAACCAAACATTTCTTAAATATGCTGATTACATTTTCTGAGATGAACTTTTCCTTTAGTGGAACCCTATTCCACTGGTGACTCTAACTAGTCGAAATGATTTCTGTGTGTTTCTGATATTTTCCCAGCGAATCATTGAGGATTCAAGACATTTCGACATATCCCTGCAGGAAGAGTCCTTGCTTGACAATTCACTGTTCTAACTTTAATATTCAGAGCTGTGTGGTTCTGTCTTGGAAATCAGATTGACAAAATAGTCTCAGAGATCTTCTGATATATGGGACTAAGAAACCTTGGAGAAGACGAAGTCAAGTTACCCAGACTTTGTTCAGTTATTAAAGGGTCAGAATTAGAGGGCAGTTGTAATTCTGATGTGATTAACCTAGCCCATAACGCTTATCTGAGTTTTATTTAGTACTGAAGGAACATACTGCAATATGAGTAAAATCTAAAGTAACTACCTCACTGAATGTAACAATGAGGAATTGAATTTGTGGCCTCTAACAAGCATGATTGATGGGTTTTGTCATAATTTGGGATTTTGGCCCACATGTTGGATCATGGAGAGACATAGCAGCCCAAGTGGTGACTGAAAAGGGCTAGAATCTGCCCTGGAGAAGAAGTAAGTGTACGGGTTCAGGACAGAATTACAAAGCACCAATTACTTTTATTATTATTATTATTTTCTTTGCAGCTGATTCTTTTACCCACAGGCTAGTAGCAAATAGAATCAAAAGTAAAATGATGCAGAGACCTGAACCTCCTTAATGTATGTGGCATTATTGCTCCTTTCTCCCCATCCTACTCCTTAGATCAGGAGAACAGAAAGGAGGAAGGCAAGAGAGTGGGAAACTGTCTTTACTGACCTAATTACCCCTGGCTAGAGGAGTCTTCAGTGGCTGGAAAATAGGTTCTGAAAATTGTGGACTTAGTCAAGTTATGAGTGGCAGAACAATTCTTATTGATTGATTCCTTCAACAAACATATTGGTAGCTACTCCTAGCTGTGCATTCTTCTAGGCACTTGGAATAATTTATCAATGAACAAAGGCCTTAATCTTATGGATTTTTATGATAGTGTGAGGAGACAAACAGTAAATCTCTCTATCTACATATATACACAGGCGTACATCATTTCATTGCACTTTGCAGATATTGTGGTTTTGCAAATTAAAGGTTTGCTGCAACCCTATAGCATTCAAGTTTATCAGCACCAGCTTCCCAACAGCACATGCTCATTTCATGTCTCTGTGTCACATTTTGGGAATTCGTGCAGTATTTCAGATATTTTCATAGTTATTATATGTTATAGTGATCTGTGTTCATTGATCTTTGATGTTACTATTGTTTTTTTTTTTCTTTGAGACAGAATCTCACAGTCGTGCAATCTGTGCTCGCTACAACTTCCATCTTCCAGTTCCAAGTGATTCTTCTGCCTCAGCCTCCCAAGTAGCTGGGATTACAGGAACCCACCACCATGCCCAGCTAATTTTTGTATTTTTAGTAGAGATTGGGTTTCACCATTTTGGCCAGGCTGGTCTTGAACTCCTGACCTCAAGTGATCCTCCCGCCTCAGCCTCACAAAGTGCTGGGATTATAGGTACGAGCCACTGCACCTGGCCTATTGTAATTATTTTGAAGCACCATGAACCATGCCATGTATGATGGCAAACTTCACCTATTAATACTGTGTTTTCTGACTGCTCTACTGACCAGCCATTCCTCTATCTCTCTCTTTTTTTGGGGGGCCTCCCTATTTTCTGAGACACAGCAATACTGAAATTAAGCCAGTCAATAACCTTACAATTTCCTCTATGTGTTTAAGTGAAAGGAAGGGTCATATGTCTCTCACTTTAAATCACAAGCTAGAAATGATTAGCTTAATGAAGTCATGTTGAAAGCTGAAATAGGCTGATATAATAGCTAGGCCTCTTGCACTAGTTAACCAAGTTGTGAATGCAGTGAAAAGTCCCTGAAGGAAAACAGAAGTGTTACTCCAGTGAACACACAAATGATAACGAAGTGAAACAGTCTTACTGCTGATATGGAGAAAATGTAGGTGGTCCAGATAGAAGATCAAACCAGTCACAACATTCCCTTTAAGCCTAAGCCTAATCCGGAGCAAGGCCCCAACTCTCTTCAATTCTATGAGGGCTGAAAGGGGTGAGGAAACTGTAGAAGAAAAGTTTGAAGCTAGCAAAGGTTTGTTCATGAGGGCTTTTTTTTCCTTTTTTTTTTTTTTTTTCTAGTTTATGAAGTTTAAAGAAACAAGCTATCTCCATAACATCAAAATGCAAGGTAAGGCGCAAGTGTTGACATGGAATCTGCAGCAAGTTATCTGGAAGATCTAGCTAAGATAATTGATGAACATGGCTACACTAAACAAGAAATATTCAATATAGACAAAACGCTTTGTATTGGAAGAAGATGCCATTTAGGACTTTAATAGCTAGAGAGGAGAAGTCAATGCCTAGCTTCAAATTTCAAAGGACATGCTGACTCTCTTGTTAGGGGCAAATGCAATAAGTTGAAGCCAATGATCATTTATCATTTTGAAAATCCTAGGGCCCTTAAGAATTGTGCTGAATCTATTCTGCCTGTGCTCTCTAAATGGAAAAAACAAAGCCTGGATGACAGCATATCTGTTTACAGCCTGGTTTACTGAATATTTTAAGCTCACTATTGAAACCTACTGCTCAGAATAAATATTTTTTTAAAAATATTACTCCTAATTGACAATGCACCTAGTTACCCAAAAGTTCTGATGGATATATGCAAGGAAATTAATGTTGTTTTCCTGCATGCTAATACAACATCTATTCTGTAGGAATCAAGGAATAATTCTTTGGATCAAAGAATAATTTCAACCTTCAAGTCTTATTATTTAAGAAATGTTTTTGTAAGACTACAGCTGCTGTTAACATTCACAATTTATGGGAAGAAGTTAAAATATCAAGATTAAAAGGGAGTTGGAGAAAGCTGATTCTAACCTTCCTGATGACTTTGAGGGGTTGAAGTCATCAGTGGTAGAAGGAACTTCAGATGTCGTAGAAAGAGCAAGAGAGCTAGAATTAAAAGCGGAGCCTCAAGATGTGACTGGATTGCTGCAGTCTCAAGATAATAGAGGGATTGAGATATCCATTCAAGATAATTGAATGGATGAGAAGTTGCTTCTTAGAGATGAGCAAAGAAAGTGGTTTCTTGAGATGGAATTTACTCCTGGTGAAGATGCTGTGAACATCGTTGAAATGACAACACAAGATATAGAGTATTACATAAACTTGGTTGATAAAGGAGTGGCACAGTTTGAGAGAATTGACTCCAATTTTGAAAGAAATTCCACTGTGAGTAAATTGTGACAAAACAATGTCATATGCTACAGAGAAATTTTTCATGAAAGGAAGGGTCAGTAGCTGTATCAAACTTTATTATTTTCTATTTTAAGAAATGGTCATAGCCACCCAACTTTCAGCAACCACCACCCTGATCGGTCAGCAGCCATCAACATTAAGGTAAGACTCTCCACCAGCAAAAAGATTGACTTGCCAAAGGCTCAAATTATTGTTAGCATTTTTTAATAGTAAATTATGTTTAATTAAGGTATGTACGTTGCTCTTTAGACATAATGTTATTGCACATTTAATGGACTATAGTGTAAACATAACTTTTACATGCACTGGGAAACCAAAAAATGTGTATAACTTGCTTTATTGTGCTATTTGCCTTATTTTGGTAGTCTGGAACTAAACCTGTAACATCTCTGAAGTGTACACACCCACACACACATATACATATCTGATGTCAATTGATGAGTTTTGAAAAAAAATCAGGATAAGAGAATTTTTAAAAAGTAAGTAGTTGACTAGGAGAATTAGGGGAAAGGCTTCTATTGCTGTAAGGGAGAAAGGAAGCCATACAGGCATCTGTAATAGCAAATGTAGAAGCACTAAGCTTTGCTCTCTGGGACTGCAAAGGAATCCAGCTTAGCTGAGCTAGAGTGAACAAGAGAAAAGCAAATGAGAGCCGAGATCAGACTGATAACTGGCACCAGATCACATAGGGTCTATCAGGCCATGGTGAAGCATTGGCTTTTCTTCCAGATTCAGGAATTCACTGAAGGATTTATGCAGAAGACTGGCATATGCCTAATATGGGCAGAACTTTCAAGGTTCACATGTTCTTTTTTCTTCTAAACAAAGACTTGCCAGGTGGAGCTAAACTTACTCTATATCAAGCCAGAATTCTGGAGGGAGAATTTTTATTGTCGTTCTCCTGCCTTTCTCCTCAAATGATAAGATGGTCGCCACAGCGCCAAACATCACATCTTCATGAGCCAAGGTTAAAAGGCAGGAAGGAAGGGAGAATGTCTTCCAGTACTTTGCTCTTTCGAATGAGGAAGAAAATCTTCCCCAGAAACCTCTTTATTAAATATTCCCTCATGTTCCATTGGCAAATACCCTGCCATATGCCCTTCTCAAATTCATCAGGGAACAGAACTCCCAAGAGTGACTCAGAGTAAGCATGAATCATCTCTTGAACCTGAGCCCACCTCACCTTAACAGAATGCCTCCCCTACACAACAGATATTTGAACAAAATTTGGATTTTATTAATGAGGAAAAGGCATTCAGTAGGCAACTCCAGTGTCTGCCACATATTGAAAGAGAGGTCAGTATCTACTGAATAGATGAAGGAAAAAGACAAATGATGTGGGCCATTCCATAAAAGGAGAAGGCTAGAAACAAATGTTGCCTATTACTTTAGACTTTTCTCTTCTCATTTTTTCCCCACATCCTGATTCTGTGGCTTGGTATATTCTTTCATGGTTTATTAAATATCTCAGAAATTTGCTGTTCCCAAAGTTTATTAATCGTTCCCACGTCATTTCCCAGGTCATTTGCTTGCAAGGCTTTCTAAAAATGGAAGTGTCAAATGTTTGTTTATTTACTTAACTTCAGGCATTTTGTTACTGGGTCATCCCCTTGCTAATTCTAAATTGGTCTAGAAGATACTTCAAACTTATGCATTCTTCCTTTTTAGGAAAACAGTTATAAAAATAAGAAAACCCATTCTAACAAAGAAAAATATGCTCATCTCAGAAATCAATACAGTAAAAAAGATAGTTTCTCTTTAGAAACCATGGATCATTATTTTCAGAGTTGAACCCATTTATAAATTCCTTGAGTTGCTATCCATATGTCCAGACCCCCCTCCCCAAATTTGATATTCTTTTGATTCCTTAGAGAATCATTTTCTCCTACTGTCAACAGAAGCCTAATGTTATTTTGATTTATTTTTTCTCCACTTTTTCAAAATTTCAGTCTTAGGAATTTAATAAATCAAAATAACCACATATCAATGCAGATTGAGGTTTAATTAGCTATATTTCATAAGACACTTTAGTAGAATAGTAAGATTTACATTGAAAGAATGCTACTCTAAATTGCAGAATTCTAGGTACTAGGCAGCTGTTGAGAATGTACTTGGACTATGTGAGTGAGCTGAAACTATTGACTTCAGACTTCATTATTCTTGTTTGTTTACTTATGAAGCTGGTCTCATTGCCTGTTTGCTTTGGGCTTCAGGCACTGAGTCTCTTTCTGAGAAATTGAAAGATAAACATGCTTTCATCTTTGAAAACATGTATTAAATAATTAAATTGGTTAATAATATTAAAAAAGACAGAATTGTATAGTGGAAAAAGTATTCGACTAAAAATTTGGAGAACAGGATTCTAAGCTAAGGTCTTTCACTGGTAAACTCTGAGTTAACCTCTCGGCATATCTGAATACATTTTCTCATTCTTCAAATGAGAAAGCTAGACTGTTAGTCTCAAATGTCCTTCTAATTCTTCTGGTTCCTCAATCCATGTTTGTTGAGAAACCAGTGCCATATTATGAAAAAAAAAGAGAAATAGGATCAAAATGCATGAATCATTCTAAGTTGTTGAGAAGTTTGCAAACTGACTGGGAAAACACAATTAGAGAAAAATGACAAATTATGTGTAATCAAAAGCAAATGGTATGGTACCAACAAAAGCTACTATAACACATTGTCAGAGAGGGTCAATATAGAAAAAATATGGGAGATGTTGGAAAAGATGTAGAAAAAGAATGGACAAGGATGGATGGGCAGGTGTGCAGCCCTGGAGGAGGCCTATGGGTATTCCAGTGTGTGCAGATTAAGTGCAGTGCTATGGATAAGTACTAGCTGGGGTGAAGATCAAAAAAGAGACATTCATAGGGTCTGATATTAGGGTATGAGAGGGATAAATTAGAATGGTGTTGAAATGTCCTAATTGTAAATAAATTATCCCGTAAATAAGGGGACCATGTATTTTATCATTCTGACTGGTATACTCTTAAAAGGGGGCATCATTAATAATTAGTCTAGAATAGCAAGGGTAACTGCTACTATTGCAGGCAAACTAAGACCACCCAAGTTAAACTAGGTTATATATCCACTTGCTTATAAGGAGTGCACTTCTTTTCCTGTAAAATACTGTAAATGTGGAAACTAATGAATTGCAGGTAGAAATTGCAGAGCCTTTATTTAGGTATTGGAGGTAGAGCCTGCTTGGTTAGTGTCAGCTGTAAATTTCAGTTCTCTCTCAGTCGACTCCCTAAAGACACAAACATATGATATAGCATTTGTTGTGTAGCAGATATTTCCTGTGTGGGATTGCAAATTATACCTAAGGGAACAGAAAACCTCCCTGAGAGTAGAAACATGATGTGGTGTGAGTGATAAACTTTTGAGCTAGACCTACACATAGAGAGGAAAGATGGAAGAAATCAAGGACTGTAAACAAATTCTACAAATCACCTTAGAGTATACACTAACACTGCCAGATGGATCTCTTAGGTCCGATTTCCTTGACATTTATGTGCACAGTTTCTTCCTCTGAAATCTCTGCATTTTTGCTCATAGTGGAAGATGTCCAGCAGTTCCCAAGAATGCTGATGATCGCTCTGAGCATTTCTTCATGCTCAGCTCCTTCTACAGCCATCCTGCCGATGACATTCCTTTCTGACCAGAACACTGCTCTGAAAGTCAGCCAGTTAGATAGCCAATAATTGTCAGCATCTGAATGTGCTAGATAGGCATTGGAGACAGGGTGTTGAGCAAGATAAATACAGTTCCTGTTCTCGTGAAGCTTTTCTTCTAGCAAGGAAGAAACATGATTATAAGTATGATCCTATGAAGATAAAGTTCAAAACCCTGGCAGCCTAGGAGTGACTGATCTCCCATTAGCCAGCACACTAGATAGACTAGCTTATCTATTATTGGTTATAATCACACAAAGATAAAAGTAACTGCCATTTATTGAAAGCCAATAGCGCATGGAGCACTGTTCAGAGGGCTTATACATGCATCTTGAACTTTTACAAAACTCTGCAGGGTAAGTAGTATTATTGCCATCCTACAGATGAAAAATCTATGGCTCTTAAAAGTAATGTAACTTCTACAACATAGCATGACTGGTACATGGCCGAGATGGGATTCAAAGTCGTGTCTGCTTGGATCCAAAGCCTCATGTTTTCTGTTGGGTCATATTTCATTTTTCTGAGCCTCAGTCTCTTCATGTGTGAAACAAAGGTGTGAAGATTTGTCTCATGGGCTTGCAGTGAGGATTGAATGTTACAATGTATAAGAAAATGCCCCGTGCAATGCCTTCCACATGCTTCATTTAGACGGCTTTGATGATTATATCCTAGGACCAAACTCTGCTCAGGGCATTGCCTTGCACATCCTTCATGACTTTCCTGTCCTTCCAAATGTAGTCTTCATCATATTTCTACAACTTACCTCTTCCCTTCACCACCCATAGTTCTTGCCCAGTTCCTGATAACAACAATAACACTAACAATATGATAGATAATAACTGACCACTTACTATGTTCTATATGTTTTATAAATATTATGTAGTTTAAGCAACATAGGTGATGGGCATTTTAATTATGCGTATATCAGAGATGAGGAAACTGGTACATTGGACATAGAGAGGGAGTTGCCCAAGATCCCAGGACAGGCAAATGTCAGAGATGGATTGCAACCCACAGCCATCTGTCTCCAGACTCCAGATTCTTCATAACTGCATTCACCACTAACTCATCATTAAGCTGAGATAATTCCCAATCTTACCACACATCCTCTGAGTTTAAAATCATCACTTCCACATACAAACGGTTCACCACATTAGACAATTACAATAGATTAGGGTGATAGAAGGATGGAAGAAAAACATTCTCTTCCCCTAACACTTGCCTAAATAAGCCCTTCTCTGTAGTCACAAAAGCCATTTTAAAAGAAAATAAGAGCTTTGGGGTATTTAAAGTTGCAAAGGGAGGCCAATTATGAGAAGAGTATCTCAGAGCACAAATAAAGATCTCTGCCAGAAAAGCATACAAAGAATTTTTCATGTATGAAAATGGTCATATTAAAGGGGACCACAGTGGGGTAAAAAGTAAGGTGATTTCGTATAAGCCAGAGCTGTCATATGGAGATCAGCAAAGCAATGATGGGTGATGGACATCAAGTTCCAAAGCATGAGGTCAGGCAGGCCACAGGAGAACTGACCAGGGACTGAGTATGCAGAAAAAGAAAGCATTTTTTTAAAGAGTAATTATTTGAAAAGAAAATCAGGCCTATATTATGCTCTGAATGTTCTGAGGTGGTGAGAAATGTACTCTGAATTGAATTTAGGAAAACTTGGAGAAATCAGAGAAAAAAAAAACCAAGCATTTAATCTTCAGTTAGTGAGGAATTAAGTAGGAGGGACAAAAAAGAAAATATTTTTGTAATCTTTAGTTGGGATAATCTATTTTATACCAAGTCTATTGAAATAATATGTGATCATGTCAGTTTCTTCAGAGTTTGTCCTATTTTATTAAGGTCAGAGCACGTGCTCCATGGCTTCAGGTTTGCCATGTGCCCACTTGAGGCAGGTGCTCTTAGCCCCTGGCTCTGGAAACTCCTCAGAAACTTTCCACCCCATTCATCTGTTCCTCTCTCCAGCCTAGCATGGTAATGTCTTCCTGCTACTGCTAATCTCTAAATGTCTCATTGCTCCTCGTTTGACTCAGCAACTTTTATCCTCTGCATAGCTGATTCCCTACATTCAATTCCCTCTATCGCAACTACAGTGTCTTTAACATATTTCTTGCTTATGAAGGGATAGAGATTTGGGGGCTGCAGTAACAAATTGCCACAAACTGGATTGTTTAAAACAAAAGGTATTTATTTTCTGACTGTTCAGGACGCCAGAAATCTGAAATCAAGGCGTCAGCAGGGTTAGTTCCTTCTGGGCTCTCTGAGGGATAATGTGTTCCTCTCCTAACTTCTGATGGTTGCTGGCAATCCTTGGCATTCTTTGGCTTGTGGATGAATTGCTCTAATCTCTGCCCCCATTTTCACATGGCCTTCTCTTCTGTGTCTGTTTCAACTGTCTCTTTCTTTCTCTTATAAGGACATTAGATTAGGGACCTACCATAAACCCAGGGTGCTCTCATCTTAAGATCCTTAACTTAATTACTATGCGAAGACCCTATTTCCAAATAAGGTCACATTCACAGGACCTGGGAATTAGGACTTCAGCTATCTTTTGGGGGCCACTATCCAAGTCATTATAGTAGATACTATAGTAGATGTTCTTCTGTAGTTATGCTTAGACAGTAAGAGACACAGAACAGTCTGCAACCTCACCTTCTAAAGCAGCATGATTCAGCAGAACTTTCTATGATAGTGGAAATGTTTCATATCTACACCATCTAACTTGGTAGCCATTAGCCATGCATGGCTATTGAGTATTGAAACATGGCTAGTGCAACCGCAAAGCTGGATTGTTCTATTTATTACATCTTAATTAATTTAAATATAAATAGTTTCATGTATCCGGGAGCTGCTGCATTGGACAGAGCAGTTTTATAGAGAAAACAATGACAGATACCAACCATATTAATCCAATGTAGTGAGCATCATGAGAGTGGATGCTTAAGGGAAAATGGAGTCAGTGATAGAGTCGCAAAAGCAATGGCGTATGTCAGGTCAGACACGGGCTATTAGGTGTTAAAACAGCATGCATAAAGACACGGAGGAAAGAAGGAAGTGTCATACAATGTCTAGAGCATGGAGTTTCTGGAAGAAGTGAGGCTGCAGAGGTGACTTGTAGATAACTCAGTACCGTGCTCTAGAGAATTTGAACTTTGTCCATGGGTGTAAAACAGAAGAGTGAAATGTTCATATTTATCTTTAAAAGGAGCAGAATAGAAGATGAGTTAGAACAAAGAGAGCCCAGGACAAAGTTTCTCATTCTAGATTTCCATTCAGAATCTATACCACATGTGGCAAGCACTACAATGACCCAAGTTTCAGAGATGAGGAAACTGTGCTGAGTTTACATGAGAGAATCATGCACATCTTTCAATTCTGTGTGCACAAACTAGTTAGTAAAGGCATTGTATTCTGTAGCACATTAAAGCCCTAAAAGAAGCCTCTTTGCTAATTTCTGAGGCAGTCTAAAGTATTGCTTATTATATGTATAAAAGGAATAAAAATGTCCCCTGTGGTAATTCACCTTCTCCCAATGACTTTGAGAGATAACAGATTTGTCTATCTTTCAGCTGTAGATCCTTTGGATTTGGTGACAGCAGTAATTCCTCTTACAATCTTGGCTAACGCATTAGCATTCACGGTAATTTCTGCCATTAGACAGGCACTGCCGTGCACCATGACGGTCTCTACTCTGTAATTGTAGGGATCCTCATTAATCTAAAAGAATATTATGACATTGTGAGCTTACAGGAGAGACAATTCATGACTGACACAATAAAGGCTTAAATTATGCTGCTTTTGATGATGAGAGGTGCAGAGCTGCATTTTTTTTCTTTTAACTTCTTGCAAAATTAGGATTTAGCAGCTGTAAGAAAATCCTTGTATAATGAAAGTGGATGGCGTTCAGACACAACCAATTTCAGACCTGCCTTGAGGAAATCTTTTATTTCAGGAAGATATTAAAATTTCAAAGCTGTTTTCTGGTGGCATTTTTATTGATAAACCTGCATTTAAAGCAGAGCCTTAAAAAATGCATGAGATACACATAGCCAGAACACACCATGTTAGAGGCTACTGCCTAGATCCTGAACGCTCACAGCATTTTACATACTGCCCTGGACAGTCTCCAAGACATGTTTTGACATATGTTTAATTTTTTAATACTCAACTCTCTTTGGTGAGAAGGAGTTGACTTTGGAGGTAGGTTTTTCTTTGTTATCAAGTAGGTAAAGACCGCTTATTTTTTTTTTTCTAACTGTAGGAAAGAAAGAAAAGTGCAATTTTTAATTAAGACAAAATAGATTGCAAAAGAACTCTTTAGCTTCTTTTCCCTGTATGTAAACTGTCACCTATTTAGTTCTCATAGATGACTTGACTTGCTACGTATACAAATCTTACAAATTTAGACTTGCTCTATTTTTATCAGTGAGGACATTAAAACCTAGAAAGGTCAGGGACTTTTTCAAGATCACAGATTTTTGGTGGCTATCTAGGGGAAAAAATAAGCCTTGTTTCTTCTTTTCCAGTCTAGTCCTTTTTTTCTACAACATTGTGTCGAAATAAATGAATCAGTGTTTATTATCTACTTAGTACCTATCATTGTGCTAAATATTAGACATGGATTTCGCCAGGAAGTTTGCAATCCTTTTTAGAAAATTAGGGTAACACACATGAAATTATCATCAAATCACGGTAACCTCATTTAATCGTGACAATTGGAGTGGCAAGGTATAATCTCATTTAATCATGACAATTTAGAGTGGCAATTACATTATTAGTTACATGTTACAGATGAGAGAACAAACACAAACACCTCACATAACTTGACGAAGGTCACAAAGCTAGTAAATCATGGTGCTGAGATTAAAATCCAAGCCATCTTACTGTGGAGCCCAAATACTTAGCCCTATTGTTTCCGGATGGCTGATGTAACGGTAGGGTCAGAGACGGGGAGGTATGAGTCCAAGCTGGAGTTGGAGAAACTGCATCAGTGCACAGGACTTCAGCAGAGCCTTGGTGGTGGGAAGGATTTTAGATAGGCAGCAGAGCAGAGGAGTGTATTTTACATTGGAAGAGTAGAATGATGAAGGGAAGTGTAGAGGTTAGTCGTATACAACAGTCACTGGGCAAGGCAAATAAACTAAAACATAATACCTCAATTATATGAACAATGCATTGATAATGCGTGTCAGACACACCTATGCATTTCTGCTTAGGGATGTGCAAGTCTGTCCAACTTCTCTCATTAATTATCAACTCAAGTGCAATTTGTTCACAGTAACAACACGTAGGGATTTCAGTGGTTGTTGGTCAACTTTCTGTCTCCCTGAAAGAACATATGGAAATGAGGAGCTGTGTTTCTTGTCTGTGTGGCTGATGTGACCTCACCATATGGACACACTTAGGATAAAGAAAGGAACTTTCTTGAATTTCACATACTCTGAGTACTGTCAGAGGAAGACTCTAATTGACAGGATCTCTGTAAGAATAGATGCCCTTTTGCCATTCCAGAAACATTTCATTCTCTAGAGAGAAGGTCAAAAATATTCTCTCTCACTAGTGAATAGGTTTTATGTTGACAGCTCCTGATGTCAGTGGGGACCTATTAAATTAGTTTCCATCTATCTCTGCATATTTCAAAACAGGACACAAGGTGGACACTCCAGAGAGGTATGCTCTCAGAAAAGCTAACGTGGTGAAACTCCGTCTCTACTAAAAATACAGAAATTGGCCGAGCTTGATGGCGGGTCCCTGTAATCCCAGCTACTTGAGAAGCTGAGGCAGGAGAATCACTTGAACCCAGGAGGTGGAAGTTGCAGTGAGCCAAGACTGTGCCATTGCACTCCAGCCTGGGCAACAAGAGCAAAACTCCATCTCAAAAAAAAAAAAAAAAAAAAAGCTAACATTCTAACCGATGCTGTAAACTTGTTCTCCAGTCCTACCTCATTGCAGGGACTACGTTCTCAAAGTGCTCGGTTTCACAGAAACTCTGTACAGTGCTGTCCTCCCCTTGCCATGCATTGCACACCTTGTGCGACTCTTCCGAAGAATGGAGGCGATAAGAATTTTTTGCATTCTTGAAGCTCTATCTAAGAGCTTACTTTCTACACTGCATTCTGCATGCAGAGACTTTTTAAATAAAATTTAAACATAGTGCCTTGTTTTCTATGACAATGACACAAGATACCTACATAGGCAAGCAATATATACAAATACAAAAAAAAGTAATAAATTACCACGGATTTTTGGAAGTAACCACTGTTAATACATGAGTTCTGAGAGAGTGCTTTGCTACCTAAATAGATGGGTGGTTGGATAAATATAAGTAACTTGATACAAGCAAATGGTACTATACATGCTTTTACAAAATAGAATTAGCATATTAAGTTTGATTGCATTTAGAAAAGAAAAAAACAGTCATAGTAAGAGGGCTGAAATCTTCAACTTCCAGATAATTTTCTTTTGCCACAGAGGTGCTATTTCTATAAAATCTTCCTGAACTTAGAATACATGAAAAACATGAAGAAATTGAAATCAGGTTATATTTTTAAACTACATTATTCAACTCCAATTAGTAGAAATTAAAGGATATTTAAAAGATGAGGACATCAGTGCTCTTATAGTATTTTTAATTGGTTTTTTAATTTGTATTCAAAATATTTACACTGTGTTCTATAATCATAATTTCTGTAAGTGTTTAGTACTTATATAGTTAAAATAATTAATGTTCTTCTATCAGGTTCTCAATTCTTATGTTCTCATTTTTTATTTAGCTTTTACTGAAGTGAATGTCATTATCTCCTCCTCCCACCTGTCTGCAAAGGGCTTACATATACTCTATTCCCTGAGATTTTTCTTATTTGAGAACAATTGTTTATTGCCTTTCTATACTTAAAGTGAAATAGTATTCTTGGATCAATTTATTGGTAGACACTACATCATTGTCTTCCAATATCAAGTGTTGCTGTATATTATCTCACAGCTTAGCCTCTCCATATTATTTACTACAATATTAGTCATGTGAGCTAAACTATAATATCGTATATCTTTTGAAAATATCGTTCCTGAAAGCATCAATTATCCTTCTCTTTGGGCCAGTTGCTCTGCAGGACCACTGTTCAGCATCACCGCAAGACTTCTTTTGCTGGCATCCTTTGCAATTCTTCTGTGCTGGGTCCCTAATTAATGACTCTCATGGCATTGTTTTTATTGATGTATTCCTATATTTAGGCCAAGCCTATTCTGCAGTACTTAAAAAGTATATAAAAAGTGAAGGCATCACCATGCCTATCTTTTGGGTCACACTGCTCCAATTTCAAATGGCTTCCTCTGTACCTAGGGCACCATGTGGTCGCCTTAGGCTTACCCTTCGCTACTGTCTGGATATGCCCTTCCTTTTTATCTTGTTTGGATCTCTTTTTATTGTTGTTGTTGTTGTTTCATTTTGTACTGGTTTTGGGTTTGCTCCCTCATTTTGATAGAGGATGTCATCCAGTAACTTTCTGAGAAATTCCTCCAGGCATTTATCATTTTCTTTTTGTTTCAGTTGTGATAATAAAATCCAGTCATTCTGATTCTTGGTCATTAGTACCTGACTTACTTTTTAAAATTTTGTGAAATCTATTTCCCATATTTCTAGCATCTGAAATTTCACAATCGTGTGCTATTGGTGAAAAAAAAAATCTTCAGTTTTCCTTCTTTTTCTGTTGTTCCCTTTTAAGGAAATGTTACCTACATTTCAAACATTGGACCTACTGGAGTAGTTATCCACTTTTCTTACCTTTGCACTTCCCTTCTTTTTGCTGTATTTTAGGAAAGCTCTTCAATCAAGCTTACCACTCCTTCCATGATTAAAGGGGATTTTTAAAATGACCACTGTCATGTTTTAATTTCTAAAGTTCTTTATTGACTTCTTAGTATTCCTATTTTGATTCATCCTGTTCTTGTTTCATGAATACAATTGCTTTTTCTATTTCTTGAATGATGTAAGTAGAGGTTTTTTTTTTTTTTTTTTTTTAAAGTTGTCTTCCCTCTGTATTATGTCTGTCTTCTTTCTGAAAGTCACTTTTTTCCTATTTGCTTATTTGGGTCTCTGTATTCTATATGAGAAGTTTAATCACAAGTCTAGAAATTCTCAGCTTACAATTAAGATGTGTATGTGTGTGAGGGGGATTAAAATGCTAATTAAAAATATCACATGCATAGTGGAGTTTGTAAACCTTGAGCTTTGTTATAGAGTAATTTATTAGGGTACTTTTGGTAAGCCTGATGGGAGAAACTATAGATCTTTTTTACAGGGTTAATTGGATTCCTTAAACAGTACCTTGCTGGTATCCCGCCTAGAAAGTGTGTCTGATACTGGGATAATGGTATACAGTCGAGCCCTCTAGGTTCCTGCATATTTGGAGGATTTTAGGGTATAGATTAGACTTTTTAATATGATCCAGTTTCAATAGTTATCACTATTCCACTTCTTGTGTTCTTATTATTCTTACATGTTTATGTAAAGAAAAAAATCTTTATTATTGTTGTAGTGGGTTTTTAGAATAGAGTGAACTTATTTGTTTATATTAATCTAACATCTTAAGCTTAAAGTCTGTCATTTTATATTAGCTTACTAATTACCCCTTCTCTTCAAATTAGCTGCAATTATCTTTAGCCTTTTCATATTTCTACTATATCAATTTTTAACTGAATCTGTTTTAGCCCTTTTTTTTGTAATTTTTTTAAACAGTAACCCTATTATTTAACACAAGAAGCCAAATTGCAGAAGATAGCACTTTTATTCACATCATATAGGTGAAAGACTAAGGCACACAGAGGTTATGTAGTTTGCTCAGGGTGACACAGTAAGGGGAAGAGTTAGGTTTAGAATGCAGGAAGTGTCACTCCTCAGCATGTGCTAGTAACTACAATAACATTCTTGCTCTAGGATTTTGTTCTACTTCCCTATTTGCTACCTTAAAAAATCCTGTTATGCAATTTTACCATTACATTGTTGAAATTTACTTTTGTTGACTTTACATTCTTATTAAGTTCTTCAATAGCATAAAATATTGCTGGGTATTTGTCTTCTGTTTGTTTCTTTAATTTGTTTCCAGATAGCATTCTTTCAACTTTGTAGTATGCTATGTTATTTTAATCATTATTATATTCATTATAACTACTTCAAAATACTATATTTTTATAATGAACGTAACATTTTTCTCAGTACCCCCATGCTTAATATGAGCAGAGTTAATTGTTCTGATATTGTGTGGATAACCCTTATTCATGTCAATTTATCCTTAGCTGAAATGTTCCATTTTTCTCTTTAAACTATAGTTCTAAAGATGGGAATTACTTTTCCTTGAGTTACCTTTAATCTATGTGAAGAGCCCTTGATGGGAGACTTGAAATACTTTCTCCCTTCTGAGGTACATTTTAAGTGAACAACATCACTACCCACTCTACCCATAAAGTTCTTTGTACTTCAACTTCATCCCCTGGCCAGCACTGTGCTCCAGAAGGCCCCCAAAGCCTTTGTCTTTCCTAAAGTCCTAGAGTGGGTCGATGGACTTCTAAGATAAGCAGTTTTACTACAATCACATCAAAAGCTGTTATAGTCACACTGCCTCAGACAACCTGTCTTCCATTTGCAGGGTATTTATGAACTCTCAAGATATTGTTCATGTACATTTTTTCAATGCACCTCTTCTGGGAGTAAAGGTGAGGTAGAGGCAAGATTGAGAGGCCAAGTGTTTGGCCACAAACACATCTTTCTAGCCATGGACAACATCATTACAGTTTATGAGATTATAAACTATTTTCCCATTAAGTGAGCTGGAAATTTCCTGGTGTTTTTTTCCTTTGTTGTTGTAGTTAAATACATTTTGAGTCATTTAATTATATATTAAGGGAGAAGTATTCCGTAACCAATTTTCTTGCCACTACTTTTTAAAAATTATAGTGTCACTCATCTTCAAAATATATCAGAAATAGAGATAAGAGAGTCAATCTGAGACTAAATTGAGATCAGAGTTGATTTTAGTATAAATAGATAGGATAAGATAAGTGTTCATTCCCTCGGGAAAGAAACTTAGAAATTATTTTGTTCAAGCTTTTATTTTACCCATAAAGAACTGAGGTTTAGAGAGAGAGATTAAATTAACTTCTTGAGATTTCACTTGTGTCAGCTCAAAACTCAAGTTTCCTAGTTCCCATTCCACAGATGTTTCCACTTTACCAAGTTGCCTTCTAAATTGCATACAAAAATAACCATTTGGGAAGTATTTTGTACAGGCTTATGTGCAGTATATTTTTTCAAATAGAATTTGAGTTATTTTCCATGTACAGCTTTTTCCAAGTAAGATATACAACATCTAACATGCAATCAATACAGTTCTCCCTATTCAATGGAATGGAACGTTGCTAAGATGGGCAACAAAAACATAAACATCTTTTTGTTTACTCTGGAAGTTATTTTTTAAATTACATTTTCCACTGAAAAATATGCATTATCTTCTAACTGTACTAATTGGGTGTCTTGTTACACTACTCACAGGAAAATTCATTCAGTATTCATATTGGTTGGGATCTCCTTTGGGTAGTGGATTCTCTATGCCAAGGTTCTCCCAATATTCAAATGTATGGTTATTACCATTCTCTGGATGATTCTGAGATAGTCTTTAGTTATTAGTTAAATTAAAGAATGTTTACAAATATAGCTATCTTTAATGTGATTAGCATTGTGTAATTTAAATGTGCCTTGAATACTTCTAATGATACTAGTAAGCCTATTTTGTCACCCCCATTTTACAATTAGAAAATTTCAGACTCAGAGAAGATAAGCCACATGCCTAAGTTCATTTTTTAGTAAAGAGTTGCATGAAATTTAAAGGCAGGTCTATTTTCCTCATGAGTTCATATAGACCCTTTCCACTATTCTGGGAGGTCTTGTGCTGGAAAAAATAATGCACTCACTTAAAACACTTTAATAAAGAAATTAGAATTTTTCAACATTATTCTTTTGTATACTTCTTTTGAACATAAAAATAATCTATATAGTAGATTCTGAACTCTTGAATACTATGGTAAAAGAGTTGTAAAAGACAAACACCTAAATTTTACCTCTCAGCCATGAAATTTCTTAATATTATTTTAAAGCCTGATATCCTTAGATACTTTCAGTTCCTTTAATCAATACTATTTTTTCAAATGAATAATGGTACCTAGACTGTACTTTGTCTTACTTATTATAAAATTTTACTGCTTTGCTAACTAGGGTTTTAATATGTCAGGAAAAAAATAGACATACTTTAAAGTACGTGACTAGATACCAGTACTACGCTTGGTGTTTGCTAGCTTAGCTACTCAGATTCTTTTTGTTTGTTTGTTTTTGTAGACTCCCTCTTTAAAAGAATTTTTAATTGTGGTAAAGTACACAGAGTATAACATCTACCTTAATTTGTAAAGTGTACAGTTCAGTGGTATATTCACATTGTTGTGCTGCCATCACCACCATCTGTCTACAGAACTCTTTCCATCTCATGAAACTGAAACTCTGTACCTTTCAAACAATAAATCCATTTTCCATTCCCCCAGCCCTGACAGCCAGCATTCTACCATCAGTCTGCAGGAGTTTGACTACTCATATAAGAGGCATCATACAGTATTTGTGACTGGCTCATTTCACTCAGCATCATGTCCATAAGATTTATCCATGTTTTAGCAGAATTTCCTTTCTCTTTAAGGCTGAATAATATCCCATTGCATGTATATACCGCATTTTATATATCCATTCATCTTGGGTGACTTCCATCTTTTGGCAATTGTGAATAATGCTGCTATGGACATGGATTCACAAACATCTCTTCAAGTCCCCACTTTCAATTTTTTGAGGTATATACTCAGAAGTGGAATTGTTGTACCATATGGTAATTATGTGTTTTTACTTTTTTTTCTTATGTTAGCAGCTACACCTTTTTTTTTTTTTTTTTTGAGACGGAGTCTTGCTCTGTCGCCCAGGCTGGAGTGCAGTGGAGCCATCTCGGCTCACTGCAAGCTCCGCCTCCCAGGTTCACGCCATTCTCCTGCCTCAGCCTCCCCAGCAGCTGGGACTACAGGTGCCTGCCACCACGCCTGGCTAATTTTTTGTATCTTTAGTAGAGATGGGGTGTCACTGTGTTAGCCAGGATGGTCTCGATCTCCTGACCTCGTGATCCGCCTGCCTCAGCTTCCCAAAGTGCAGCTACACCATTTTATATTCCCACCAACTATACACAAAAATTCCATTTTCTTCACATCTTCACCATCAATTGTTATTTTCTTTTTCTTTCCTCTTTCTTGCTCGCTTGCCTTCCCACTTTGTTTTCTCTTCTCTTCTTTCTTTTGTTAGTAGCTATCCTAATGGGTTAATAGTCTGTTTGTTGTTTCTGGGCCCTAATTTTTCTTATTTGTCACTGTACTATGTTTTGTAATACTCTTCTTAGCTGTCACTTACGTATTTATATTGTTGAATCTATTTGTGGCATAAAATGGGCTTCAAGATATAGATATGTGGCACCATGCAATATTACCAGTGGGTAGTAAGTTCAGTTGAAATAAAAAAATGGCCTGGGTTACAGAACATTTAAGAGTATGAATACCACCATTATAATCAAGAACACCAAATATTATACAAAATTCATAATAGAAGCAGAGATTATTCTAGAAAATATTAATTATGTCAATACACAGAATTCTTTATTTACAATGAGTACACTGGTTGATTGAAAATATTACTGCTAAAATTTTCTCTTTAAATATAATCCAGCTTGCACAGGTTATATGAACATATAAAATAAAATTTAGAAAATTTCAGAAAGTAACAGAGGAAGTATTTCCACCATTGAGATATAACTATTTTTATTTTGCTCCATTTTTTGTAACATTTTACTTCTTGCATACACACATTCAGATGTATGATGTATATATACTGTATATGCTGGTTTATTCACATAATATTATACAAAGAATGTTTTTCTGTTCTTATCTAATTAAATATTCACCGAAAATATATTTTTCAGAATAGCTGCATGCTCTTCAATCAATGCAGGATAAATATTGATTTCAATATGATTTCATAATTAGATTTTAAATCTTTTATTATTAATAATAACAGTGTGGTGGTTAGCATAATGTTTAAATCTGTGTCCCCACTAATTATTTAAGCCTAGACTTCAAATTAATTGGTCAATAAATAAAAATATTTTAAAACTACTATTCATATTACTAGGTATTTATCTATCGTAGAAATCCACATCCTGAATGGGTCTGATTGTTTATAAGATTAAAGGTAAATATTTTACAAGAATATTACATAAATGATATTATGTATATCTTTTATGTCTTTGCAAAAGGGCTCATACATTTACTATACAATTCTAACTACTGGACGAAGATACTTCAGTTTGCTCATCTGGAAAATAAAAGGCAAGGAGGGGGAAGGGAGTCATGAATTACATATTTTCCAAGTTCTCACCTATACTCACCAGTCTTTTAATTAATAAATTACAGAAATTAGTATGTAAGGATAAACTTATTTGTTGATTTTGATTTGTTATTACTAATATGCAGGTACTTTTTTTCTAAATTTGTTGAATGAAGGCAAATTGTAATATAGCTTTTATAGCTATTTCAGTGAGCATGTAATTTTCTTACTCTCATGAAATCTATTATGAGTTTAAAAAACATTTAACGGTTAGTTTGATTTTTAATAAAATTGATATATTTTAAAAATAGGACTTTAATTAGCATAAGAAGACCAACTTATTCCAGAATCAAAATGGTGTGATATACAGGGAAGAGATCTTTAAATCAATATTAGAAATCTTTTTTCTGTATTCCTTTTTATAGCATAAATGCTGAACTCTGATTCTGTTATTTTCAATACTTAGTAAAATTAAGAATCCAGGAAACATTTCCTACTGTGTTCTCTGTATAATATTTAGAAGCTCTTAATATTAAGACTGTTCAATTATATTTTTATCATCAAATATTAACTTATACATCTTGATTTTGTCTTACATACATTTATAAAAACACATTGTTACCTATAGTGAGTCATTTTAGACATATATGACTCAGGAGGATGACAGAATAACTAAAGAGTGAATAAGAAAGGCAAGATCTGGAATACAGGGTCAAGGAATTTATGAGAATATTGGATTTGTCTACCTGGTAATATAGCTCAGGATAAAATGAAAATCTAGTTACACTCCCAAATAGTAAATACCTAGAAACTGATGCCTAGAGTTTAAAATTCATTACTAAATGTATTTAATAAATAAATGAATACATTATTGTGGGATTTTTATTCAAACATTTCAAACCAACTTACTCTTCATATAGACTTTTTTTTGCTAAGGGGCATTCTTTTATAAAAAGGTATTAATATTATTTATAAGTTGGCCTCTCCAGAGCACAATTAAGGGGCATTCTGAAATTATGGAAATCATGTTTTGAGGAGAGTTTAGAGTCTGTTGTGACACTCTGTTCTTCAATTCTTGTTTGCATTATTTGCATAGACTGTTCTCTTAGCATTTCTTTCACTCTCCATATATTCTTTAAGAGGGAGATCCTTGGGGACTATTAGTGAGGCACAAAAGGTACTGCATATATTAAACAAAGCTTTCATTGCTGGGAAGAAATTGTACATTGTCCCACAGCTGCCTAACAGTAGAATCAAAAAAGAAAGAAAAAACACAACATGTTATAGAAAAAAAATATTTGGACTTCTCAGGAAAACATGCTCCCCTATGAGGAACAAATTGCTTCATAACTTTTATTGTGGTTCCCCAGTCAGATAAGTGTTCTGAAAGTTTTTAAATTCAGTTGATTTTAGTGCAATGAACATTTCTTGACTGCCTGCTAGGGTATTAGACTGTGGATAGGAGCTATTAAGACACAGATGTGCAACATAGTCCTGCCCTCATGAAACTTTAGGTAAGGGGCCAGAAGAGAAAGAAGAAGAGGTATAGGAATCTTTACCATCCATTAGGAGAAATGCAATGAAAAGCACAAAGAAATGAAGTAGTACAAAGGAAAAGGATGGATTAAAGAAGGTTCTCAAAAGGAACTAAGACCTGAGCCAATTCTGCAGGATGTTGAAACAAAAAGGACTTGCCAAACGGATGGATGTGAGTAGAAGACATTTCAAATGAGAGGGCCAGAATGTATACTAGCAAAGAGATAAAATAACACATTTTTGTTTTGTTTTGTTTTGTTTTTGTTTTTTTTTAGAAAAGAAAACACAAGTATTTTACTGTGGAGCATAAAGTGTGATGGAAAAGTTAGTTGAAAATAAAACTGGGAAAAATAATTGCATGTGTTACCACCAAAAGCTATGAGTGTTGTGCTGGCAGCTTGGACTTTGCCACAGGGACTATGAGGAGCCACTAAAAATGGGAGTAATTAAGGGAGTAATTAAGTCCATATCTTGTAGAACCAAAAGTAGAGAGACTTTTAACGAGGTTATATATACATTGATAGTTGTACCGATGGATTAAGGGATTATGAACTTGTAACAACATACAGATTCAAAGAATATGTAAGAGATAAGGACAGAAGGGACTGATGATTGCTCATTGCATGTAAGGAAGATTGAAAAGGCAACACTGTCTTTCAGATTTATGACTTGGGTGATTGGATGTATAATAATGGTGACAACCAAAGTAGGAAATAGAGGACAAAGCTCAGCTCTGCAGGGCATGGATAATAACTTCAGTTTTGAATATCTGCACATTGTGATGTGCATTCACATTCATGAGGAGATTTCTAATAGATATATATGAAGCTCGCAGAATCTGCAGGTCTAGATTTAAGTGATGGATGTAAGTATTGTTAAAAATCTAAAAATTCACAGTAAACTCTAATTGTGTTTTCTTAGACTCTGTGTTTATCTATTTGGCATCCGTTAACTATAGAGCCAAAGAGAGCCAAATGGATGAAGTTGTTTACAACTCCTGGGATCCAGAGCCCGTATGCTGAAACACTTCTTTACCTAAGTCTCACATACCAAGCCAATATTTATTTCCCTTGGCCTAAATCAACCCAAGTACTGGTGCCCAAAGACTAGAGACAGCCCCTATGCCTTAAGGCCCTCCAGAATTTTTTAAACTGCCTATCCAAAGCCATTCCCCTGCCCTGTCTTGCCTTTTCCTATGGAGAACCCAATAAATGCTTTAGCCTGGGCTTTCCTTTTCCTCTTGCTTCTGCCACCTGATGAAACCTGGTGCTTCCTTCCCCATGTGGCCTTTGTGGCCTGGCATGCTCCCTTCTCTTGTGAAATGTAAGAAGTAAATTCTTCTTTCAAAGGCAGTTGTCTCCACGTCTGTTACCTTACCATATCTGATTTAAAAAAACCCAGGTATAAATCTTGAAGTGAGCAGTCAGTGAGAAGCAAACATGGGCTAATCATCAAATCCTGGACAATGGGGGGCATCAGGTCATCAAACTGATGACAAGACAAAGAGCAGGACAGCTAGGCCTCCTTAGCATTATTATTTTCAAGCAGAGGTCAGTTTTAACCACATCTGTTAAAATAAGAACTGAGAAAGTGTTCATTGACTTGCAAAATAAAGTTATTATTAATGAATTTAGCATGCATTTCATGGACATAATAGGATCCAAAGCCAGATTAGAAATTATCTATGGATATCAGATTTTCCTGCA
This sequence comes from Homo sapiens, assembly GCF_000001405.40. NCBI lineage: Eukaryota > Metazoa > Chordata > Mammalia > Primates > Hominidae > Homo > Homo sapiens. The sequence continues at coordinate 23,481,522 of NC_000006.12, read as the reverse complement.
ACCTTTCTTTTCTCAGATAAAACTCACTGTAAGCTCTGAAATCTCATCTTTAAAAACAGGGCTCTGAATAGATAATTTGTACTCTTTAGAGTTCTTAGGTAAATGTACTATATATAATATATGTCCTGTAGACATATATTTGGAAACAGAATTTCTCAGCAACAGTATGATGAGTAGAGAAAGAAAAAAAAACACATGAGCTGAATCATAGACATAAGTCCTTTTTGAAAGCATTGAATGCATGAGTACATTATCACTAAACATGGAGTCAAATTCAATAGACTTAGTGAAATTGCACATATTTATAGGTATGGACAAAATTTAGCAATATAAAGTTCCTAACTTTAGAGAGAGGAAATAGTTTGAAAAAGTTAACTTGCTGAAGGACTCATAATGCTTTTCCCGTACTACATGGCACATGGCCTTTGATTTGTTCCCCATTAATTCCTTTATCCAGTCTGCTCCCTTCATAAAAGATGCCTAACATTACTCTGTAATTATATAATATGATAAACTAGTTTTTACTCAATATTCCATTAGCCAAAAGCTTTTATTTTTCCTTCAGAACACAAAACAGTCCTCTCTCTCTCTTTTTTTTAAATGACCATGACATTGTCCTGCTTCTTTGACTGCGGCTCAAGCCGTGTGGGCAGTGAAGTAAAGACATGCAGAATTCTCTCTCTCTCTTTTTTTTTTATATCAAGACATGATTCCTCTTTGTGGCCCAGGCTAGAGTGCAGTGGTGTGATGTTGGCTCACTGAAGCCTCAACCTCCCACCTCAAGTGATGCTCCCATGTCAGCCTCCCAAGGAGCTAGGACTACAGGCTTGTGCCACCACCATGCCCGTTTAATTTTTGTAGGTGTGTGTGTGTTGGTTTTTTGCTTGTTTGTTTGTTTTTGTACTTTTTGTAGAGAGGGGGTTTTGCCATGTTGCCCAAGCTGGTCTTGAACCCCTGGGCTAAAGTGATCCACCTGCCTCTGCCTCCCAAAGTGCTGGGATCACAGGTGTGAGCCACTGTACTCGTCGCATAATTCTTTTATTGATGATGGTGGTGATGGAAACCTTTACCTGGAGTAGGAATAGACAGATAATTGATCTCAGCGTCTGCCCCCATTTCCCACCAATCACAAATAGACCCGCACACAGAAAGAATTTTGGATCTTATCTTAAATTTTAAAAGTTAAATAAATCAAAAACAGTCATTGATACTTATTTCAGAGATTATATATTTTTATGCCTCCCTTCAAAAAATCTATGTTAACTACTACAAATGGTTCATTTCTTCATAAGCAGACATTGGGACAAAAACACTTTCTGAAAAGAAATTTTACTGGCATTCTTTCCTTCTTTTCTTGAAAACCTGTCTCTACTGCAACACTTAATTCTTAAGTTCTTTCCTCAGCTTAGTGGAAGTAAATAGCTATTGATTACAGTTGCTGCAAACAGTCTGGGAAGTGAAGCTAAACCTGGCCCAGAGAAAAAAGACTGTATTTGTCAAATGGAAACACATTACTTCTTGGTTGGATTTCAATCAGAGAATTGTTTCTTGAGTCCTTATAAATGCTTTGAAAATGCTCTGAAGCCACAGCAAGGTTGTACAAGTGTTCTGCTATGGGATGTGTTTCCTCATCCAGTATAAAAGGAAAGATAAAAGAGAGAGTGGGGAAGAAAGAAAGAAGAAAGCTAGGAAAGGAAGAAGGGGAGAATTCAAGAAGGAGGAGAAGAGAGGAGAACTTCACCCTCAAGCATTAGTGATGCACTTGTGTGTACTTTAAATCAACTGAGTAGCAACCTGTGTTATTTTCATCTACTTTGTATGTTTAGTCATCTTTAAATTTTATTTTGAACTCAATTCAGACTTACAGAAAAGTTGCAAAAATGATACAGTTTCCCTCATGGAGCTTCTACTAATGCCATCATTGTACATAACCATAGTATGATGATCAGAATCAAGAAATTAACACTGGTACAGTACTATTAACTAAATTGACTTCTATATTTGAATTTCACTAAGTTTTCTTCTACTGTCCTTTCAGTTCCAGGATGCTATCCAGGATGTTACCTTGGGATTGGTTGTTACTTCCCCTTAGTCTTCTGCAATCTGTAAGAGTTTCTCAATCTTTCCTCCTCTTCCACAGCCTTCACCCTTTTAAAGATCATTGACTGGTTGTTTCAAGTGTTCCTTAACTTGGAGTTAACTTAAATTGAAGTTAATTTAAATAAATTTGAACAGGTTTTTTATTGCATGGCTGAAATACACAAATCATTTTTACTTTTTCCTAATTTGGATTTGGGCAGCATTTTCTAGTCATTGAGCTAAAGTCATGCATCTTTGGCAAGAATATCACAGAGATGTGTGGGCCCTTCTCAGTGTATCATATCATGGGATCCATGATGTTCACGTTTTATTATTGGTAACATTAACTTTGATTACTTGGCAAAGGTAGTTTCTACTGTTTTTTCCGACTATAAAAGTACTCTTCTACCCTATGTAGTTAATAAATAACTTGGGGAAGACCCTTTGAGAATATACAAATTCTGTTTCTCCTTAAACTTTTTCTCATTGAATTCAGCACTCCTTAGTCGACCTTGTCTGTGACAGTTATTATGTTTCCTCTTTGCTTCTATCTTTTTTCATTAAAATTCTACTCTGAGGAAGAATTGTCCCTTCTCTCTTATTTATTAATTATATATTTTAAGTTTGGTCTATGGATTATAATCAAATGCTATTCATATTTATATTGTTGCTCAAGTTCCTCCAGCAGGTTGGGTCCTTTTTCTTTTATCAAGCCCTCATCTTTTTTGAATGCTTATTTGATTTCTGATACCATATAATATTCCAGGCTCATCTTGTATGTTCCCTGCCCCAGTCCTGGCTTCAATCATTTCTTCAAAAAGTCCTAGTTCCTTTCATTGGGGAATGGTGTTTAGAAAGTTAAAATTCGGTGCTAGGTCTACCCACTGCTATTGCGGTGTCATTGTTTGCAGGCTCTGCAGCAGACAGAGCTGGGAAATTTACATATGTATACTAACTGGATTAGTTTTCAAGGGCTGCCACAGCAAATGACTATGAATCTTGTAGCTTAAAGCAACATAAATTTATTCTGTCATAGTTCTGGAGACCAAAAACCTGCAATATTAAACCAACCTTGTATTCTTGGCATAAATCTCACTTGACCATAGTATATTATTATTATTATTAATGTATTACTGATCTGTGATCAGAATTTAAAAATTCATATTAATGAGTAATATTAGTCTCAAGTTTTCTTTCTTTGTGCTGTCTTTATCTGGTTTAATTATCAGTTATTCTTCAAAAAAAGAGAAAGGAATTAGGTAGTTTTCCTTCATTTTCAATGCTCTAGAATAATTTATAGAGTATTGGGAATATCTAGTCTGAAGAACATGGTAGAGTTCTCCTGTGAAACCATCTAACTATCTGGTGCTTTTTGTAACTTTTTGTCTTTTTACTTATTTTCTGTGAATTTTATCTATCTTAAAACGAGAGCAGTGTATTAAAGCCTCCTATTAGCAAGACAGGGACAAGGAAGTTATGACAGGTACTCACTTTGATGCAAAATTTAATGGTGCACCAAAAAACCTATTTATCAAGATAAATACTATTTTAATGCAGTACTTACAAAAGTTAAATAAGTATACTATAAGCCTATGGGACAGCATCCTGTTTATATAAAAAGTTTATTGGAATCTGGGCCAAGATTGCAGTGAGATGAGTGAAGCAGAGTTGTGTAAGTGAAGGGACAGATCCTGTGTTTATTTACAATTTTATATTTAGTCATCATGGATTTTTTTTGAATCGACATTTATTGAACTCTACTACACTCTCGCTTGCCTCACCCTAATCTAGCTAGGTCTCCTAGTCCATATATCTTCGGCACCTCCTGCAGTTTTTGCTTCATAAAGGTTGAAGCCTTGCTATTTATTTTTTTATATCTTCCCTTTTAAGACACATACTTTGAAATCCCTTCTATGCGGTGCTTGGTTTGATCTGCTCAGTTATTTGATTTTCCTCTCAGATTTACAGTGGGTTTATTTTTTCTGTCTGTCTTAGTCACTTCGTACTGCTACAGCAAAATAGCATAGACTGAGTGGCTTAAACAGGGAACATTTATTTCTCACAATTCTGGGGACTGGGAAGTCCAAGATCAAGGCACTGGCATGGTTGAGTTCTGGTGAGAGTCTTCTTTTTGGCTTATAGATGGCTGTTTCCTTATTGTGTCCACACATGGTAGAGAAAGGAAGAGGGAGTAATCTCTCTCTTTCTCTTGATAGAAGAGAACTGATCCCATCATGAGAACTCTATCCTCATGACCTCATCTAAACTGAATTACCTCCCAATGGCCCACTTCCTAATACTATCACATTTGATTATGTCTTCAACATATACATTTCGGGAGGACACACTCAATCCGTAACATTGATGCTACCAACTCACACTCAGGCCCTCTTAGCTAGTGTTCCTGTTCTGAAGTCTTTAGGTTTTTTCCTGGTCTATGCTTGCTGGTCACACAGAGGGCAGACAGAAGACTGAGCATGTGAGACTGCTTTGGCCCTTGTATTTATTTACTTTTCTTTTTTATATGCAATTATTTTGCTCTTTTTGTTTTCTATGTTTTCAAGTAACTTGGGGAAATGTAGTTTAGCTTTGAATTTTCATAGATGTGAAGTTATTTCATATTGTTGAGGAAGAGATTTTGGGAAGTTGTCTGTCTGCTACCCACCTGCTTTTGCCTGCAGCTACTGGAAGTCTTCTAGCCATTATTATTAATTAATCCTTCATAATGGTATTGTATATTCCCAAGTGATATACAAACAAATGAACAGACAACTTAAAAATGTCAAGAATTTTAACCCGAAACAGCTAAAGCCAACTGAAAACTGTAACTGAAATCTCGGTACCTGAAACTGGGCAAAGCAGGTACAGTTGTCCCTATAAAAGAATGATAAGACATGCAGATATATATTTGATTTCCTGGATAAGGCATGTGTTTTAAAATTGAACATAGCTGTGTTTGAATTGCCAGATATAATTCTGGATACATTTTCTAACCGTCCTAAATCTTATATTTAAATTTTGTTTTAAATTTATGGGTACGTAGTAGGTTTATACATTGGGTACAGGAGATATTTTGGCACAGGCATGCAATGCATACTAATCACATCAGGGAAAATTGGGTATTCATCTCTTAGGTATTATTTATCCTTTGTGTTACAAATAATCCAATTACGCTTTTTAAGTTATTTTAAAATGTGCAATTAAATTATTATTGACGACAGTCCCCTATTGTGCTATCAAGTACTAGGTCTTATTCATTCTTTTTAACTTTTTTTGTAGCAATGAACCATCTCCGCTTTCCACTCACTCCCCGACTACTCTACACAGCCTCTGGTAACCATCCTTCCATTCTCTAGCTCCATGTGCTCAATTGTTTTGCTGAATCTCTTTTTTAAAATCTGTAAAATCACCAGGTTATTGGGAGAAATAATGGAATTAAGTTTTACAGGTATGTAGTAAGAGTGCCTAGCATAGTGGGTGTTCAAAAATGCTCCTTAACTTACGATTTTCTTTTACTTGTCCTGCCACTTTTATTGAAACAATATATAATCTTGAGGATTCCTTCTTTGTCACATGTTTATATAATCTTGAGGATTCCTTCTTTGTCATGTGTTTTTGTTGGAAATAAAGTCTTTTTCCCCATTTTAACACAAGTTTCTCATCATTCTCTCACTCTGCTAAATATTAAAGCACCAGTTTTCCTACAGTTTGGGATCCATAATTCTCAATGTATAGAATTAATTTTAGTTCTCATTATGAGGTTTTTACTGTACAAAATTGCATGTAAATATATGCAATCATCCCTTAAACTATTGATGCTAAATCTAGTTAGGCACTAGTTGAGATTTGTCATATCTAAAAGTTCTTTCCATTTTCTCTTATCATCTGCATGCTTTATCACTGGGCTAATAAAAAAATTTAGAAACTTACCTCACTGCATTTCATGCCTCTAGTCCAGCTGAGCTTAAGCCCTTTGTTAGGCAAGTCACTTTTCTGTTTTTTGTATGTTTTAGTTTTTCTTTAACTTTTTTTCCATTCAGTCAACTCAACTCTTTTTAATGCAACTCAAGTCAATTCAAATCAATTTAGTTATGTTTTAGACATTTCTGTTTCCATTTACAGAGCAAATGCTATAGACTGGGCACTGCTCTTTTCATTCAGAAAATAAAGTTGCTGTAAGAGCTAAAGTCTATTGGACTATCTACAGAAACACAAAATGGTATTGTCACACTAGCAAGTCAGACATGGTGCAATGGGATCAGAAAGGAAGATAATACCCAGGTTTTGGAGCAGGGTCAGTGAAGGTTTCAGAGAAGGGTTATTTTAGAGATGAACCTTGTAAAATGAGTAGGATTTTATAAAAAAAAAAGAAATGTTTTTTTGGTGGCGGTAGGAACTCCAATAAAGGTATTATTTCTAGAGATGACCTCAGGCTACTTATCAGCCAGTGTTTTTTAAACAGAGCCCTTGAAGGCCCAGATTTTCTCTGAAGACTTCAGAGGCTACCAAAAGGGCAATGCCTAAAGGGAAAGAGAGTTAAAAAGAGAGTTTGAAAACTGAATAAAGGTGATATAGACCAACCATTTACATTTCAAAAAAAGTCTACTACATCTTAAGTTCCAAAGACCTAGCTGATCTTTACCCTAATAAAAGAATTCCCTTTTTCTGAAATATCACTGTTATTATTTAGTGCATTCAGGCTTCATTTTCTTCCTTATTACTTTTACCATTTGTTTTACATCTGAGACCTGGTCCATTTGTCTTTCATTTATTGCTTACTTTTTGTTAATGCCCTACCTCCCAATCATTCCTCTTTCCCCACTGTCCATCATCTCCCTGCGTACCTGATATGTAAGAGCACTTTCAGTCACATAGGCTAATTGGATTGAGAAGGCATTGCTGGCATTAGGAAGGATATTAATGAGATGAGTTATTGTGAAAATTCTGCCTATAAAGTCGACATGTTCCGCTGCTTATTATAAACCTTCCTCATACCTTTTATTTTCCTTCTCATTAGTCTGTTCAAACAAAAATAATAAACCTTAGGAGGCTTTAGAGGAAGAACAACCCTGATTTCATCACGTCATTTTTCATCTAGATGTGAAGGCAAAGGGTGACTTTAGAAGCATCCAACTGAAAATGTAAGAGCTGCTGTCAGCCTTTCCTCCTGAAGGACTGGCAACAGCTTTCCTATCCCAACCAACTGGGTTCTAACTGGCTGAGAAATCACCTCTACTGTGTTAAGGCATGGACATTTAAGGGTAACATTTATTACAGCAGGTGGCATTACAAACCACCAGACACTAGAGACATATACCTAAGTGCCTTTAGACTTATATTCTTTCTTTTATGGTCCATGAAAAAGTCTTTAAGCATTTCTGGAAAGCTGTATTGCCAAAAAGACATAAACCAACATAGTGTTGAATAAAGATGATGAGGATATATTAAATAATAAGTTACAAGGAAGATGTTTCCTTGCTCATTTTATTGGGAATTAACCCCAAACAAATATCCACATGAACTGGGGCCTAGAAATGGGCTTTTACATAAAGAGATAAGAACAAATATTTACAATGCAGACTGCGACTCCTGGCAGTATGTCTATACAGGCAAGCAGAAAGGTCTGCCTGGAAGATACAAGCAGAATTGGAATAAACCATGGCAAATATATATTTTTTAAATTCAGAGAAAAAATGTGTTCTATTTATCCCTATAAATATCATTTCCAGTGGTCTTCATTCCTTTCAGTAGATCCCAGTGTCTGTTTATTACGATTTTGCTTTGGTCTGGAGAACTTCCTTTATCACTCTGTGAAGTATACATCTATTGGCAACACATTCCTTTAATTTCCATGTCTGCAAATGAATTTTCTGTTAATTTTTGAGGGATATTTTTGTTGGATATATAATTCTGAGTGGACATTATTTTCCCCCTCCTTAAGCACTTCAAAAATGTCATTCTACCATCTACAGATCCCTAGTGTTTTGATAAGGGAGTCAGTGATTATTTATCATGGCTCACCTGTAAATTATACATTGTTGGCTACTTTTAATACCTCTTTTTAAAAATCTTGGTTTCAGCGGTTTCAAGACAATATACCCTGGTGTGTTTTTCATTTTAGTTATCTGGATTGGAATTTAATGAACTTCTAAAATGTGTAAATCCATATCTCTCTCCAAATTTGAAAGTTTGGGGTTATTACTACTTTAAGTATTTTTTCTGCCCTATTCTTTTTTCTCTTTCTTCTTGGGACTCAAATTATGCACATATTAGATGTTTTGCTGTTATTCTGCAGGTTCCTAAGTTTCATTTTCTTTAAGTTTTTTTCTCCAATTTTTAAAAATCTTCTTTTCTAAAATGCATGCTTTTACTTTTTTTCTTGCCTTATATTATTAGCTAGGTCCTTGAGTACGATATTGAATAGAAGTGGTATGAGTAGATTCTCTTCTCTTTTTCCTAATGTTAGGAGGAAATATTAGGTCTTTTACCATTAAATATGGTATTAGTTGAATTTTTTTCATAGATGTCCTTTATCAAGTTGAGGATGTTACTTTTAATTCCTAGTTTGCAGACCATATATATATATATATTATATATACACACTTTATGAATAAATATGTATTTTATATATATATAAATATATGTAAAAGCTCTATAATTCTCATGAGCTTTTTACTGTATAAAAATTACATACAAATATATCCAATCATCAGCTTACTGCTGTTGCTGAATAGAGTTAGGAACTAATTGCGATTTGTGATATTTAAAAATTCTTTCTATTTTCTCTTATCATCTGAGTGCTTCATCACTGAGCTAATATAAAAATTCAGAAACCTGGCAGGCACGGTGGCACACGCCTGTAATCCCAGCACTTTGGGTGGCTGAGGCGTGCAGATCATCTGAGGTCAGGAGTTCGAGACCAGCCTGGGCAACATGGTGAAACCCCATCTCTACTAAAAATACAAAAAAATTAGCCAGGCATGGTGGTGGGTGCCTGTATTCCCAGCTACTCGGGAGGCTGAGGCAGGAGAATCACTTGAACCTGGGAGGCAGAGGTTGCAGTGAGCCGAGATCATGCCATCGCACTCCAGCCTGGGTGACAAGAGCTAAACTCTGTCTCAAAAAAATAAAATAAAATAAAATAAAATAAATTCAGAAACTTAACTCACTGAAATTCCATACTCCTTCTACTTCACCTGAGTTTAATCCCATTGTTAAGCAAGTCATTTTGTTTTATTTTTAGTTTTTCTTTAAATTTTGTTCCATTCAGTCAACTCAACTCTACTCAGTGCAACTCAGGTCAATTCAAATTAATTCAATTAAGTTTTAGACATTAATTCAATTAAGTTTTAGACATTCCAAAACTGACATTGGATTTGGTAAATTATTCTGTGCATCTGTGTAAGTGATTATATGACTTTTCTTGTTTAGTTTGTTAATATGGTGAATTGCGGTGATTGAGTTCCTAATGTTAGATGATCCTTGACTTCTAATATAGACTCCACTTAATCAAGACATATTCTACTTGTATAGATTTTTGGATTAGATTTTCTAAAATTTGTTTAGAATTTTTACATCCATGCTTATGAGGGATATTATTCTGTGGCTTACTTTTTAAATAATGTCTTCATTTGGTTTATGTCTCAGGGTAATGTAAGCATCATAGAATGAGGTGGGAAATATAAATTTCAGTTTTTCTGAGAGTTTGTATGCAATTGGTAGCATTTCTTCCTTTAATGTTTGTTTACCCGGAAAGCCATCTGGACCTGCAGCTTCTCTGTGGAAAGAATTTTAAACACAAATTAAAATTCTTTAGAATATATAGATAGGGCTATTCAGGTTACTTGTTTCTTCTTGAGTAAGCTTTAGTAGTTTCTTTCTTTCAAGGAATTTGTGCATTTCATCTAAGATGTCAAATTCATAAGTATAAATTTGTTCATTTTTTTATTCTTTTAAATCCATATACTGTAGAGATGACACCTCTCTCAGTTCTTTTTTTTTTATTATACTTTAAGTTTTAGGGTACATGTGCACATTGTGCAGGTTAGTTACATATGTATACATGTGCCATGCTGGTGCGCTGCACCTCTCTCAGTTCTGATATTGGTAATTTGTCTATTTTTTTCTCTTCATCTGTTTTGTTAGAGGTTTATTAATGTTCTCAACCAACTTTTTAGCTTTCATCTATTTTCTTTATTGTTTTTCTATTATCTATTACAGTGATTCCTACTCTGATGTGTATTACTTCAGTTTTCCCCCTTATTTTGGGTTTCATTTATTCTACTTTTCTAGTTTCTTAAGATGGAACCTAAGAATCATTCATTTGAGACTTTTGATTTCTTCATAAACCTTATACTTTGGGTGAGGGAATCAGACAATTAGAAATAACCACAAAGCATGAGTTAAATAGCATGTCAGAAGGTTAGACATGCTGTGAGAAAAAAGAAAATGACATAGAAGATGGTTAGGATTGACTGAAAGTGTAGATGTTAGTTGGATGGTTGCAATTTTGAATAGAGTGCTCAGTGTAAGCCTCACTGAAAGGTGGCTTTCAGGAAAAGACTTGGAGCTGAGTTAGAGAATTAGCCTTGCACATTTCCGTAGGAAGAACTTTCCAGTAAAAGGAAAGAATCACTGCAAAGGCTCTAAAATGACTGAGGTGCTGGAGCAAAAGCAAGGAGGCCAATACTGTCAGTGAGTAAGGAATGAACTAGAGTAGTCGGAAAAGAGCTTACAGTGTTCCGAGGGAGGGCCGTCTTACAGTATGGAATATGTGTTTTCTCCTTGGTAATATTCTAGCTGTCTTATTGTCCAAAAAGGAAAAAATCTTAACCCCAAATCTTAACCTCAAAAGGGAAAAAAATCTTAACCCCAAAAAGGAAAAAAAAAGAATACACATTGCGTAAAATTGGAAAATTAAAAGAAAAATGCCAAATATCTCTATTGACATTAACCACAAACTATTTATAGTTTTACCACTCACTTTATCTCCTCTCATTTTTACCATCCCTTCAGACTGAACCATAACCTTCACGTGGTATTTTAAAGGCTCAGCTTTCAAGGGTAAAAAATTGACTTCCTCGTTTAAAAGAAAAAAGAAATTGGATTTGGCCAGATTCCACTGACATGTATATGAGTTTTTTCTTGAATAAAATGGCAAAGATGTTCTTGGAAAAAATGCCTTAATAATTTCTTTTCAAGGATCTCATGAACATTTTCAAAGAAATAAATTGTGTTGTCAGAAAGAATGCAAAGATTTTTCTCACTGACTTAATAAAAATGGATGACACATTTAAAAATATTATCATGGTACACCTAAGTGTTGTTTTTCTCGTATTTTCTCCTTGGATATAGACCTTTTCAAGTTTTCAAGGTTTTATCATTGCCAGATAAGCTGGTATATGGAATAGGCATTGTGGCACTTTAATTATGGCCAGATTACAAAGAATTATTTTTAACTTTTGCTTCTGAGAAACTGCATGCCTTTTTAGATTTATATTCATCAATATACCCCTTCCGTTCTTGAAGTGTCTTATGATGTCATTTATAACTCTGCTCAGGAAGCAATCGTGACAAAAAAACATTTTTTTAAATGATTGAAAAAGCAAGCAAATGTCTTCTGTCTTCTTCAGGTGGTTTTCCAAACCAATAGCTTAAGCAGACACATAAAAATGTTCACATTTGCAACAAGACTCTCTCTGTGGTCCACTGAGGCTGGCAGGCTCTTTGTCTTTTCCTACTTTCATGTCCAGTAGCACTAGTTTGCCCACTTTGTACTTATGTACAGTAAATACTGACTATGTACAGGGAAATACTGCTCTTGGAGTAAGTTAAAAAAACTGATTTGATTAATGAAAGAAAATCTGTAGTGACAATCACTAGAGTTTGTCACTAGGCCACTCTCATATAGCCCCATCCTCTTTCCCCACAACACTAGAAACTGTGACACGTGGAGTTGTAGAGGAAACTGGACAGGCAAAGTTAGCAATCAGTCATCTGAGTTCACAACAACAATGATAGTGATGGTGACAACCACAATTTAAAAAGCAATTTTACATTTAATATGGTTGAATTTTGTGAGAGATTGGCATATTGTTATAATAACGTCAGTAGTTATTTAATATTAATAAGCCTTACATTCAAATTTTGAAATTGTGCAAATCTCTCCAGATTAAAAATTCCATAAGCATCAGGAAATCTCAAAGATTTGGACCAAGTGAATTTTAAACTACGTTTTATGCAATCACAACATGTTAGCAAATCAGTAGAGTAACAGAAATAGAGAACACATTTGTCAGTATTAGTCTTACATTACCTGAGATATGAAGGAGGCAAGGTCCTCAGTAATGGGTATCTTGCATAGAATGCTATAACTTTGTTACACTGTCTCAACTATCTTTGAATGCTAAGATGGGTTCATCTTGCAGATAAGGTTATCTTATTATGGATAGGTTCACTTTGTGAATATGGTTATCTTCTTGTAGATAAGATAGGTTCATCTTGTGAATACTATGTCCATCTTGTGGAAAAGAACTTTGAAATGCACAGTGAATGAATAACTTGTATTAATATAAAATCATTCAGCCATTTAGTTATTGACATTAGGACTTGAACCTAGGTGTTCTGATTAAACCCCTGCTCTTTGTATTGTATCCTGACAATTTTTAAAATTGGGCACCCTTTTAGTCCCCCTCAAGTACTGAAAATGACCATTGTCTCCTCCTCTTGTTTTTTTGTCTGACTTTCCCATCCCAAATATTCACACCTGAGTTCAAGTCACATGTTAATGATAGATTTCAGAACTCGCGTAAAGAAGGTGGCCACATCTGATTATATACATCGATATGCTGCTGTCTGAAGAATCTTGTTTTAGGATTCAGTGTCTTTCAACATCAAAACAGGATAGCCTGAGATACACTTGGTATCTTCTTGTCGGCGTACCTTGTTCCATAGGCTATGCTATAACAAGAAATGTATGGGACCAGTGTTTGGTAGCAATTTCCAGCAGGGAATGTAAAGATGAAGACAAACAACTAGAGTGGATCTAGAAGGTAGTTCTCAAATATACTCCTCTGAGTCTCCAGATCTTCAGAAGAGTCCCCTCACCTCAGCATTCCATTCACCCTCAAAACTCTCCATTCTCCCTTAACCAAGGAAGTTTCTTATTCATTGTTTCATATAGCAAGCTTCCAGTGAGATTTATGTTTAATAGAAAGGTCTCTGGCTGAAGAAAATTTTGCAAGCCATGAGAGGACAGTTGAGGAGTGGGGTGAGTGGTCATTAAAGAATTCCTGGCGTCTTCTGGGCTGGGCTTGTACTTTCCACTTGACCAACCCATGCTCTAGTATTAGATCCCTTCCTGTCTCTTCACTTCGACCCTTAATTTCATAGGGAGGCGAGAAAATATGAAAAGGCTTTACCTGAGATGAGGACTTTTAATCCAAAGGCATATAACTAGTTTTAATAGTCATCGGGTACTAAACTCATTTTGATTCTGAGAACTTCGTAAGTATCTAGGTTAGATAATGAGAATGGTGGTTCTGCCCTTTTAAAGTACACCATTGCTTTGAAACCATTATGAATAACTTCTAAAAGCATAATTTTCAAGCATCCAAGTACATGATGGAAAAAAACCCCATAACCTGTCAATGCTTCGCAATGATATCACTGCTCGATATACTAATGGAGCTAATTACCACACAGTTGTTGTATGAGACCTCTAGTCTATTAACATCCTACATTAGTCACCCTGAGTAAAGACAATATCTGGTCTTTTGCTTTTTTTTTTTTTTAAATAATGGCAAGGATCACAGAGTAAGGTGCAAAATCGTTATGGTAGCTCTGGTGCTTTGTGAGGGTTGCAGGCTGTTCTTTTTACTCTTCATTATCCAGTACGTCATCTTTGTGGGCATCATCTCAAAGTTTATTTCATTCAGAAGTATTGCAGGGCATTCTGATTTGACCATATTAGAATTGCCCATCCTCCCTTTACATCCTCAATTCTATCTGGTTCCTCCTTGTAAGCTTGACATGCTTCATTTGGTATTGATGAGAGCTATTTCTGCTATAATGTTTTCTACCCCTTTCCCAAAGCTTCTTTGATGCCAAATGTATGTTAGGAAGCAATACAAATCCTAGTCAATAGTTAATTCTTCTTTTTTCTTTCTAATGACATTACTTTCATGGATACACACTGGCAAGGATATTTAGAATTTTATGCTTTCCTTTTTATAAAACTACATACTGTCTTTCTAAACTCATTTTCCCTGTGAATATATATATATGCTGCCAGAAATTATATTTAAACGACTTGCTTATTGAAGTAGTTACTGCAATTTTCATGCTTTCAATGTGAAGGCATTTTAGATTTGGTGTATTTAAGGGTGTAAAAGCAATGAGAATGCTCTCTCTCTACATCCCCACTCCCAGTTGCTGCCTCAAAATTTGAAAACCACCTTCCTTCTTACATAAAAGGACAAAGAGGCTGGGTCAGCTACCTGAGCCTTGTGCTTAAATTGAAGTGTGATAATTCATGTCTTTTTTTCTTCTTCTTCTTCTTCTTGAAGATAACTGCTATTTTCACCACGGAGAGGAAAAAAAGGGGTTTTACTGTACATTTCTATAATGGAGCTAAAAGAGTTCAGCAGCCACTCTGAATTGAAAGGTCTAATTAGATTCTACTTTAATGTAAGATCTTGGCTTCAAGGTACTTAACTAAAAGAGAGAGGGCTTTACAAGAGGAAGCTATAAAATGTTTAAACATAAGCATCTTAAGCATATAACTAGGAAATGAAATACAATGCACCATATAAACTGGGGATTTTCTAATCCATTCCCAAAACTATCTTTTGTGCCAGCTTCCATTCAATGTATTTCCTATTCTCATAAAGGAAGTGGTGAATAAAAGGAAGGTGAACTCTGAGAGAAAAGATCCCAGATAGATCTCCGTATTTAAAATACAAGGAAGATGTTCTAATACCATTACTTATGCAAAGAGATCATGGCTTCTCCTGCTTCTTCTGAAGGGTAATATTCCCATATTTTATTATAGATGAAAGATAGGGAAGGTCATTTTTATTTTTATTTTCTAATTTTTCCAGACTGGCAAAATAGAAATTGTTAATGAATTTACCAGAATTAAGTAATAGTAAGCAGTGTATTATTATTATTCAGTTATCCACATGGAATACTGAGATGAATGTTTCTGAAATGTTATCTGCATATTGAGCTTCACAACTTGAATTATTCAATGATTCTGTGATTATATGCCCTGAAATCCTAATTCTTTAAGACCTTTTGTGAATTGGGACTTTGCAGAGGCAGGTGAAACCTGTAACTCCTCCATTTATCTCAGCCATTTAGTTAAAACAGCTGCCTGTCAATGACAGGTTAAGCTCAAGGGAAAAAGAAATTTCTTAGACATGAGCTCCAGAATCTGGAATTCTCTTCTACCCGAGGATTACTTTTGTAATTGAAAAACCTTTATGAGCCCTTCAACTCAGCAATTTTATAAGCTTGCCTGTATTATTCTTTTGCTTTCTCCCATCTAAAAACATCTAGTGATTTTTACTGTGATTTTAATAGGAACAAGTTTTTTTTTTTCCTGAGAAAACATGGTTTCTGGCCTCTGTGCTGTGTTATGCAAAATTAATGAGGGTTAATTTTTTCAAATAAGTAGAGCCTTAAAGGATGCTTTTAAATAAATGCAATGATGAAGAGGTTTCATTTGTTTATGCCTGCAACTTTTTTCTCTTAAAATAATATATTTGTTCAGGAACTTGAAGATGCTTTTCTAGCATTCAGGAAACTGAGTGACTGCTATGTGCCCAGCACTCCAGAAACAATAAAATTTAATACCAAACAAAGATAAATTGATACATCGATCCATTTAAAAATGGCTGGATGAGTTGAGACAGGCTAGTGTGATATTTTCTAAAAAGCAAATGAACTGAGTTAGGGCACTGGGCCCCACATTTTTTTTTTTTTTAGTGAAGTTACAAGTATATTACGGAGTTCCTGTATATTCAGCTGCCAGTTTTCACTGTTGTTAAAATTACTATGGTACATTTGTCCCAGTTAATGAATTAATGTTGATATATTATTATAACCGAAGTCCATGCTTTATTCAGATGTCACCATTTTTTCTCTATTTTTTTTTCCATTCCAGGATCCTGTCCAAGGTACCACATTGCATTTAGTCATCATGTTCCATTTAGTTCCTCTTTTAAAATAAGGATTGTTCACACTTACCTTGTTTTGGAAGATCTGACAGTTTTGTGAATTAATGGAGAAAAGCTACAGGCACCCACAAAGTGGAACCTCTTCATCACTGCATTTATTTAGAAGATCCCTTTAATGCCCTCTTGATTTGAAAAATTTAATCTCCAATGTCAGGTAGAATGTCCCTCATGTTTTTTTCTGATGTTTTTTCTCATGGTTAATGGGTTGGGGTTATGGGTTTGAGGCAGGAAGTTCACAGGGGAAAACTACTGTTCTATCGTATCATCAAAGGTACATGTTATCAATGTGATTTGTCAATGTTAATATTGACCAGTTGGGTGAAGTAGCATCTGTCATGTTTCTGCACTGTAAAGTTTCTTTTTCCCCCTCCTCCATACTGTACTTAGTGTGCAGTGCACTAAGTAGAGAGTTTTGTGTAAATACTTTGAGGGATGAACATTTACAAAAATTATTTGGCATTTCTCTGGGAGGTTTTGTGTACATCTTCATTGATAGAATTGTGTACATCTCCATTGACACAATACATTTCTGTCACTGACTTATATCAGTATTGACTCATGGATATTTACTGTATACTGTGGGTTATAATCCAATACCATATTATTTATTTTATTGATCAGATTGTTCTAGCTTGGACCATTGAGAGATATTTCCAGTGTTGCTTTGACACGCACCCATCATTGCGTTTTCTGAGCACTTCCATAATTTCTGGCACTACATAAAGCTTCAGGATCATCTTGTTTATTCTCTGTCCCAGCCCTGGCATTATCTATTTCTTCAAGGAGGCCTGGTTCCTTTTATTGATTCACTCTTTGTACTATTGTTAGTGGGTTATTACACAGGGTTATTGCAGCATCCACCATGGTAGTAATATATAAAATAGTTTCACTGCCCTAAAAATCCTTCATGTTTTGCATGTTTATCCAAAAGCTTCCCCAAACCTTGGTAACCTCTGACCTGTTTTACATTTTTATAGTTTTTGCCTTGGAACCCTGCAGTATATAGCCTTCTGGCTTTATTCACGTAGGAATACTCATTTAAGAGTCATCCATGACTTTATATGGCTTGATAGCTCATTTTTTATTATTATTATGCAGTATTCCATTGTATGGATATACCACAGTTTGTTTATCCACTCACTTAT
The DNA here is from genome assembly GCF_000001405.40 of Homo sapiens. Classification (NCBI taxonomy): domain Eukaryota; kingdom Metazoa; phylum Chordata; class Mammalia; order Primates; family Hominidae; genus Homo; species Homo sapiens. The sequence goes on along the minus strand of NC_000006.12, from coordinate 23,464,058 downwards.
TGAAGAACATCTTGGTTGCTTCTAGTCTTTGACAATTATAAATAAAATTGAAAAAATATTCACATGCAGCGTTTTTGTTCTTGTGGATATAAGTTCTCAAATCGTTTTGAACTATCTAGAAGAATTATTGCTAGATTAAATATTAAGACTATGTTTAGCTTTGTAAGAAATTGAAAGTGTTTTCCAAAATTGCAGCATGAAAGTTCCTATTGTTCCTCATTTTTGCCAGCAATTAGTATTTTCATGTTCCCGTACCCAACCCCTTTTACCTATTCCATTAGGTGTGTAGTGGCATCTCATTGTTTTAATTTGTATTTCCCTAATGACAAATGGTATTGAGCATCTTTTCATATGTTATTTGCTATCTGTACACCTTCTGTTGTGAAGTATCTATCTGTTCCAATCATCTACTTACTTTTTCAATTTTGTCTTTGTTTCCATATTATTGAGTTTTAAAATTCTGTGTATATTCTAGACATAAATCCTTTATTCGCTTTGTGATTTGCAAATACATTGTCTCTGCCTGTGGCCTGTCTTTTCATTCTTTTGGTACTGAGTTTCACAGAGCAAATGTTTTTAATTTTAATGAAGTCCATTGAATCATTTTTATTTCATAGATCATGTTTTTGGTGTTGTATTTAAAAATTCATCACCAAGTCTAAGATCATGCAGCTTTTTTTCTAGAATTTTTATATTTTGCATTGTATAGTTGTGTCTTTGATCCACTTTTATTTAATTTTTGGGCAATTTTGAGGTCTTTGAGTTCTTTGTGTGTGTATGGACATCCAAGTGTTGCAGTATCATGTGATGAACAGATTATCATTATTTTATTGTATTGCCTTTGAACCTTTGTCAAAATCAGTTGGCTATATTTGTGTGAGTCTACTTCTGAGCTCTACACCCTACTCATCTACATATCTTTTTTTTTTTTGTCCAATACCACACTATCTTGATTCTGATAACTTTATAGTAAGTCATGAAATTCAGTAATGTAAACTTTGTTCTTTTTTAGAAGAATAATGGACCTAGGAGAAACTATTAGAGGACTTTTGCTTTTCCATATACATTTTACAATCAGTTGGTTGACATCTATAAAAAATTCTTAGGACTTTGTTTGAGACTGTTGAGTCTATAGACCAAATTAGGGAAAGTTAACATCTTAAAAATATTGCATCTTCTAATCCATGAATATGGAATATCTCTTCATTTATTTAGATATTTGATTTCTTTTACAAGTGTTTTCTGCATATAGATTCTATACATATATATATTTTAGATTTATGTAACTCTCATTTTCAGTGCTATTTCAAATAGTTTTTTAAATATTACATTCCAGTGGTTCATTATTGGTATATAAGAAAGAAAGCAATTAGATCTGAAGATTTACCTTTCATCCCACAACCTTGCTATACTTGCTTATTAGTCTCAGAAATGTCTTTTTCAGTAGATTCTGTAGGGTTATTACAAAGACCATCATCTCATCAGCAGGAGAAGATAGTTGTATTTCTTCTTGTTGCCTTACTGGCACTACCTATGGATTTTATTTTGAATTCGAATAGGAATAATAAGAGAGAACAGCTTTTCCTTGTTCTTGATGTTAATGGGAAAGTGTTCAACGTCTCATAAATATGCTGTTAGCTGTAGATTTTTAGTATATCCTCTTTATTACGTTAAGAACATTCCCTTTTGCTTCTAGTTTTGCATGCATTTTATTATGAGTTGGTCTTTCATTTTGTTGAATGCTCTTTATAAAAATCTATTGATACAATCATATTGTTTTTCTCAGTCTGTCATCTAATCGATTACATTGATTAATTTTTGAATGCTAAACCAGCCTTGCATTCCTGTTGTAAATTCCACTTGGTTATGAGGCATTGTCCTGTTTATATATTAATAGATTTGACTAGCTCGTATTTTGTTGAGGATTTTTATCTCTATATTCATTAAAAATTACTCTCTGGTTTTATTTTCTTGCAGTGTCTTTATTGGGTTTTGGTATTAGGGTAACACTGTCCTCATAAAATGAGTTTAAAGGTTTTCTTGCCTCTATTTTTTGACAAAAATTGTGTAAAATTAGTTTCTTATGTAAAAGTTTGGTAAAGTTTACCATCCAGCTGGACCAACTGTTTCCTTTTTTGTTTTTGGAAGATTTTTGACTACGATGTCACCTTCTTTAATAGACATAAAGCTATTCAGGTTATCTATTTCTTTTTGAGTAGAATTTTGTAGTTTGTGCCATCAGGTCATCAATTTATTTCATCTAAGTTATCAAATTTGTGTGTGTAAAATTTTTATAGTATTCTCTTACCTTTTAAATGTGCAGTGAATCAGTAGTAATTATCCCTCTCATTCATTCCTAATATGGTCGAGTATTCCTTTTTCTCTTATTCTTTGCTAGCCTGGCTGGAGATTTATCATTTTTATTCATCTTTTTGAAGAAACAGAATTTGAGTTAATTGATGTCCCCTACTCACTTTCTGTTTTCAATTTTATTGACTTCTGCTTTAAATTTTATTATTTTTTTCTTCAGCTCTCTTTAGGTTTGACCTGCTCTTTTTTATCTAGTTTCCTAAAATGGAAGCTGAGATTATTGTTTTTAATATTTCTTCTTTTCTAATATAATATATAATAAGTATTATAAATATATTATTAGCTGCATTCCACAAGTTTTGAGGCTACATTTTCATTTTCATTAAAATAAAAATTTTTTTTACGCTCTCCTGAGACTTTTTCTTTATTCCACGGGTTATTTAGAAGTGTGCTATCTAATTGCCAAATATATGGGAATATTCCAGCTGTCTTTCACTTCTTGATTTTTAGTTTAATTCTGCTGTGGCTTGAGAACGTACTCTGTATGATTTCTATGTTCTAAAAAAGTATGAATATGCATTTTGTGGACCAGAATGTTGTCTATCTTGATGAATGCTCCATGTGAGCTTAAGAAGAATGGATAATCTGCCACTGTTGAGTGGCGTATTCCATAATTGTCAATTAGATCAAGTTGATTGATGTGCTATTCAGGTCATCTATAATCTTACTGATTTTCTGCCTACTTGATCTTTCAGTAACTGACAAAAGAGTGTTGAAGCCTCCAAATATAAATCTGTGCCATTCGGCTATAATTCATTCTTATTATTTAAGAGGCCTGTTGGTGTTGAGGTAGGGTGTGGAATGGGGAAGGAGGACTTTATACTCTTCTTATTAGGACTCAATCTTTTAATAGGCCCGTGTCTCAGAAGTAAAGCCTTCAGAAGTATTTCTGTTCCTCTTCCAAGAGCATAGCTTTTATCCCCCGTTCTCTCACTCGCTTCCCTGGCCGTGGCATTCCCAATCTATTTACTTGAAGTCCTGTTCCAAACTAGAATGTCCTTCCCTGAACTAAGATAAGGTTTTACATTTGCCCTCTGCTGAATTCCTTACCTCTATAAACTAGGCTCTTATTAGGGGGTAGAATCTGTGTGGGTTTTAGGATTACTACTCATCCCTTCCCCAGCCTACACTAGGAGGAGTTCTTTCTCAGATCCGCATCATAAGGTCTTGAGAGATTTCTGTAACAAAAGCTCACATATGTGTGGGACCTCACTAAGACTGCTATTCCCAAGAATTTCTCACTCTTACACTAGTCTGAACTTGACCTCTCTCAATTCATCAAAATAGCAATTTAAGCATTCCTATCAGCTAGGGATTGCCGTGGCTTCTGCTCCAGACAGGCAAGCTTTAGGAGCTGTATCTCTATGGATGCATCTGTCTCTTTAGATTTCAGGGTGGTAGTGTGTTCTGTGACTACAGTCCTCAGATTTATCGAAGAAACATTATTGATTTTTAGTTAGGTTAGCTTTTTTTCTTGTTGCAAAGTTCAGGGTGACAACTTCCAAGCTGTTTATGTGTTGAACTCAAACTAAAAGCTCTGATCCATTCTTTTAAATAGCTATGTAGCCCAGGACTTATCATTTAACCTCTGAGCATCAGTTTCACCCTTTCTCTTGAAAAATAATGATGAATTATGGACTCTAAATTCCTACAAGCAAACATAATTGGATGCCAAACTGTTAATGGACATGGAGACCTAAAGATGGCCCTTTGAAGTCTGTCAGCAACATAGGTAGTTTACAGTCCCCAATAGTGTATAGAGATTTATCTTAACATGAGTAAGCTACTGTATTAAAACATCACCAGCTCTTTAGCATTGTTTGTGCTAATTAAATAATCTGTTATCAAATTTAGAATCTAAAGTGGAGTTTAACAGCTTGCTCTAATAATCAAAATTTACCAATCACCCATGAATTCACTCTTTCAACCTTACATTTTCACTCCCAACCAGTGTGGTACATTCAGAAGATTATGCTACCCTCATGATAAAATGAATAAGGTTACTGAAGAAAAAAAATGAACAAACAAAAAAGCCAAATGAGTTTTTCCTTGATTATTTATATGACAGAAGGGTTCAGTGACTTGACATGATTATTCTGGTAATCACTCATTTTCACAGATGCCTAAAATTATGGATTAATATATTAGAACAATGAAAAACTATATCAAAAAACAAGACTCATAAACAAAATAAAATATGTTGGTCTACATGATTGCAAGGCCTTTTAAATGATTCATTTAATATTATTTCAACAAAATTTTAAGCACGAGTATTTAGAAAGGTCGGAGTTAGTTATGGCAAGGTATAATTACATTTTTAAGTTGGCTATATCCATCAAATAATGACCTTCTCTAGCTCATACTCAAACTCAAAGAGAATTTGGAGTAACCTATGTTAAGTCTTTGGGACCAAATCATTTAGGGCTGCTTAGTGGTCTCTTAAAACCAAATAAGACTCTAGCAAAAGTTACCATTAGAGTCAGTGTTAGTAACCTACTAACAGAATGAAAAATAAAAATGACTCGATCATCTCCATAGATACAGAAAAAGCATTCAACAAAGTTCAATCTTCTTTCATTATAAAAAAAAAAACTGTCAACAAAATAGATATAGAAGATGATTTCTTCGACATAATAAAGTCCATTTATGAACAGGCCACTTCTGTTCAACATAGTACTAAAAGTACCAGCAAGCTCGGTCAGGCAAGAAAAAGAAAGAAAATGCATTCTAATTGGAAAGGAAGAAGTAATATTATTCCTGTCTTCAGATGACCTGATCCTATATGTCAAAAACTCTAAAGACTCAACAATTAGAACTAATAAATGAATTCAGTAAAGCAGCAGGATACAAAATCAACATGTAAAAATCAGTTGCATATCTTCATACCAACAGTGATCTATCTGGAAAAAACACCAAGAAAACAATCTCAATTGCAGTACCATAGAAAAAGTGTTTAGAAATAAATTTAACCAGGGAAATGAAAGATCTATACATGGAAAACTGTGAAGCATTGATGAAAGAAATTTATGTATGAAATTCTCTTACATAAATGAGAAAATATGTTTGTGGATTGGAAGAATTATATTGTTAAAATGGATCTAGAAAAAGGAAATACAGTTTTACCAATTTAGCACAACTGAGGTAATTCTATTGCATTTTCAGGTATTTTTTCATGCCTAGGATCTTAATATTGTTTATAATCATAATTTATACAAATCATATTCCCCCTCTTTCACTTAGTGGTAAATTAAAGGCATCTTTTCATGTTACTGTTTTTTCTTAATTTGCCTTAGATGCCTAAAAACCCATTCAAAGATCACTCCAGTTTACTAATAAGGTAACTAGAGAAATGGTTTCATACTTACAAATGAAGAACCACACTTGAGAAGTAACAGTGGGACGTGTTCTAATTAAAAGCTTGAAAATGGTCTCTTGTACATTTAAAATAACATTTATGGAGAGTAAATAAAGGATTAATAATCCTAGGTCAGAACTCAGGTAATGGCCAAGGCAAATAATTGCAGCTACAGTGATATTATCTGGATATGGAAACAGTCTTTGAATTACTGACCTGTGTCTTAAACAGAAAATGATTATCATTATGTTCTGGATCTTACAAAATTATGAATTTTACACAGATGGTTATTGTTGCTTTCTATAATACGTTAGTAAAGATAATATGTTTTCTTAATGACTGATACCAGACTAAACTTAATCGACTACATCAGCATCATCTCAAGTTTCATATGCTTGTGTTTAAGTATGTGAACTTCGACCCAAACCATATAATCCTTGCTTATTGCAGTGGACATTGTGAGACCAAATTTTTGTCAATTCTCATCAGTTTATATGAACTGTTGCTTTTACTTAACAGACTTTTATCTTGTACAAGAGGAGTGATTTTATTGTTCATATGAATAAATAAGTTTATACTTAAACTTTCTGTTGTTAAAATAAGGCATTACTCTATTCAAATATTACTTTGTCTCATGACTGTTTGCTCTGTGCTTTTTCACAGATTTCACTGACCAGCAACACTCCAGTGAAACTGCAGTCAAAATTTATGGAGTCTGCAGTAAATATGAAGCTAAAGTAACAGGTAAGTGAATCATAATGCATTCTTTTCAAAAATATGTTATTTATTCATAACTCAAAAGTAAGTGTTTGATACTTCTAATGTCTGTTTTGCGTTTCTGGAGCACATATCATTCCTTGCAGTAAAAGTCGTATCCTTCTCAGTTAGATAAGAGATTGTTATTAATGACTTCTGAAAATTTATCTCAGTAAGAAGAAGGCTACTGAGCTCTCCAGATGACCTAGAGTGAAGGGTATGTTTTTCTGGTTAATTTTTAAATAATATTACTGAGATGGATTTATTTAAGGTTAGTATGTGTTATTTGGATATTTCAATATTGTCTCATTAGACATGTACCTGAGGTTATGACAATTCTAAAACATTTTGATATAATTTGATTTTTAAGGGTTAGTTTAGATATTCTGGGTGCTTTTTAAGTGCTAAATAACTGGTTAAGTTTGATGAACTCCCTGATATTTTTTCAGCAAACGTTTTATATAATTCTGACACAATGCCTTTGAAACCTCACAGATTCATCTTTGGAGATAGAATTCCATAGACTGTTCTATAGATTTGATGAAGGCAGAGTTCTGTGTATTATATAATGGATTTCTGCATAATAGAGAATAGAATTTTATAATAAGATAGTACTTTTTGTTTAATTCTCAAGATCGGTCTTCTTGTTTTTAGAAACTCTCAAAACCTAGACTAACTTGAGAAACACCAGGAATCTTTTCTCACATGCATATACACATAGACCATATGTAGAGATGCATATTAAAGATTCTATAAATACTCACATACTTAAGATTTTCTTTCCCTCTTTCATGAAGTCAGTATGACTTGTTTTTTTTCCAGCAAAACCTATCTCTAGAAAGAACTCAAAAATGGAAAGCTCTGTAAAGAGTTCAATTGCCTGTTCTCTGAGCATTGACCAAAACTCACCAATGCCTGGTTCTAGAATCTGTAGTAATTGCTAATATACTGCATCAGATGTTAGTTTCTGTTGACCTCATAGCCAGCTGCTGTGTTGGCCCATTGGCTGCTTAGAACAGAAACAGGAAGCAGCACACAAATATTTCCTTTGAAATTGATGACTACAGCATTGAAAAATATTGACCTTTATGTCAAAGAAAAATAATTATCAAGTGAAAAATGTATCTATGACTAATATTTATATTATTAGAAAATTTTCTGTAAAGTCAACTTCTTTAAGGTTATAGTGTAAGCTTCAGAATAGCTTGCAATTATACTGTTTACACGTGAAGCAATATAATTTTTTCATGAGAAAATATAGGAATTCAGATTGTACTTTAAAAAACTAGGTTCTTTAAGGCCAGTATTTTGAAAGGTAATTGATGCGTTAGGCTACATTATTTTTTAATAATTGATATTAGGCTACATTATTTTTTAACTAGGTAAAATTGATAAAATTTTGGTCATATTCCTTTTGCAAGAAAAGAAGGAGAAAGATATGGAATCTCTGGTTTCATCTGAGGGTCTAGTCACTATTTGATCTGTCTCTGTTGATGGGAGAGGAAAGACTGGCTTTTTACTTAAGTTCAATATTCCCACGGTGCCTAACAGTCTAGTTTCCAGTATTCAGTCTGTCATTATACATTTATGTATCAACCAATCTCATTTTGCTCCAAGAAAATGATTAAATTGCTTAAGCCATAATTTCATTTGGGCTTAACAGTTTCAGCTATCTTGTCATTACTGTCATTGTCATCCAAATAACTTCTCAACTACCTAACTCTGCATAGTTTCATGCTTTCTGGTTTAAAATTAAGTAAAGCGATATGGTCTCTGCCCTCTAGGAGTTTATAATCTTAGAAAAATTTGGCTATGGCAACCCTGAAAACCTCTATTTAGTTTAACCTGTGATTTTTTTTCCTTAGCTCTTTTCCAAGTTCCTATCTGTAGATATATTGTCTCTAATTCAAAAGCAGAGGCTTGTAGTTCTGTGTCTGTGTGTGCCTGCTTGCCCTTCTTCAGGTGCACTTAAAAGCATGTGTCCATATCTTCATTAGGTGGACACATCAGGCCATAGACCTGGTGTCATGGACTCAAAGAAAAAGAAAGATGGTAGATGGCTGGGTGCAGTGGCTTACACTTTTAATCCTAGCACTTTGGGAGGCTGAGGCGGGAGGATGGCTTGAGCTCAGAAGTTTGAGACCAGACTGGGCAACATGGTGAAACTCCGTCTTTACAAAAAATACAAAAAATTAGCTGGGAGGGATGTTGTGCACCTGTAGTCACAGCCACTTGGGGGGCTGAGGCAGGAGGATAGCTTAAACCTGGCAGGTCAAGGTTGGAGTGAGCCGAGATCACCCCACTGCACTCCAGCCTAAATGATAAAGTGAGACCTAGTCTCAAAAAACAAGATGGTAGAAATGTTTTCACAATATTCCAATTCAAATTTAACTCTGAACTCAATGCTTTGCCCAGCACACCACTCCTGATCAGAGATGAGTTGAGAGCACAGAAAGATACTTTTACTCAAAGTCACTTCGTTGCTTCTGGAGCAGCCTGATATTAACTTAATCCAGTGGTTCCCATCTAGGAGGCAGCCATTCCCCTCCTTCCACAGCATGGAGATGTAGATCCCAAGGTGCTACTGACTTCAGTAACCCTGGAACAAACAGAGGAAAACTGAGAGTGGTCTGAGGGGACACAGGTGGATTTCTGCCCCTTATCTCTGTGTCTTCCCTAACACAGCCACCTCGAGACTGTGCACATTGTTAATAGCTGTCATTTCTATTTCTGAACAAATCACCTCCATGCAATTTGCACTCGAGGGTACTGGAGAGTGTCCTGCCTATCTCTGTACATTAAATAACCTTATTGTGTTGCTGAGCCTGGCTGTGTCTCTCCCTTTCTCTGTGGCAGGTGTATTTATCATTTTCCCCACTCTGACATTCCTAGCTTCAGCTGCCAGACCAGGCCTGGTGCCTTTCTCTCAGTAGATTAGTTTGCATTCTATGGGATTAAAAAGGTTTAGAGAGCTACTGGGAGTTGGCAGGAAGAGCCTGAGCTGTTTGGAAATGTCAGAAAATTGTCAAGACTGCCAGTTTTCTGGGGGATAAAATGGGATGAGGAACAGTAGCACTTTTCAATTAGATTCTAGTAGACAAAACGTCACAAGAAAGCAGCAGCAAGGATCTCTAAGATAATAAGAAATTCTTGTATTCTGAGAAGGGTAGGAAGAGAAAAGAGGAGGCAGTGGTGAAGGAGTTAACTCTCTTTTTTCATGAGCAATTGAAAGTTGACAAATGGGACAGCCCAGTACATCACACTACGGTGTCACTCTTTGGTCTTAGTCAACCTTGTGGAAACCAGTCATGGGAGAAGAAGCCACAGGAAATGAGGTGCTCTGAAAACAAACACGTGACTAATGCATTTAGCATCTCACATTCCCATTTCAGTTTTGGCTTATATTCTGATTTCTTTCATTATTTGTGGAGGAGGGGGCTTTTGTCTTTGATGTGTTTCCTTAGAGAGAGGAGGCACTTCCTAGTGCTCAGAAAGAAGCCTTGATCTCCCAAAGATTCCGAGCAGGTGACAAAGGAAATGTATGAAAGATTTGTTTTAATGCTGTATCATATGCAGAACTTCAACTGCTAAGAACAAAGAGAAATCACTGTATTTGAAAACTCTAAAAGGTGGTTTAGGCATGAAAAATGAACCAGAGAGCTTTATTACTGCACTGCATATACAGATAGATTGGCTTTACCATCCTGCCATTGTTTTCTGCCTTTACTAGGGGACGTATTCTTGGTAAACTTGGAAAGAGATGTGACTCAGTGCACCAAGAAAAAGGACTGAGACCTGAGAAACTTGGCAAAGCATTTCCTCAGGTTTGGCTGAATTTGAAGTGAAATACTCATGTCATTCCGGAGACCTCCACAGGAGTAATTTCCCCCATCCCAAACACGAGCTTATAGCACATTTTTATGCCTTCTTTGGCAGAGAAGGAAGAAGGATAGACAAAAGCAAAGTTTTTGGCTTTTTCTGCATGGCATGAGGAATGGGAACAGTCTTCAATCATAAATCGGGAGGAAGAGTTTCAGTCAACCTCTTGAATTTTGCACATCATTTGTAAAATAGGTTGGGTAGAGGGTGGTGATTGGCCCACACAATTTTTAGGTTTACTTATAAAATCCTTATTAAAGTCATACCTCCAAATTTAACAGCTCAACTAAGCTAAGGAACTCTGCCCTGCCCAGGTGTTCTCTGTGCATATGTTAAGACGAAATCATCTTCTTTGTTATGACTAGTCCTTAACCAGACATTGAGAATTTGAGGGCCAGTGTCAGGGACATCTAAAGCTATAGGGTTGATCAATGAGAAACTTCCTTTTGGCCAAAGTGTTGTTTTTCAGCCACAGCAAAGTCAGATAATTGCTTCTAAAGGAGAGCAGATTCCTAAGGGGATGCAGGGGTGTTTCCTAGCTGAGTGAAAGAACTGGATTTTGTCTTCCCGGGATAAATCTCAACTCAAGTTATTTACCCATTAACATGCATGAGGCTTCATTTCACCAATGAATCCTCTCTTCTGTGTCTCTATCCTCTTCTATTCCACAAGATTCCTCCCCTCTGTCTACGTGTATGCTCAAGCCTCCCTTGGTTACGCCTTCACTTGATGGTTGTACTCAGATCTCTCCATCTTCTTTCATTCTTTTCATTTAGGCATCAACGATGTAAAACAGGACAGCAAAGGCTCTTGCTCTCATGCAAATTAACTTCTAATTTGCTGTGGGGCGAGACTACAGGGGAAAATGAGGAATGATAAACACATCCATAAACAAGATGCTTTAACATAGTGATAAATACTTTAAAGACAATAAGACAAGGTGATATGGAAAGTGAGTGAGCGGTGAGACAGAGGACTTACTAGAGATTGTGAAGCCTAAAAGATTTCTCTGAGGAAATGACATTTCAACAGAGACTTGAAATTATAAGTCAGATCCAGCCTCTCAAAGTTCCATGACAAAGCATTCAAGGGAATAGGGGTAGAAAGTGCCAGCTTGTTGAGGCCTGAGGAGCTTGGCACTGAGAAGAGAAAGAAGGCCAGTGTGACTGTGTCTCAGTGTGCAGCTAGGAGAATGGCAGGAGACGAAGGTTGAGCATGGGAGGGCTGGATCCGGACGACCTGACTCCTGATGAGCTGTGGTTAGAATTTGGAGGCTCACTCTGGAGGATTTTAAGAAGGGACTGACACAATCTGATTTATATTTTTAAAAATCAACCCTGCTGTTTTGTGGAGAAGCAAGAAGGCCAGTTAGGAAGCTACTCTAGTAGTGCAGGTGACACATGATGATGGTCTGTACCTGGGCCATTCATAGAGGCATGGAGATGGATAAGATGCAATTTTGAAATGAGATCAACAGTATCTGCGGATGGAAGCACAGGATTCTAAGAATGAATTCCAGGTCTCTGGCTTGAGTGCTTGTGTGTGTGGAGATAACGATGACTAAGATGGGGGAAGCTGAGGGAGGTACAGGTTTGAATGTTCATGAAGGATAAGGATCTGGGTTTGGCCTGCTTCTTTACATTGTATCTGTTTCAAATAAATATTATAATTTCCATGTGGGGTAGGGGGAACTACCACATCTTTTCCATTTCCAGGTGGTAGAACTTCCTATTAGACTGATACCATTGACCTCTCTCTGCCCCTCCTTTTCTGGGAGAATCAATCGCTTGATTAGAACCTTTCTGAGAAAGAGCTGGTGTGCTTAGTTCTGCTTCTCCCACCAACTTTTCTCCTTGAGATTTGCCTTCATTTGGGTTCATCATCTGGAATTACTGTGATCCTTCACTTCTCATGTCACATGCATTCAATGGTCACATCCATTCGATTGATAAGCCATGTTGATTCTCTCTGTTGTAGCTCTCTTGTGTTCCTTTTTTCCTGTCATTCTCTGGGTGCAAATCCTCATGACTTATCCTTTGAAACCTTGACTACCAACTTACATGCTCATTTAATGTTAAATGAGCTTTTGTGTCATTTAATGTTAAATGAGCTTTTGTGTCAATGACTTTCAGTGGGCTTGGTTAGAAGAAAGAAATCAAACTCCCTCAGACCATTCACAATTTGGCCCCAAATAGTTCTTTTCCAAATCATGCTCTTAAAAAAAAAAAAAAAAAAAAAAAAGGTGTCTGTGTTGCTTCATGGCACTCTACATTGTCCTGATATTTTCTGTCCTCAAATATTGTATTAGCATGTGACCTAGAGCACAATAAACACATTGAAAATGTCATAGAAATGTTTGTGTTTATACACATCTTCCTCTGGCCTCCAGCTCCACATTTTAAATACTTCTTATCATGATGCTTTGCAAAAGTAGACTCTCAAGCCATAATTGTCAGATTAAAAGGGAAAGAATTTGGGCCAGGCGCAGTGGCTCACGCCTGTAATCCTAGCACTTTGGGAGGCCAAGGCAGGAAGATCACCTGAGGTCAGGAGTTCGAGACCAGCCTGGTCAACATGGCAAAACCCCACCTCTACTAAAAATACAAAAATTATCCAGGCATGGTGGCGCATGCCTGTAATCCCAGCTACTCAGGAGGCTGAGACATGAGAATCGCTAGAACCTGGGAGACAGGTTGCAGTGAGCTGAGATCATGCCACTGCACTCCAGCCTGGGTGACGTAGCAAGACTCTGTCATAAATAAATAAGTAAATAAATAAATAAATAGGAAAGAACTGTCTCAGAGAATTTACGATGTCCTGAATTCTGACAAACCTCATGAAGGCACCAACTTTCTAAAGAAGGCAAGTGAATTAGTAGGGGAGAAGTGTAGAGTCAGAAAGAGGCCAAGATAAACATTACTATGTTCAGTGTAATCTGTTTCTTTCCTTTTCTATAACTTTCAGCAAAGTCTCAAAGGATCCTCACAAGCATATTTTAAGATGCCTTTTGTGGATTCACGTCCTAAATTCCAGACTTGTTTTACCCAATCTGCAAATTACCTGGTTCCTTGATGACTGATGCGACGTAACTGATGTTCAGGAGTGTATAAAACACTGATTTTTTGTTTGTTTGTTTGTTTGTTTCCTTTTGCTCTAGTCAAATATGTAATTTTCTGGTATTTACCCAAAGCTACGGATCTACTCTTGAATAGCTTTGAGCACTCTATGTATCAAGATCATATTTTTTATTTACATCAGAACATTTGTTGAAGAACACGAGGTCAGTACAAACAATGATTCTGATGCCATCAACGAGAAGGAGATAAAAATGCACTGATCCTCAAAAACTGAAAGTGGCAGCAATTTCTAATATGCTTTTAAAGTGTAGTGGCCCAGTGACCTCTTATTGATATCATATTTTTGCTATTACTAAACATTCTCAATTACTGAATACCACCTGGATCTCACAATAACGTTTTAAGATAAGCAAGGCGAGTATTTTAAATTCACACTTGTACTGATGAAGTGACTGAAGTTCAGAAGAAAGAAGTAGCCCGAAGTCACAATGTTAGTGAGTAGTCTGGTGAGAATGTGAATCGTCATCTATGGGTCCACACAGACGCTCTTTTGCAGCATTGTTCAGCAGATTTACCAACTAGGATTTGAGAGTATCCCAGATTAAATTAACCAGACCAGGGAAAATCCAGGCAAGTTTACACACACACACACACACACACACACACACACACACACCCCAAGGCAATTTGTGGGGCTCAAGAAAAAGTACAATATTCGTCTTCTAGTCTTTCAATTTTGCTACATTCAATCTGTATTAATTTGTGTTTCTTGATGACATGCTAAGACAGAGACAGCAGCTAAATGAAATCAAATGCTGCCTATCTTACTTAGTTTCCCATTTTTTATCTAAAAGCTTATCATTCACTAAATCTAACCAACTGCCATATACAATGTGGGAGAAAAAAACTTTTCAGAAAGATCTTGATTGTTCCACCAGTTCTTTTTTTCATCCTTGTCCAAAACTCTGCCAAATTTGAGGGCAAATTTCCAGTGAAAAACAATTTGGGATTGAAGGTTTTCCACTTTGTATCAAATCGGGATTGAAGCCATATAAATGGCACCTTTGGGGATGATGTGGGCAGTATCTCTGATCATCTGGATACTGTGCTCTGAAGTCTCTAGTGACTTTCCACCTAGGTCCTTGGCTCATCCTGCTCCAGCCTCCTGGCATGCTATTTCCCTTGCTGCTGGTACAAATCTCGTCCATATTTCTTGCATCAGACACCAGATCCAGTCAATCATACAGATCCAGAATCTGTATTTTGCTAGGGCTGCCGTAATAACGTACCACAAACTGGGTGAATTACACAATTGAAATGTGTTGTCTCACAGTTCTGGAGGCTAGAAATCCAAGATCAAGGTGTGGGTAGGGCTGGTTCCTCCTGAGGGCTGTGAGGGAAGGATCTGTTCTGAGCCTCTCTCCTGGGCTTGCAGAGGGCCTTCTCCTTCTTCTGTCTTCACATTGTCTCCTCTTGGTACTTCTCAAATGAATAATACCCTGTTCTCTGCTGCTTTAGGGTGTTTTTCAGTGCTATTCCCTGTGTTCTTTATCCCTGCAAGTTCTTGGATACCTGGATATAGCCTGATTTCTTCATTCCTTTATGCACTGATCTAGAAGAGCGTCCTTCATGTAGACAGATTTAAAGGAATGGATTAATGAATATCCACAATGAAACTCATGAATAGGAGTCTTTGAAAGCAAACATGAAATCCCTTTGGCAACATTACATTGCCTAGCTCTTTTGAACAGGATGTCCTAACATTTGAAAGCCTCTCATCAGCTGAGAGCACATCAATATTATTTGATTACACTTATATATAGATTCAAGGATAAATCTTGCAAGAATATATGGGTTTGTAGTACAGATTGGGACTCCATCCGGGCCTCTTTTAATTCATACTCTTGTCTTTGATTCTGATTTACTTTCAGTTAGAGCACTGATTTACCTTTTTTGGTCTTTTCTCACTTTGTTCTTCATAAGCCCTTTGTTGGCTTTCTAAAAGTTATTGCCACTGAATTAGATTTTAATGGAGTTAATATATCAGTATGTTATTTAGTGTTTTAGTCTGTGATTAATCCTAGAAAAGCTGGGTGAGTGCCTTACCAGAGGGCCGCATGTTCTCCAGGTTGCAGCATTATTCATGTCAGATGCAAACAGACAAATACAGAGCAGCAGGAAAAAATGAGGTGAGGAGGCTGGGGAGTTCAGACTTTGGTGGAAGAAAAAGGAGGGGTGAAATGTTTTTACGCAAGCTCAGTTTTCAATTCTATGGTCTCTAATGAGGCAAGCAGACTTTAATCCTGCCATAGCTAGGATGAAAATGTTATTGATTCCTGATCTATGTTTAATGATGAATTAATAGATTTGCCTTTATATTCAACTCTGCGGCACACTTATTTCTGTTTAAAGAGCAGGTCCTTAGGTTGCATGGACCTGAGACTTAACAGTTCTCTGTGCCTCTCTCTCCTTGCCCAGTGAAAAGGAGCTTAATCCTTATTTGGCTCCTGAAAATAATATGTAGAACCAGTTAAATCTGATCCCCAATTTGTATGAATGTGATAAAATATGCATTAACCTCCCACTATTGCTTTTCTTGTGCACAGGCAAAGAGAACACCAGCAGAAAGTTTACCAGAAGTCCCCTCTCAAACACAGATGGCTACAAAAACCTGAGAAACCTACTCTAGCCCATTAACACTTTTCTGTCCAAAAGATTTCCTGAGAAGCTGGAAATTCTGCCAGCCTGGGCTATGATGTTGGCACTTCCTCCTAGTTCCATTTTCTCTACCTGGTGCCTGGCTGGCAATGCATTTACTCCTTCAATGTGTCCTGAGCCCAGGGTAGGACAGAGTGATTTTTTTTTTTTTTTTTTTTAATTCAAGACACCTGGAGCTACAGGTCACTTTTGAAACCAGCAAAAATAGCCTGCAGTTCTAGGTTACTTTGACATAGGTAATGACTTAAAATTCCTCTGAGCTTAGATTTTATACTTATGATTCTTTAAATTAGCTCTCATTATCCCTGCAGGTTTCTGCCTTTTGAGCTTTTAAAGTCACAGATTTCAAATATAACCAGGGCACCAAAGTCCTTAGCTTCTAAAATCACAAACCCCCGCAGGATGGGAATGATAATGCGTGTATGTTAGTGGGGGTAGTGGGAGTTACAGTTAGTGAAATAAAGAATTGAAGAATTGTCCTATGGTGAATGGAAGAATCAGTGCTGGCTATTAGCTACAAAGGTACCAGCTAATACCTCACTGAATCTGTGCCAGAACCAAACAAAACTTTGGCAGGGGAGGAGGACTATGGAGGGTTACAGAAAGAAGATACTACTCCCCTCATCGCTCCGTCCTTATATATATATATGTAATATATATATATATATATCTTGTGCCATGTGAAGCAAAAATAAATACATGTATTGGGCTAGAATTTCATGTATCTTGCCCCATGTTTGTGATTAGGTTTAATTTTTACAATCCTACATGGTGGGGCTTCAGTAATATAATATTTCTGTGGGCAACACATATATTATGAACCACTTATGGGCATAAATAACAAATATTATTTTTGTTATATATAATCAGAAAGCTTGAAAGGGAACAAAGATGCCATCAAGACTGTCTGCCTGTCTCTGTGCAAACGTGACTGTCCTTACAGAAAGCAGTAGACATATGGCTATCTGGACTGTTTTCAAAGGATATGGCCATCCCTCCTTTGAATAAATCATTCCTGCCGTTTAACAACCTTTACAGTTGGGACGTGCCTTCTCATAAAGAACTTGCTTTTAGAATTGACCAGGGTTTCTCCATTTTGCTGGGCAAAACAGACTGCTTTGTATTGTTTGACCACATACTAATGCTTTTGTAGAGAAAGAATTCATTACATGGTGAATGCGGGAGGGTGGTGGCTATTTCTTCGGAGAAGTGCTCTCTTCCCTCCCTCAAACTCCTACAATTTCAGATTGGATTGTCTCAGATCATCTTTTCCTTCCCCTCTGGGTTACAGTGCATCACACTAGATGGCAGTAATACCCCAGTTTGAAGAGTCCATTTTACATCTTCCCTCCCCCATTACAATCTTTTCTTGTCCATAGCAATATGGAATAAAACATGCAAATAAAATCCCTTCATTTTGTACAAGGTTCATTCAGAAAAGCTGATATACAATTAAAGCTGGTAATGAAAAAAATGTGTTAAATGATATAGAAAATTCAGGCATTGTGAGTTTTTTTGTGTGTAGCGGGTACGGGGGCCAGTCTCTGTTTTGTTTCTTTGTTTGTTATGGTTGTTTTTCAGATAGATATAGTTTCATTACAAAAGAAAATTTGTTAGAGCCAAAAGTCTAAGCTTAAGTGGTAAGGTAAAAGTGTATTTCTGAGAAAAGAAAAGAATTCAGTCATGCCATTAGCTTATTCTTTTCTGAAATCCTATGTTTCTTCCAGCAGATTGGCTATGCTTTTATGCAACATTAACCTGGATTTTCTAGACGGAGATGGTCAGATGAAAGCTCACAGCCCTATGTATATTGCCCACTAACAGGGAGTAGAATAACTGGAAGGAAAACAAAACCAACTCAAAAGCTCCTAATACAATGAAGAACCCTTTTCATTGTTTTTGTGTAAACCTGGAGGTTTGCAGATGATTTGGAAGGAGACAAATTTAGCTTCTGTAAAATATTCTTGGACAGCTAATCCAGACTTCCAGAATGCCCTACTGAGAACCATCTAAGAACGAGATGCAAAAATAATGGCTCTATTCTGATTGGCAATCATTCATTTTACATGTAAAGTAGTAAAAACATAAACTGTTTTTATCAAAACAAACTCATCAAACATTTAACTTGATGTTACTGGAATGTTATTATTTTTTTTCCTCTTCCAGTTCACAGCCCTAGGCTTTATATTGAAATTCACAGACACAATGCTCTCATTTTAAAGGAAAGCATGTAATCAACCTTTTAAAGATAACTACACAGAAAACTGAAGCAGCGTCATAAGAAGCAATGTGAATTCATGAGCAAATATGAAGAATGTTGCTCACCCCACATGTGAAAATGCTTAGTGCATTATTTATAGACATTGTTTGACCGGGGAGATCAAGGTCATGTGTGGACTCCTGGGCAATGGGTCAAATCTTAAGAGGCTGCCCTGATAATCCCTGCTGACAGTTTCTTGGATTGTGTTGGTGTACTTAAGTAGATGCATTTTCCAACTTGGAGGGAACAGTGAAGAACTTTAAAAAAAAATTAGTTAGCTATTCATTTATCTGACTTGATCACAACTCATTAATTTTGATCAGAAACAGTGTATACGGTAGGGAGGTTGCTATATTCACATGCTCTTTTCCTAAACTCTCTAAATCATTCCACTAAGAGAAATACACAATTAACCTTTCCCGGTGACAACTGCTCCTTGCCTTCTACCCCTCGCCAATAATGTTTCCATATATTCCAATGTCCAGAGTAAAGCAGACTCAATAATTAGTGTGACTCAGAAGAAAATACTGAAATCTTAGAATGTTTACTGTAGAAATTCTCATGGAAAATTATTTCTAAATGTTTTTAAAACTTATATGTTAAATATTGTAGAATTCCATATCTTTGTCACCCATAGTGGGCCCATTGTTTATGTGTCACCCTTGGGTTCTCCTGTGTTATACAGAAGATGTAGACTGGCTTGCTCAAGTAATCATGGGACATGATATTGAGGTCCTGACCTCTTCTAGCATTACATGGGCAGTGGCATATGGTGGGGAGGTTGGGAGGAGTGGGACACCCCAGTACAGGCAATAAGGAGGTACATTGTCTGTAGATAATTTTAAAATGACAGTAAACCTCACTAAAATAGGTCTGGTTTTTATTATGACCATGCACCAGCCATTCTAACAGTGTCAGTAATAAAACTGTTACCCCTGCCAAGCAGATCCTCCCCACTTCATGTCCCTCCCTTGAGGGCTGCTGAAAGGGGAAGTTCTTGATGCCTTCATCCTAGCTCAGAGGGGCTGTATTTTCTACCTAGGTTTATATGTAATATTAACATAAACAAAACAAAAGCACACAAGTTCTCTCATCTTGCCTTTTATAATATTTCCCAACTTAGTCTCTATCTTTTCTTCAATTTTAATTTGGAGATTTCTTAAAGTATTCTTGTGAGCACTGAGGATTTTATGGCAATTACCATGTACTATGAACACTGAACACTTCTAGATTGACCTCAGTTTTATTGACATCAATTCCTTTGGCTCTTTCTTTACATCCAGGATCAGTAGATCAGAAATGATTGAAAATAACAGAATCCTTCATATTCACAAAATACTGTAAAAGCAAAACCTGCAGGAAGAGATGTCCCTATTTAATAAGAATGGAATTGGAGATAATAGAAGATGGCAAAAAGGCCTTCTGTGGAGGGCAACGGACACAAACTTATCACCAAAGTCAGTATGAATCGGGTAGCCCCTAAACAGGCAGCTCAGGACATTGGTTAGACACCTCTGCATGAAAGTATTTTTAGGACAATTAAATCTGTCAATGATTGAATTTATAAAAAAAAAAATTTATGAATGGAAAGCAGTGCTGTCATCATTTATACAGCCCAAAGAGGTGCATAAACAGGATCCAGAATCAAAAGCATAGATTCTGAAGTCATGCAAAATAAGATTTTAGTCCTGACCCCAGCACTTACTACACATATGACATTGCTTAAGCTATTATTTCAGACTTGAGTTCTCATCTGATTAACTGGTATAAAGATAGTATAACAATAGCATTTAATGGGGTTGCCATGAGGTTTACATGATACTATATAGATAAAATGCTTACCTCAGTTCTTGGCACAGAGAAAACTTTCAGTGCTTCTTAGCTGCTTGATTCCATATGGAGCTCCACACGCACACTGAGTTTTCTCTGGCCTAGGCTAGCCACCAAGTAAGTCAATAGTGGGTTTACAAGCCTCAAGCAAATAATCACTCAGGCTTCTCCTCTTAGCTTTCCATCTTTACTCACTTTCTCACACTTTAATCCCAATTACTTGGTTAATTAGATAGTGTCCCATGCCCTCTTGCCTGTGTATATATAACAATATTATACTCCTAGCATGGGTGGTAAATTGTTTCCAGAGAAAAAAGGCAGAATCAGGGTGAACTACAGTCAGAGAATTTTCCATGGGATGGGAGAAGCTGGAGGTCACCTTCAAAGAATAGACTGGGTATGAGGAAAGGGAGCAGGAAGACCCGTCTCCTCAGGGCTGGGGGAAGGTCACCAGCACAGGAACATGGAGATGGGTCTTGAACAATTTGAAATTAGGTTGGTGAGGTGGGCAAGGCTGCATGGAGAGACCTGTGAATGCTGAACAGAACTCTATTGACAACGGAGGACACCACCTGGGATTCCAGATTCAGAGCTGGGGTTGAGTTGTGGGGTGAGTGCTTGGGCTGAGATTGGAACTAGGAGTTCTAGTTAGGGTTGGAAACTGAAGCTGGGCTTGGGAGAATGGGGGTTTTCATGTTTCAAAGCAAAAGTACCTGTATGGATGCATACGTTTCAGAGAATCCAAATCCCTTGAGGTTAATCAATGGATTTCTGTTGAACAGCCTCTGTTGCCCTCTGTCTATATATGTGTGTATAAAGTAATATGTTGTGTGTGTGTGCGTGTGTGTTCATATATACATATGAATGTTGTATAGTTATTCAAAGCAGTGACTGGTCTTGTTGCAGGAAATGCTGTCTGATAAGTTTGCTAAACTGAATTGTAAAAATAAGGAATAGCATTTATTTAACTCCATGCTAGACACTTCATATATGTTACCTAATTTCATTTTAACCTAATGGAAATGGAGGAGAGAGATTGCAGTTGGTGTGCAAAGGGACCTGGAATCAAGGAAACCAGACAGTAATCTGCTGCCAAAATCCAGACTGGAATTGATAAAGCAAGCTGTGGAGTGTGGTAAATGAAGGTGGGAATGGAAGAGAAGGGGGAATATGTGAGAAATGTAAGAAAAGGAGTTATGACTTCACTTTGAAGCGGACCAGGTAGAAGAGCTTTTGGAGAAGGAACGCTGGAAGATGTGGGTGAATTTAACAACTGAGGGGGCTGCGGGCTCTGAAATGTTTGTAAGTTGCAATGTGCTCACGCTAATATATAAGGGATTATTATATTATTTTACCTATCCATACAACTCTTCAAAAAGAATACTTGACCTCCTGCTGCACATTATCCTACTTTAAATAATAACCTTCCAGCTCTTCTCTGACTTTGCCTTCCCCTTGATTCAAGCAGGTGAGGGAGAAAATACAGCTACAGGCTGGGTTACTTCAATTATATCAAACCCCATGACCTCCTCTTTTCCAATCAGGACATGGTTACCCTGGCAACCAGCTTCTCTGTTTTCTTCTCATTTTCTTTCTCCAGAAGTACAAGTTAGTTTACACAGACTGGCTGAAGAAAACCTGTTCACTGTGTCCTGCTTTGGACAATGTGGTTCTTCTAAAGAAATCACAGTGTTTCTCTTTCTTAAATGGGTCAGGATTTTTAAATGCCATTTTTCGCTGAACATTTTAAAATGCGACTTAAGCTGAATACACTAGCTCATGGAAAATGTGATCTCCCCATGGAAGCAATACATTTCACTCTATCCGTGTTTGAAGCTGACATGGTAATAGGTGGTTTGGTGAAATCAGGAAACATTAACAATGCCCTCCTGAACTTAAGGTCCAAGCTGAGATAATGAAATCATGATTTATTTTTCTCAAATCTTCCATTCTCCCTTCTTGTCATCACTCAGCTGGCATTCTCAGAAAGAAACATCATAGAATTCAGGGATGAGCTGGGGTAGAAGGTGATATTTTTCCTAATGTAGTAGTTTTTGAGGAGGAAAGTTAATTGTTACAGTGGGCAAACAAGGTCTCAGGCCTCGTAAGAAAGAATAGTCCTTTGGTACAAAAAAGATAGCACTTACCCTTCTGGCCTTTTTGTCCTGTTTTTTCTTCAGTACCAGTCCAACTGATATTTAGAGCTGCCACTAGAAGAGTTTTAGAAAAGATGACTAGAAAAAAAAATCAAGACCATAACAATTATTTTCTCACTAACATCAACTTATATTTGAGTGGTTTTGAACTACTTGCAGAATTTTGGTTATGTACAGCAAAGGGGAAGTTTAAACAAATAGAAATCGCTAGATTTATACTGGGGCATGACAAAATCTGGGCATTGATGTACATAGTTTTTTTTTTTTTTTTTTTTTTTTGGAGACAGTCTTGCTCTATTCCAGGCTGGAGTGCAGTGACGCGATCTTGGCTCACTGCAACCTCCACCTTCTGGGTTCAAGCAATTCTGCCTCAGCCTCCCAAGTAGCTGGAACTACAGGTGCATGCCACCATGCCTGGCTAATTTTTTGTATTTTAGTGGAGATGAGATTTCACCATGTTGCCCAGGCTGGTCTTGAACTCCTGAGCTCAGGCAATCTGCCTGCCTCAGCCTCCCAAAGTGCTAGGATTACAGGCATGAGCCACCGCACCTGGCTTATGTTAAAGGGTTTTTGAAAAATTGTTAGGGATTTGGCAATTCCTAAAGTTTTAGGGATTAGTTTAGAGTTCCCTGAATCTAATAAAAATAGGGTGGTCAAGGTGGACTTCACTTAAGAAAGAGAAACAATGTGATATCTTTAGAAGAACCAAATTGTAACCAATTTTTTTCCTTTTCCTTTTTTTTAAATTTTATCTAAAAAACTTTTGGTGCAATATTAAAAAGCAATACAGCCAGCTGAAGTGACAACCAACAGAAAGAAGAAAGGCAGGAGAGGGAAGGCCCAGGAACCTCACCCCCAGGTAGTCCTCCGTGGGCTGGAGGCCAGGAGCAGAGTGAGAAGGTGGCATGGGTGGTGGGAGAAGAAGGCAAGAACACCCACCAAAATGAACAGGCAGATCCAAACATTTATACAGGAAACATCTGGCTGAACAGAAGAGGATCTTGGGGAGACGAGAAGCACCTCCACATTGTTTTTTTCCTAAAATGTGGAGTTGGGTGGAGAGATTTGAGCAAAAAAAAAAAAAAAAAAAAAAAAGGAAGGAAATGAGGGATGACCCTTGGGAACGTTTGAAGGAAGAAAATTCTAGACAGAGGATATCTCCAAAGAAAGGTCCCAAAAAGGAAGTGTGTCTAAATTTTTGAAGAAGAATAAGAAAGCTGACAAGGAGTAGGTGATGGGGGAGTTAGAAGCGATGAAGTCAGAGACATATTAAGGAAGGCAGAGAGTGGAGTAGCAGGTTGTTGTAGATCATCGTAGGAAATCGTAAGGATGTTGCCTTTTATTCTGTGGGATAATATCTGCTAAAAGCTGTTGCATGTTACTATTATTACATCATCCACAGCCTGAGACTTTGCAAAAACAGGGTTGGTACTCTGTCAGATTGTAAATATCGAAGGCTTGCAGGCCAAATGATATCTACTGCAACTGCTCGACCTTGGTGTTGTGGCACAAAAGCAGCCATGGGCAACCTGTATAAAATGGCATGGCTGTGACCCCAAAAAATGTATTTACAAAAAGAAGCAGGTAGCCCACAGGCTATAGTTTGGCCGCCTCTGATCTAAAGAGTTACTCTGATTTATATCTATATTTTCTGGGGAAAATTAAGCTTAGGGGAAATGAAAAAGAAAACTACATTGATTGACTATCTGTTATGCATCAGAAAGTGTCCTAGGAATTACATGTGTGTGTGTATACACACATACAAATCGACATGTATTTGTAAATACATCTCTGTAAACTAGAAGAGGAAGAGAATATCCTCAGTCTCATAAAAGCTTTTCAAAAAAAAAAAAAAAAAGCACCCTACAGATAACACCTAATGGTGGATGACTGAATGCTTCCTTCCTAAGACAGGGAACAATTCAAGAATGTCCACTTCTACTATTCATATTCTACATATTACTGGAATGCTACCCAGTATACATATATATGTTACATAATTGTCTATTTACATCCCTATAATTATCTACTTAGCCAAGACAGCTTTATCTCTCATGAAAATAACTTCAGTGGCCTCCTTCCTGATTCTACTTTACATATACACCTCAATTCTGTCAACATGATTTTTTAAAATATAAGCATGCCAAATATTTAAAGAAAGACTAATATTAATCTTATACAACTTCTTTCAGAAAACAGAAGAGGAGGGGAAGACTCCCAGTTCATATTATAAGGTCAGCATTACTCTGATACCAAAACCAAAGACAGTTACCGTAGGAAAAGTACAGAACAATATCCCCCATGAGCATAGACACAAACATTCCCAATACAGTACTAGCAAATCAAATCTAACAACATATAAGAAGAGTAATACACTAAAACTAAGTGGACTTTATTCCCTTATTCCACTAATGCAAGGCTTAATCCATATTTTAAAAATCGAAGTATTCTACAAATTAAAAATCAAAACAAGCAAAGGCACGTGATTATACTGTTTGATGCAGAAAAAAGTATTTGACAAGCTTTAATCCCATTCATGATACAATCTCTCTGTAAACTAGAAGAGGAAGAGAATATCGTCAGTCTCATAAAAGCATTTCCGAAAAAAAAAAAAAAAGCCTACAGATAACATCATAGTATCACACCTAATGGTGGAAGAGTGAATGCTTCCTTCCTAAGATGGGGAACAATTCAAGAATGTCCACTTCTACCATTCATATTCAACATATTACTGGAATGCCACCCAGCACAATAAGGCAAAAGAAAAAGAAAAATGAAAAAAAAGAAAAGGCATACGAATCAGAAAGAAATTAATCTGTCACAACTTAATTGACAATTATAATTCTATATTCTAGCAATGAGTAATTAAAAACTGACAGTAAAAATAAATATCATTTAGAATAATTCCTCCAAAAGAGAAATACTTAGGTGTAAATCTAAGAAAACATGCATAGGATGTATATAGTAAAATCCAAACAATGCTGATTTATAAAATTAAAGACCTAAATAAATGGAGAGACATACTGTAGTCAGGAATTGGAGTAATCAACATAGTAAAGACAGTAATATTCACCAAATGGATCTATAGATTTAATGCAATTGCCAACATAATCCCAGCATGATTTTTTGACAAGCTCATTCTAAAATGAGTATGGAAAGGCAAAATACATAGAATTACTTAAGCAATTTTGAAAACGATAAGGTTGGAGAAATCACAAACCCAATGTGATTTTGTGTCTACAGGAATCCAAACAGAGTGGTCCTGGTAGAGGGACGGACACATAGATCAATGGAACAAAATAGACACAGCTATGCAGAGCTGATTTTTGGCAAAGAAAGGACTACTATTCTCTCTTTTGCATCTTCATTCTTTTAGTGGGTCAAGTCTAAAACTAGAATCATCCTGATTCTGCTCTTCCTCTCACATCTTTATTTAACCCATTAGAAAATCCTATCAGCTCTTCCAGAATCTGATTACTTCTCAACCTCTCTACTGTTCACACTGCAGTGTGGACCATTACCTCTTGTTTAGACTTACAATAGACTTAATTGATTTCAATACTTTCACACTTGGCTGCCATATAGTCCATTATCCATACTGTTGCCAAAGTGATCATTTTGAAAGTTAAGAGAGATTATATCCATCCTTGGCCTAAAAGTCCTCAAATGGCTTCCCATCTCACTGAGAATATAAACTAAAGTGATGACCAGAGGTTTAAAGGATCTTACATGATCTGATCTGGCCCTCACTATCTCTCCTCTCTCTCTTCTCTGTCTCTCTGTCTCCCCCTCTCTCTTATTGTTTGTTCTGAAGTCATACTGCCTTCCTTGATGTTTCTTGAACATACCAAATATGCTCTAGCCTCCTAGTTTTTGTACTTATGCTAGAAAATTCCTTTTCCCAAAGATTGAGAAGATTCAGTTTCTTACTTCCTGCAGTTCTCTGCTAATATGGCATCATGTCAGAGAGACCTTTCCTGACCATCCTCTGTAAAAACAACAATCTGCCTCTCCCTGGCATTCTCTACCTGCTTTATCTTTTTCTCTCCATTTGGTACATGCAACCTACTAGTTAGTTATCTATTTTCTTCTTTATTTACTTATTCTATAAGTAGAATTTAACTTCCATGAGGGCAGAGATTTTGTTTATTTCTTGCTAAATTTCTAAAATGTAGAATAGTCCCTGTTTTATCATAGGTACTCAATACAGAAATGTTTAATGAATAAATTCAATAAAGGTATGGCCTTGACGTCCAACTCAGAATCTAAAAAATTCTTGACAGATCAACAAAGTTCTGCCTTCTATGAATGTGTTTTGAAAGTACTTTTAATAAGTAATTTAGGTTGTATGAAATATTACTATTTTTTTGCCTTTAATGTAAGACAATTGTTTTGTTTGTTTGTTTTTGTCCAGTCCTCCAAATTTCTCTCTAGGGAAAACTCTTTATTCAACTCTATAGTACATTGGTCATCATTTTATTTTCAATGATTTATTACTATTACTTTAATAGTCTAGATTCCATGCTCAATAGTCTTCCTATTTCTTCCTTAGCTCTTTACCCCAAATTAAGAAATGCTTCTCCTTGGTGTGTGCTGGTTTTTTCCATGTGTTTCGCATACTCAGTTTTAGTACAAATGTGTTTAAATAAAAGAGAAATTAATGTTTTGGCTTTTTTTCCCCGTCTTCGTCACAGTTTGAATTGATAAAATCACACATTTCCAACTTGAAAAGAAATTGGCAAAAATTTACTAACAAATATCTTGTTTTCCCTTTAGTTTACTGAAAGACAAATAAAAAACCTAAAGTCTTAATTGAAAACTGGTAAATTCTATAGAACTTGTGTTGAGAGCCTCCTCAGCAGAATGGACATTTGACTTTTATATGGCAGATCAAAATAAGAAAGGGGTTCAAAGTACATAAATAAGTTTATGTAACACAAAAGCCATGAGGTGCTTCTTTTATACTCAATGATAATGAGACTGCTACAGTAAACAAAACAAAACAGAAGAAAAAACAAATGAGTAAGCATCCGTGATATACCTAATTCTGTAGGAAATTACGATCAACAGAAATGCTTCATAAGCAAAGAACATAATGTTTATCCTCAAATTGTCTACAATCTAGGTCGTAGGAGAAGCCAAAACCACAACTGCCACCACATGACAACAGATGAAAGAAAGACAAATTATTACTGAGTTTTGGGCTCCAAAGCCTCTTAGGGATATGGGGAACTTGTAGAGAACCCAGAGAAGAGCCACAGAGATGATTAAAGAGTTGTAAAATGGGACCTTTGAGGACAGGTTAAAGGAATTGGGATTACTTAGTTTGAAAGTGAGGTGATTAAAAAGTGGTTTCATAATAGCTTCAAAAAATACACAATGTTAGCTAATTGATGATGGTGGCTAGCTATTCTCTAGAACTGGAAGAAATGCAAAAAAATACGCTATCTGAGAGATTTGAGTTATACGTATAGTAAGGAGGAGTTTTCAGAGATTGATGATAATATGGATAGTCAAAGTGTGAAATCATATTTTCTTCCTGGTGTATTTAATCTTTAAAAATAGAGAAGAAATTTATACAGCTGAAAAGCAAAGGTAGAGAGTGAAAGGAAGCCATTTCTATTGGCTACAGCACTAGATGATTTATCAAACTGTCTTCCAGGTATGTGACCCTTGGACCTTTTGCCAGAATTTACTGAATTTTGCAATAAGCTTACCATTAACTCTGAGTACAAAATCTGGCACCTTTTCCTCTCAACTTTAATTTTTATGTAACACTATTTATCTCTACAGATTGAAATTTTAAGTGCTTGGTATTTTGTATCCACTTATAGTCAGGCACACCAAAATGTCACAAAGGGATTCATTGTTTTCTTTAGGAAGTATTTGATTGTTCATTGGTAGATGATATGTAGTCCTCTGGTATATGAAGCCAGGCTGGCAATAAAAATTACTTCCTTGGGGATTACAATTTATCTTCCACTTAGTATCTTCCGATATTTTTTGTAGAATAAAAAATCTGAAGTAATTTGGCTGAATTTCACCTTTTTACTTGTTAAAGACTAGTTAAAATAATGTGATGGTTGATGCAATGATTATGAAAGTATATTTTTTCAGTCCAAAGGCAATAATTCAATTGAAAAGCTCATAAAAAGGGTATTCTGACACAGTTCATCTCTCTCGATGCTTGGATAATGTTTGATTTCTTCCAAACCAAATTTTAAACAGCCTAAGCAAACCAAAATTTATTTGAAAACCCAACTCTTATTGTTTGCTTTTTCAGTAGGGTTTTTTCTTGGCAACAAAGAGCCTGAAGTCTTAATAAAGCTGGGAACTTACTTAAATGCAGTGATGAAAAAAATTGGGCCAATGCTTGGGGAAACTGTTTGCCAAGAAATTTTAGAACAATTGCATTTTAAGTATTGTTCCATTTAAGAGGTGGAATTAAACTTCTATGAAGCAAAACTGCCTATATGCCTTATCATTGGAGTGTGTTTCCACAACCGTAAATGAAATTAGGTTTCTCATTAATGAAGCAAATAAATCTGAATATATTCCCTGAAAAGACAAGATATGGATTCCAGTAATAGTGTTTTAAAACACACTCTTATGTACTTACCTACATTACAGTATTTCAAAGTAATAGAAATCTTGGCCATCAAAAGTATGTTCATTAATTTCACACTGTGTGCATATAAATAAATAGCTAAGCTCAGCATAGACTTTCAAAGTCTTTCAATACCATCCATTTATCTATTCTTTTAGCTTCATTTACTGTGATGTTGGAGCCGGCTATTTAACCACGTTTTTAGTGAATGAATTAATGCATGTTAGAAGTAAAATTGTTTTTATTGCATGGAATTGCTTCCACTAAAGCTGGAAAATAATGTTTAAAATGGAGGAAGGAAAGAAAGAAAATGAAGCACCATTACTCTGCATTTCCCTGTCTCCTATTCAGATACCTTACTGTTCGATTTAAATAATAATAAAATAGTCACCCAATATTAGGGCAATGAGGTAGTCATCGCAGTGATGGGATAGATGATACTCTGAAGAGAAAAATTTAACTGACTTCTATACTTCTGTTTACACCCCCATTTTCTATAGCATCCTGTTGCCAAGTTATAACAAAAATATTTCTAAGATAATCTGGAGTTTTGTTCAACAATTCAGATCAATGTTGGAGAAGGATGATCCGTTCTGCATAGAACCCCTGTAATGAGAATAACCCATTTAAAGACATTTTACTCGACGTTAGTTGCGATACCAAAAAAAAAAGCCACTTGGGTAAAATTATGATCACCAGCTTTTCACCTCTGAAGTTTTCAGAGATATGCCATCTCCCACTAAGACTCCTATAAGGCAGAAATTAAATATCCACCCTTATCAGCTGTGCAGGCTTCCCTGTAGTCATGCCCACAGAGTTTAATCCAGACAGCAGTGTTTTGTCATCCGTAAATCTCTTCTATTTTTATTTTTGGGTGTGTTCAGATATATAAATGTGGTATTTTCACAGGCTAGGCTGCAAATTGGAGGCACAGCATGCAGCAGTAAAGAAAAGCTCATAGAAAAGGGGGAAAAAAGAGCTCAGGTATTTTACTCTAAATTGACAAATGGGATGTTCCTGAACTCAAAGGAATTCTTTAGCTCACTATTGAATTGCTATTAAAAAATGTATTACCGAGAAAACAGACCCAAATTGAGACCCTATAGGAAATAGAATTTCAGTGTATTTTCTATTATTCACAGTAAGAATTAGCACCAGACTGTGCATATCACTGAGTTAAATGTAATGCAAAATGAATTAAGTAAAGGGGGAAAAAAAGCCTGTCTGCTCTGGAAACTTACAATGAAGAACATTGAGGCAGAAAGAAAGAGGAAAGATAGCATGTCACTTGTTATGTGCATACTCAAGGGAGAGAGCAAGTTGTAGTAATGTGTTTGACTGAATGGTTCTTGAGAGATTGCCAAATCTCTTCTTGATAAGATTTGATTTTGAAGCAACTCAGGTGATACCTAGATGTATAAGGATATGAATTTAATGCATGGTGGAGAGTAGGGCATTGCAGGATTATGGTGGAAGCAGAAGGGAAGCTCGAGATATTTTGCAAAGACTGAAAAATGAGTGAGAGGGAACAGAATGGATTTGCACAAAAATATAATGGTACCCAGTTTTCTCCACTGTCTGTCTTAGAGTAATGCTTTTGTAATGTGTTTAGTTAATGTTTCAAGGAGTTCAAGGTAATCGTAGATATCTGCTGCAGAATTTTGGAGCTAGTTCTGGTGGTAAGTTTAATGGCAAAACTTCTATGCACTCGTGAAATTTATTTGGGTGAAAGAAGCAGCTTTTAAGCATTATTATCTATTGGCCACTTTTGATTTCCAATATACTTGGTATTAGTATGTTAGGAATATTGTGAATCTTTTCAAAAGAACAATGTTCACAGGCAACAAAGACTGTATGTATGACATACACAAAGGTACACAGTTTATAGTCCCTAAGAGTCCATTTTAAGTCTATTCAACCTTCAACGTCCATTTTTTATTTTCATTGAAGTAGCTGTGCTATTTTACTGTTGCATATAAATTGAATTATGAGGATATAATACTATATTTATAAGGATGGTGTGACTAGAGTTTAGTTGTATATAAAAATCTTGGAAATAATTTATTTGGGAATATGACAGTTATAACATATCAAGCCCTTTCAAATGCGTTTACCTTCTCTTTAAAGACTGCCCATCGCAGCCATTTGGACAGACACTGAGCTAGCTGCAGGAGTTTCTTTTCATACCCTAGTGGCACCTGGAATGCCAGTGAGACAGAACCGTTCACTCCCCTGGAAAGGGGGCTGAAGCCAGGGAGCCAAGTGGTCTAGCTCAGCAGATCTCAACCCCACAGATCCCAGCAAGCTAAGATCCACTGGCTTGAAATTCTCACTGCCAGCACAGCAGTCTGAAGTCAACTTGGGATGCTCAAGCTTGGTTGGAGGAGGGGCATCTGACATCACTGAGGCTTGGGTAGGTGGTTTTCCCCTCACAGTGTAAACAAAGCTGCCGGAAAATTCAAACTAGGCAAGGCCCACTGCAGCTCGGCAGAGCCACTGTAGCCAGACTGCCTCTCTAGATTCCTCCTTTCTGGGCCAGGCATCTCTGAAAGGCAGCAGCCAAAGTCAGGGGCTTATATATAAAACTCCCATCTCCCTGGGGCAAAGCACCTGGGGCAAGGGGCAGCTGTGGGCGCAGCTTCAGCAGACTTAAACGTTCCTGCCTGTGGGCTCCAAACAGAGCAGTGGATCTCCCAGCACAGTGGTCGAACTCTGCTAAGGGACAGACTGCCTCCTCAAGTGGGTCCCTGACCCCTGTGCCTCCTGACTGGGAGACACCTCCCAGCAGGGGTCGACAGACAGCTCATACAGGAGAGCTCTGGCTATCATCTGGCGGGTGTCCCTCTGGGACGAAGCTTCCAGAGGAAGGAACAGGCAGCAATCTGTTCCTTCCAGAGGAAGGAACAGGCAGCAATCTGTTCCTTCCAGAGGAAGGAACAGGTTGCTGTTCTGCAACCTCTGATGGTGATACCCAGGCAAAGAGGGTCTGGAGTGGGTCTCTAGCAAACTCCAGCAAACCTGCAGCAGAGGGTCCTGACTGTTAGAAGGAAAACTAACAAAGAGAAAAGAATATCACCAACATCAATAAAAAGGATGTCTACACAAAATCCCCATCCGAAAGTCACCAACATCAAAGACCAAAGGTAGATAAATCCACGAAGATGAGGAAAAACCGGCACAAAAAGGCTGAAAATTCCAAAAACCAGAATGCCTCTTCTCCTGCAAAGGATCACAACTCCTCTCCAGCAAGGAAACAAAAATGGATGGAGAATGAGTTTGACGAATTGACAGAAGTAGGATTCAGAAGGTGGGTAATAACAAACTCCTCCGAGCTAAGGGAGCATGTTCTAACCCAATGCAAGGAAGCTAAGAACCTTGAAAAATGGTTAGAGGAATTGCTAACTAGAATAACCAGTTTCGAGAAGAACATAAATGACCTGATGGAGCTGAAAAACACAGCACAAGAACTTCTTGAAGCATAGACAAGTATCAGTAGCTGAATTGATCAAGTGGAAGAAAAGACATCAGAGATTGAAGATCAACTTAATGAAATAAAGCGTGAAGACAAGATTAGAGAAAAAAAATGAGTAAGAATGAACAAAGCCTCCAAGAAATATAAGACTATGTGCAAAGGCCAAACCTACGTTTGATTGTTGTCCCTGAAAGTGACGGGGAGAATGGGACCAAGTTGGAAAACACCCTTCCGGATATTTTCCAGGAGAACTTCCCCAACCTAGCAAGACAGGCCAAAATTCAAATTCAGGAAACACAGAGAACACCACAAAGATACTCCTCGAGAAGAGCAACCCCAAGACACATAATTATCAGATTCACCAAGGTTGAAATGAAGGAAAAAATGTTAAGGGCAGCCAGAGAGAAAGCTCAGGTTACCCACAAAGGCAGGCCCTTCAGACTAACAACGGATCTCTCTGCAGAAACCCTATTAGTCAGAAGAGAGTGGGGGCCAATGTTCAACATTCTTAAAATAATTTTCAACCCAGAATTTCATATCCAGCCAAACTAAGCTTTATACGCAAAGAAGAAATAAAATCCTTTACAGAGAAGCAAATGCTGAGAAATTTTGTCACCACCAGGACTGCCTTACAAGAGCTCCTGAAGGAAGCACTAAACATGGAAAGGAACAACCGGTACCAGCCACTGCAAAAACATACCAAATTGTAAAGACCATTAACACCATGAAGAAACTGCATCAACCTATGGCCAAAATAACCAGCGAGCATCATAATGAAAGAATCAAATTCACACATAACAATATTAGCCTTAAATGTAAATGGGCTAAATGCCCCAGTTAAAAGACACAGACTGGCAAATTGGAGAAAGAGTCAAGATCCATCAGTGTGCCATATTCGGGAGACCCATCTCACATGCAGAGACACACGTAGGCTCAAAATAAAGGGATGGAGGAAGATTTACCAAGCAAATGGAAAGAAAAAAAACAAACAAAAAAAAAAAACCAAGGGTTGCAATTCCAGTCTCTGATAAACCAGAATTTAAACCAACAAAGATCAAGAGAGACAAAGAAGGGCATTACATAATGGTAAAGGGATCAACACAACAAGAAGAGCTAACTATCATAAACATATATGCACCCAATACAGAAGCACCCAATACAGATTCATAAAGCAAGTTCTTAGAGACCTAAAAAGAGACTTAGACTCCCACACAATAATAATAAGAGACTTTAACACCCCACTGTCAATATTAGACAGATCAACAAGACAGAAAATTAACAAGGATATTCAGGACTTGAACTCAGCTCTGGACCAAGTGGAACTAATAGACATCTACAGAACTCTCCACCCTAAATCAACAGAATATACGTTCTTCTAAGCACCACTTCGCACTTATTCTATAATTGGCCACATAATTGGAAGTAAAACACTGCTCAGCAAATGCAAAAGAATGGAAATCATAACAAATAGTCTCTCAGACCACAGTGCAATCAAATTAGAATTCAGGATTAAGAAACTCACTCAAAACTGCACAACTACATGGAAGCTGAACAACCTGATCCTGAATGCCTACTGGGTAAATAACAAAATTAAGGCAGAAATAAATAAGTTCTTTGAAACCAAGGAGAACAAAGACACGATGTACCAGAATCTCTGGGACACAGCTAAAGCAGTGTTTAGAGGGAAATTTATAGCACTAAATGCCCGCAGGAGAAAGCTGGAAAGATCTAAAATTGACCCCCTAACATCACAATTAAAAGAACTAGAGAAGCAAGAGCAAACAGATTCAAAAGCTAGCAGAAGACAAGAAATAACTAAGATCAGAGCAGAACTGAAGGAGATGAACACATGAAAAAGCCTTCAAAAAATCAAGGAATCCAGGAGCTGGTTTATTCAAAAGATCAACAAAATAGATAGACTGCACTCCAGCCTGGGCAAGAGTGAGACTCTGTCTCAAAAAAAAAAAAAAAAAAAAAAAAGATAGACTGCTAGCCAGACTAATAAAGAAGAAAAAAGAGAAGAATCAAATAGAGACAATAAAAAATGATAAAAGGTATATCACGACTGATCCCACAGAAATGCAAACTACCATCAGAGAATACTATAAACACCTCTATTCAAATAAACTAGAAAATCTAGAAGAAATGGATAAATTCCTGGCACATACACCCTCCCAAGACTGAACCAGGAACAAGTCAAATCCCTGAATAGACCAATAACAAGTTCTGAAATTGAGGCAGTAATTAATAGCCTACCAACCAAAAAAAGCCCAGGACCAGATGGATTCACAGCCGAATTGTACCAGAGGTACAAAGAGCAGCTGGTACCATTCCTTATGAAACTATTCCAAACAATAGGAAAAGAGGGACTCCTCCATAACTTATGTTATAAGGCCAGCATCATCCTGATACCAAAACCTGGCAGAGGCACAACAAAAAAAGAAAATTTCAGGCCAGTATCCCTGATGAACATCGATGCAAAAAT
Source organism: Homo sapiens (assembly GCF_000001405.40). Taxonomy (NCBI): domain Eukaryota; kingdom Metazoa; phylum Chordata; class Mammalia; order Primates; family Hominidae; genus Homo; species Homo sapiens. The sequence continues at coordinate 23,429,093 of NC_000006.12, read as the reverse complement.
CCTTAATAAAATAATGGCAAACCAAATCCAGGAGCACATCAAAAAGCTTATCCACCACAATCAAGTTGGCTTCATCCCTGAGATGCAAGCTGGTTCAACATACACAAATCAATAAATGTAATCCATCACATAAACAGGACCAATGACAAAAACTACATGATTATCGCAATAGATGCAGAAAAGGCCTTCGATAAAATTCAACACCGCTTCATGCTAAAAACTCTCAATAAACTACGTATTGATGGAACATATCTCAAAATAATAAGAGCTATTTATGACAGACCCACAGACAATATCATACTGAATGGGCAAAAGCTGGAAGTATTCCCTTTGAAAACTGGCACAAGACAAGGATGCCCTCTCTCACCACTCCTATTCAACGTAGTATCGGAAATTCCGGCCAGGGCAATCAAGAAAGAGAAAGAAAAAAATGGTATTCAAATATAAAGAGAGGAAGTCAAATTGTCTGTTTTCAGAAGACATGATTGTATATTTAGAAAACCCCATTGTCTCAGCCCAATATCTCCTTAAGCTGATAAGCAACTTCAGCAAAGTCTCAGGACACAAAACCAATGTGCAAAAATCACAACCATCCCTGTACACCAAAAATAGACAAACAGAGAGTCAAATCATGAGTCAACTCCCATTCACAATTGCTACAAAGACAATAAAATACCTAGGAATACCACTTAGAAGTGACGTGAAGGACCTCTTCAAGGAGAACTACAAACCACTGCTGAAGGAAAAAAGAAAGGGCACAAACAAATGGAAAAAACATTCCATGCTCATGGATAGGAAGAATCCATATTGTGGAAATGGCCATACTGCCCAAAGTAATTTATAGATTCAATGCTATACCCATCAAGCTACCATTGACTTTCTTCACAGAATTAGAAAAAACTACTTTAAATTTCATATAGAACCAAAAAAGAGCCCATATAGCCAAGACAATCCTAAGCAAAAAGAACAAAGCTGGAGGCATCATGCTACCTGATTTCAAACTATACTACAAGATTGCCATCACCAAAACAGCATGGTACTGGTACCAAAACAGATATACAGACCAATAGAACAGAACAGAGGTGTCAGAAATAATGCCACACCTCTACAACCATCTGATCTTTGAAGAACCTGACAAAAACAAGCAATGGGGAAAGGATTCCCTGTTTAATAAATGGTGTTGGGAAAACTGGCTAGCCATGTGCAGAAAACTGAAACTGGACCCCTTCCTTACACCTTATACAAAAATTAACTCAAGATGGATTAAAGACTTAAATGTAAGACCTAAAACCTTAAAAACCCTAGAAGAAAACCTAGGCAATACCATTCAGGACGTAGTCATGGGCAAGGACTTCATGACTAAAACAGCAAAAGCAATGGCAACAAAAGCCAAAATTGACAAATGGGATCTAATTAAACTAAAGAGCTTCTGCACAGCAAAAGAAACTATCATCAGAATGAACAGGCAACCTACAGAATGGGAGAAAATTTTTGCAATCTATTCATCTGACAAAGGGCTAATATCCAGAATCTACGAGGAACTTAAACAAATTTACAAGAAAAAAATAACGACCCCATCAAAAAGTGGGCAAAGGATATGAACAGACACTTTTCAGAAGAAGACATTTATGCAGACAACAAACATGAAAAAAAGCTCATCAACACTGGTCATTAGAGAAATGCAAATCAAAACCACAATGAGATACCATCTCACACCAGTTAGAATGGTGATCATTAAAAAGTCAAGAAACAACAGATGCTGAAGAGGATGTGGAGAAATAGGAATGCTTTTACACTGTTGGTGGGAGAGTAAATTAGTTCAACCATTATAGAAGACAGTGTGGTGATTCCTCAAGGATCTAGAACCAGAAGTTACCCAAAGGAGTATAAATCATTCTACTGTAATGACACACACAAGTATGTTTATTGCAGCACTATTCACAATAGCAAAGACTTGAAACCAACCCAAATGCCCATCAATGATAGACTGGATGAAGAAAATGTGGCACATATAAACCATGGAATACTATGCAGCCATAAAAAGGATGAGTTCATGTCCTTTGGAGGGACATGGATGAAGCTGGAAACCATCACTGTCGGCAAACTAACAGAGGAACAGAAAATGAAACACCACATGTTCTCACTCATAAGTGGGAGTCGAACAGTGAGAACACATGGACACAGGGAGCAGAACATCACACACCAGGGCCTGTTGGTGGGTGAGGGGATAGGAGAGGGATAGCATTAGGAGAAATAGCTAATGTAGATGACGGGGTGATGGGTGCAGCAAACCACCATGGCACATGTATACCTATGTAACAAACCTGCACGTTCTGCACATGTATCTCAGAATTTAAAGTATTATTTAAAAAATAGAAAAATAAGGCAAGTTTAAAAATTTGCAATTATTCAGCACAGAGCTAAAAAGGGGAAGTAGCATAATATTGAGGTCATCATGACCAAATGAAAAAATGATCACCGAAACAAAGTGGAAAATTGTTCATAATTCCCATGAAGACAGAAAAAGGGCAAAAGGCTCACGTTGCAGTATGAAATCTACATCTCCCAGCATTCTCTCTGAAAGGTACACATCTCTAGTGCTTTTGAATATAGCCAATTTTTAACGGTCATTTATATTTCAAGTGTGGTCCTGAGGGGGAATGACTAGATGTGTTCTCAAGCAGAGTTAACTCAGTGTGTGGGGTGGAGGTGAGGGCTGGGGAAGGAGGGAGAGTTTTGATAAGTTAGCAAGTTGTAAAATGTCTGTGGAAATACCTCTATTCTGTATTGTTTGGTCAGGTCCTAAACTTGGCTGTACTGCTTTACAAAAGAAAAGGCTTTTTGCACAAGGCCCTCTTACTTTCTCACCAAAGTGAGTTTCTGTGCCTGATTTAAGAAAATGCAGTTTGAGAGATGTGATAATTGAATAATTTTGAGGCTGTCCAGAGTACACAAGGGAAGTTGATTAAAGTAGTAAAACACAGGCTCTCTGATTAGGCTGCAGAGCTTTCCAAGCCAGAAGAACAAGCATTGTTATGAAAGCTCTTTTGCTTAACAATTTGCATTATTTGCTTAATAATTGCTTAAATAAATAATTGTATTTAAAACAACAACAAAAGAAACAAAACAGCAAAAAAAGATTGCCCATTATATTGTAAATTCCTTAGGTAAGTTCATAAAGCCTTTATAATGAAATGAGTAACCCATAAAATAAGATAAATATATTTTAGTGGTTGTTCATGGGTTGTCATTTTTTTTATAATTTCTAATTTCCTCTTAGATTCATGGGGTACATGTGCAAGTTTGTTACCTAGGTATATTACATAATGCTGAGGTTTGAAGTATGATTGATCCCATCACCAGGTACTGAGCATAGTAGCCAAGTACTTTTCCAGCCCTTTTCCACCCTTTCTTCCCTCCTTTAGTAGATGCCAGTTTATATTGTTGCCATCTTTATGTCCACAGGTACTGAAAATTTAGTTCCCACTTAAGAGTGAAAGCATGTGATATTTGGTTTTCTGTTCCTGCATTATTTTGCTTAAGATAATGGCCTCCAGCTGCATTCATGTTGCTTCAAAGGACATCATTTCATTCTTTTTATGGATGCATAGCATTCCATGGTATACATGTATCACATTTTTTTAATCCAGTCCACCACTGATAGGCACCTAGATTGATTCTAGTCTTTGCTGTTGTGACTAGTGCTGCGATGAACATGCAAATACATGTGTCTTTTTGGCAGCACAATTTATTTTCCTTTGGATATATACCCAGTAATGGGATTGCTAGATCATATGGTAGTTCTGAGCTTTTTTTTTTTTTTTTTTGAGCAATCTCCAAACTGCTTTTCACAGTGGCTCAAATAAATTACGTTCCCCACCAGCAGTGTATAAGCATTACCTTTTTTCTCCTCAGCTTCTCCAGCATCTGTAGTTTTTTGACTTTTTAGTAATAACCTTTTTTTTGTTTTTGTTTGTTTGTTTGTTTGTTTGTTTGTTTTTTTGAGACTGTCTCACTCTGTTGCCTGGGCTGTAGTGCAGTGGTGTGATCTCTGCTCACTGCAACCTCTGCTTCCTAGGTTCAAGAGATCCTCTCACCTCAGCCTCCCCAGTAGCTGGGAATACAGGCATGTGCTACAAAGGCTAATTTTTTTTTTTTTTTTATTTCTGTAGAGGAGGGGTTTCACCATGTTTCTCAGGCTGGTCTGGAACTCCTGAGCTCAAGCAATCAACTCATGTTGGTCTCCCGAAGTGCTGGGATTACAGGAATGAGCCATTACACTCGGCCATGCTGAGTGGTGTGAAATGCTGTGTCATCGTGATTTTAATTTTCATTTCTCTGCTGATTAGTGATGTGGAGCATTTTTTTCATGTTTCTTGGCCACTTGTATGTCTTCTTTTGAGAAGTGTCTGTTCATGTCTTTTGACTATTTTTTAAATGGGGTTTGTTTTTTTTTTTTTTTTGCCTGTTGCATTGTTTAAGTTCTTTATACATTCTGGACATTAGATCTTTGTCAGATAAAGCTTGAAAATATCTCCTCCCATTCTGTAGGTTGTCTGTTTACTCTGTTGATAGTTTCTTTTGCTGTGCAGATGCTCTTTAGTTTAATTGGGTCCCACTTGTCAATTTTTGTTTTGTTGTAATTGCTTTTGAGAACTTAGTTATAAATTATTTCCCAAGGTCAATAACTAGAATGGTATTTCCTAGGTTTTCTTCTAGGATTATTAAAGTTTGAGGTCTCACATTTAAATATTTAATCCACTTTGCGTTAATTTTTAATATGGTGAAAGGGAGGAGTCCAGTTTCGTCTTTCTGCATTTGGCTAGTCAGCTGTGCTGGCATCATTTATCAAATAGGGAGTTCTTTCCCCATTGCTTATTTTGTTGAAGATCAGATGGCTGTAGGTGTGTGGTGTTATTTTTGGGTTCTCTATTCTGTTCTATTGCTCTATGTGTCTGTTTTTGAACCAGGACATTGCTGTTTGGATTATCATACCTCATAGTATAAAGTCAAGTAGGGTGAATGACGTCTTAAGCTTTGTTCTTTTTGCTTAGGATTGCTTTAGCTATTTGGGCTCTTTACTGGTTCTATATGAATTTAGAATAGTTTTTTTCTAGTTCTGTGAAAAATTATGTTGGTAGATTGATAGAAGTATTGTTAAATGTGCAGATTCTTTGAGCAGTGTGGCCATTTTAATGATATTGATTCTTCCAATCCATGAGCATGGAATGTTTTTCTGTTTGTTTGTGTCACATCTGAGTTATTTCAGCAGTGTATCATAGTTTTTCCTGTAGAGATCTTTCACCTCCTTGCTTAGATGTATTCCTAGGTATTTTATTTTTGTGTGTGGCTATTAAAATGGATTACGTTCTTGATTTGGCTCTCAGCTTGAGTGTTATTGATATATGAAAATGCTACCAATATTTTTACATTAAGTTTTTTTGTCCTGAAACTTCAGTGAAGTCATATATCAGTCCAGGAGCCTTTTGGTGGAGTCTTCAGGTTTTTCTAGGTATAGAATCCTATAGTCCCCAAAGAGAGATCGTTTAACTTCTTCTTTTCCTAGTTGGATGCCTTTTATTTATTTCTCTTGTCTGATTTCTCTGGCTAGCACTTCCAGTACTATGTCGAATAGGAGTAGTGAGAGTGAACATCCTTGTCTTATTCCAGTTTTCAAGGGGAATGCTTTCACTTTTTGCCCATGCAGTACGCTGAGGTATGTTCCTTTGAGACCTAGTTTCTTGAGGGTTTTTATCATGAAGTGATGTTAGATTTTATGTAAAGATTTTTCTACATCTATTAAGATAATCATATAATTTTTGTTTTTAATTTTATCCGGTGAATCACATTTATTGATTTGCATATGTTGAACCAAGATTGCATTCCCTGGAATAAAGGCAACTTAATTATGGTGAATTAATTTTTGATGTGCTCCTGAATTAAATTCACTAGTATTTTGTTGAGGATTTTTTTTTGTCTATGTTCATTAGAGATATTGGCCTGAGGATTTTTTTATTCATTGTGTCTTTGCCATGTTTTGGTCTCCAGGTGACACTAGCTTCATAGAATGAGTTAGAGAGTCCTTCTCCTTGATTTTTTGGAATATTTTCAGTAGGATGGGTACCAGCTCTTCTTTGTACATCTGGTAGAATTTGTCTGTAAATCCATCTGGTCTGGGTCTTTTTTGGTTGGTAGACTTATTATTACTGATTTGACTTTGGAACTCATATTGGTCTGTTCAAGGTTTTAATTTTTTCCTGATTTCATATGGTTTGGCTGTGTCCCCATTCAAATCTCATCTTGAATTTTAATAATCCCCACATACCAAGGTGGGGACAGGTGGAGATAATTGAATCATGGGGGTGGTTCCCTCACACTCTTCTCATGGTAGTGAATAAGTCTCATGAGATCTGATGGTTTTATAAACGAGAGTTCCTTTGCACAAGCACTCTTGCCTGCTGCCATGTAAGACATCCCTTTGTTCCTCCTTCATCTTTCACCATAATTGTGAGGCCTCTTCAGCCATGTGGAACTGTGAGTCCATTAAATCTCTTGCCTTTATAAATTACCCAGTCTCAGGTATGTTTTTTGAGCAGCATTAGAACAGACTAACACATGGTTAAATCTTGGAAGACTGTGTGTTTCCAGGAATTTATTTATTTCCACTGGATTTTCTAGTTTGTGAATAGAGGTGTTCATAATAGTGTCTGAGGATATTTTGTAGTTCTGTGGGATTAGTCATAATGTTACATTTGTCATTTCTGATTGTAATTATTTGGATCTTCTCTGTCATTTTTTCCTTGGTTAATCTAGCTAGCTGTCTATTGATCTTGTTTATCCTTTCAAAAAACAAACTTTTGCTTTCATTGCTCTTTGTGTTGATTTTTGAGTCTCAGTTTCCTTCAGTTCTGCTCTGATTTTACTTCTTTCTTTTCTTCTTTTAAGGTAAGGGTTAGTTTGTTCCTCATTTCTAATTCCACTAAATGTGGTGTTAGGCCATTAATTTGAGACATCTCTACCTCTTTGAGGTAGCCATTCAGCACTATAAACAATTCCTGTTAACACTGCTTTTGCTGAATGCCAGAAATTTTGGTATGTTATGTTTCCGTTTTTGTTTATTTCAAAGATTTTTCTTTTATTTCTGCCTTAATTTTGTTATTTACCTAAAGTCATTCAGGAGCAAGTTGTTTAATTTAGGATAGTTAAGCTTTCAAGTTGAATTGAACCCTTCTTTTTTTCTGTAATATTATTATTTTTTTCTTTCCCTTTCTCCCTAGGGCATGTGACTAGAGAATGGTGAGTAGGGTCTTTTGGCTTTGCTTCTATAGCTTCCATGCACTTCTGCCTTGTTTTGGAATGTGCAGTTTTATCTACAAGCCAGCCAATGGCACTTTTAGGAAGAGCCAGCCATGGCCAATGTGGCTGGGTGTATACTTGATCCCTGTTTACTGGGAGAAGCTCTCTGTTGCTTCATGCAATGGCCTGATTTGTGGAGCACACAATAGTCTGAGCTCCCTGCTCAGCCCTGGGAGGTGTGGGCCAAGATGGGTGGGGCAAGACTGGGCAGGTCTGCCTATAGGTCCCCTAATGGCAAGCACAAGCACCTTCTCTGAGAGAGAATCCAGTGGTTGGCCACCAAACACCGAGAGGTGTGCCTAGGTGTGGAGCTGGGAAACCTCCTTGGCTCCAAGTTCTCTACGTGGGAAGAGGGACAGCCTGAACTCCTAATCTAGGAGAGTGGGTGCTCCAAATATGTGGAGATCTGCCTGAGAGTGGAATGAAGAGATCTCCTTGCACAAGAATCTCTGCACAGGAAGGGTAGGGCAGGTCAGGTTACTGTTCCTGGTGAGTAGGTGTTCCAAATCCCTGGAAATCTGTCTGGACGTGGAGCAGAGAGAGCCCCCCCTGCACCAAGATCTCTGCACAGGAAGGGTAGGGTGAGTCAGATTGCTGATTCAGGTGTGTGAGTGCTCTGAATGCCTCAAGATCTGCCTAGGCATAGAGCAGAGAGGGCCCCACTGCCTCACAATCTATGCCCAGGAAAGGTGGGGATAGGACTGTTGGACTAGGTGAACGAGTGCTCTGAGTGCCTGGTGATCTGTCTGGATGTAAAGAAGAGAGGGCCCCTCTGTACCAGAATCTCCGCACAGGAAGGGTAGGACAACTCAGGTTGCTAGTCCATGCAAGTGGGTGCTCTGAATGTCTGAAGATCTGCCTACACGTGGAGCAAAACCCCCACTGCATTTTGATCTATGCACAGGAAGGGTAGGGCAGCTCAGGCTGCTGATTCAAGCCAAAGGGTGATCTGAAAACCTAGAAATCTGCCTGAGTGTGGATCAGAGAGTCCTTACTATAACACAATCTATGTCCATGAAAGTTCCATGAAAGTTGGGGCAGCTCAAGCTGCTGATCCAGGTAAGTAGGGGATCCAAATGCCTGGATTCCTGTCTAGGAGTGGAGTGGAGAGGGCCCCACTGCATCATGATCTCAGGAAAACAGCTGGGGGCACCAAGCAATGGCATGTGCCTACTGGTTCCAGGTTGCCAAGGTGGCCCTGGCTGAAAGTCTTGTCGCTAAAGAGAAACTGCAGCTGTAGCAGCTCTCCTCCTGCCCCAGGCATGCAGTGGGGGACAACACAATTCTAGCATGTTCTGCTGAGGTACTTTCCACAGTTCCGGCTATGGAGACTCTTACCCTACTCCAGAACAGATGCTGCAATTTCTGACCTGAGACTAAAATGCCTGCACAGCCATGCTGCCAGGTCACCAAAGAAAGACTGACTTTTTATGCTGTCAGATGAAAAATGATGTCCCGCTCTTGGTCCTGGGTCTGGGAAAATGTCTGCAGCTTTTCCCAGTATCTTTCCCTCACAGCATCTCCAAGCCTCTCCCCACATTAGCTCCAGGGCTTGGAAGAAACAAAGTGCTCTCCCTCGGCCTGGAATAGATTCCCAGTGATAGGGTGAGTTACAGAGAGAGACTGTCTTCCCCTCTCACGTACTGGAGCTTCACTCTCTTTTTTCAGCTGCATACCATCACACGGACTGTATGATGGTATGTTCCTCCCCAGAGTGTGGGGTGTCCTTCATGATTCTGGTGGATTCTCATTTTCCTTCTTTAATTAAAGCTTGAGCCAGGCACAGTGGCTCATGCTTGTAATCCCAGCACTTTGGGAGGCTGAGACAGGGGGATCACCTGAGGTCAGGAGTTCAAGACCAGCCTGGCCAACATGGTGAAATGTCATCTCTCCTGAAAATACAAAACTTAGCCAGACGTGGTGGCACATGCTTGTAATCCCAGCTGCTTGGGAGGCTGAGGCAGGAGAATTGCATGAACCTGGGAGGCGAAGGTTGCAGTAGGCCGAGATCGCGCCATTGCACTCCAGCCTAGGTGACAGAGCAAGACTCCATCTTGAAAAAAAAAAAAAAAATCTCACAGAGTTGATCTTTATGCACTATCGTGCTATTTCCAAGTGTCTGAGATACACTAAAATCCTCTTTTTTACCATCTTGGAAATAAAACAAAATAAAACTTTTTAAAAAGTGATTGTAATGTTTAATAAACTGTTTATTAAAAATATGTTCTGTATCTATTTAATGAGTCCTTTATAATAGAAATTCAGAAATTCTAGAAATTCAGAAATAGAAATGAACCACTCGGGCAACTTGTCCTGTGCTCTTTCTAGTCCCAGTATACATGTTTTGCCTAGTCTTGGCTTTAGTAACTGTAGTGTCAGTGTGTATCACATCCTGTGCAAAAGTAGTCCACAAACTGATAGCTCTCAATGTTTGGATATTTCTTTTCTAATATTATACATTAGTTTTTAATTTATAATAAATAAATTTAATATTTAATTTGTATTTAATAAAAAATATTGGTTGAAGTTTATACAGAATATTCTTTTGGGAAATAAGTGCATTGTACATTTTCAAATTTACAAGACATTTTTAAATGCCTGCAAAATACATGGTAATATATTTTAAGTTGTTTCATTAACACTTTCCATTTCTTTGAGAATTAGATCTCTAAATTAAATTTTATTGTTATATATTTATTACGCTGAGTCACCTGATGATAAGGTATAAACATAAAAGTTTATTTCAAGGATCTGCAATCATTCAGCCTTCTTAGATTGCTGGTTAAACAGGTTGTACTATTGAATGGAGATGTTGGTTTATTTGCTTTTTTTCCACATCAGTTTTTATGTATTCATTTGTGTTTGTCCTGTCTTTGACATCAAACATAAATCACTATGAGGGTCACCCTCTTGTGTCCAATAGCATAATTAGAGAAATTTTTTTTTATACAAATATAATTCAGCTTACAAAATCTAAATGGAAACAGGTACACTTAACCAAAAATGAATTTGGGACATTCAGGATGATTTATTGCCTTATGTTCTGTTTTGCATTCCTTTTGGAAGGCACCTGTACTGTAGGGTTAAAAATTTCCATATTTGCAGCTAGAGTCCCCAGGTTCAAATTCTATTCATGTGACCTTTCAGTGTTATGTGTCCAAGTTTCCTTATTCATAAAATGGAGCTAAAATAATTTGGTAGGTGATAGAGTTGTGTAGCTATTAAATGACATTCTTCATATAGAACCTTTTTAGAGTGTCTGCTCATAGCTGATAATAAATAAGAGTAATCATTTTTATTTAAAGATATTATTTCATTATTTTACCTTGATAAGTTGCTAGTGGTGAATATGAAGATGTACCACGCAGATCCCCTTTAGGGAAGGCTTGTGGACCTCACTGCTGAGACTATGACAGCATTCAGCTGTCAGCACCTCCTGAGATTGCTTCAGCTGCAGGGACACGCGACTCAAGGTCACAACCTTTGGGGAGGCCACATGCCTTGGTGTTCAAAGCATAGGTATAATAGTGTGGCCATTTAGGCCTAAAATGGGAAAACTGTGATAGCCTAATGAAGCTCCAAAGCACCTGGTTGGGCTGAGGGTGCCAGGCCTGTATCTCAGTCCATCTTCTCTTTCTTCCTATGCCAATTACTCTCCCTCCCTGCTAGAGGTCTCAGGCATACGCAGAGCACGCTGCTTTAAAACATCTTAAACGCTAAACCCCACTGTAGGGCCTGCTTTCCAGAGAACTCAATAGGCAATCTTGCTTTACAAAATAATTGTTTAAAATACTAGATTTTCTAACAGATATATGTTTAATTCAAAAAGATAAAAAATGTAAGAAAATCTTTGTAACCAAAGTGTTATTTAAACTTGGCATGGATGTCTTCGGTGACTTCAGTTAATTCCTTGGAGACGCATCTAAGTTTAAAAAGCATTCATTATATCAAATGAGTTTCTGAAGTAGCTTTATCCTATGAAGTTGCATTTTTCACCAAAGACCTGATATCCAAAGCTCTATAAAAATATCCATAAACAATATATGTATTATGCTATTACTAATATATTTATTCAGTGGAGTAGGACATTTTCCAAAGCATTCATTAATTAAAAATGCAGAAACCATAAATAATTCTAAACCAGATGAGATGCCAGGACAATAGGCTGTTTGGATTTTTTGTGTTGGAGAGGGTGGGTAAGGAGGAACGTGTACGTGTGTCTGACGGTTGTGGAGGATGGGGAAAAGAAAAACGAGTCAGTTGCTTAAGCTGCCAAACAAGTAGGTATGTACCTCCATTTCGTGCGGAGGGTTATGTTCTGTAACAATGAAAATTTGTCACATCCAGGAAAACTGAGTAATTGCCTTAACCTGCAAAAGATGCCTTCTTACTCCTCAATCTATTTAAAACACGAAGTTTCATTTCCACCCGCCACAGCCTACTCACAGGTGCAAATGGCAAAAAACACCACATTGCTCAAAGGTCCTCATTAAGATGCTAGAAAAAAGACGCTGAAATACATTTGAGAATCCAAAATGTTATTTAATACCTGCTATGATTTATTTTCCTAAGGAGAGCTATGAACCCTAATTCATTTGTAGCAGAATTGGTTTTGTTCCTGAAAATAAAATAAATGTATTCTATATTATTTCAGAAGATGCAAAGACTCATCATATAGTGTGATAGTGATTTCTGCCTTTCAATTTTTTTCTTATTTCTCTTGGAAAAATATAACAGTTCAGATTATTTTTCACTATTAAGTGGACATAACCTTCACAAACAGATCTCAAGAGCAAGAGAGGGAATAAAATGCTTAATGGGTGGTAGGTTCCCATAAAAGTTGGATATCAAATATAATCGTAATGATATTTTCACACAACAAATATGATTTTAGTTTTATAGCAATGATCCTAAATTTTAGTTAAGATTACATTTACCCAGAGGAATTGTGAAGTTTTTGGACATAGGCTCTTCATTATTTTCTAAAGCTCTTTGATCCTCCCTATTTTAAATGTTTCTATTTCAGAGTAGAAACATTATGGACAATTACTATTTTTTACAGATCTGACAACTTTACCCAGGAACGCACTTTCTCTAGTGTTTGTGGACTTGCCTAAATACACTTATTAATTTATTTTTTTAAACATTTATTACCTGTACTGTGTGCCATACAGTATACAAAATTGTTTTTAATAATTGGTTCTTTCTTCAGTGAGTAAGCAAACTAGGAGAGGAAAATAATGCAACAAATATATAGACCAATGCAATAAAAATTGTCATAGGAGTAGTGCAGAAAAGAACATATATTAGACAGGAATCCCATTAGCCTCTCCCTTGAATCCTAGACTTGCATATCCAACTGCTAATGTGACCTCCTTTTGATTTCTAACAGACATCTCACACTTAACATACAGAAAACTGAGCACCTTATACTTCCCAAACCTCCTCTTTCTCTATTCGTTTTCAATTCAGTAAATATCAACTTTACCCAGGACAAGAAAAATGACGTCATCTTGAAGTTCTCTCTTTTTCTCTTATGCCACACCCCATCTTCAGCACGTCCTGTGGGCTTTACCTTCTCCATTGCTGCAATTTTATTCCCAGTCTCCATCATCTTTCTCTTGAATGATTGCAGTAGTCTCCTAACTGGTCTCCCAATTCCACCAGAGATCCCCTTTATGCATCTTCAGTAAGGCAGTCAGAGTGAAACCATTGTTACCACAGCATTGTCATGTCACTACTCAACTCAGAACCTTCTAGAAGCTTCCCGTTTCCCTCTAAATAAAACCAAGCCATAATCTGTGAGGTTCTACAAAATTTAGTTGCCTCTTTCTTCTGTAAACTCAAATCCCCATAGCCTTCTTCCTGAGCATTCTAATCCAGACTCACTCGCTTCTCTCTGTTCCTCAAACACTAGAGATGTGCTCCTGACTCTGGGGCCTCTGCTTGTAATTCTCTTCTCCCAAACATCTGCCTGGCTTTCTCCTTCAGATTTGTGTTTACCTGTCATCTTTTCGGATGCCCTGCCTTAGCTATCTTCTCTGTATTAGTTAGGTTAACCTAGCTTCTGTAACACCTAGACCTAAACATACATCCTGGCTCAAATACAGAAGATGTTTATTTCTCAGTCACACAATGGTCCATGGCAGAGGCTGCTGATGTGAAGAATCCTTGGTTGGTGGGGAGCTTTCCTCCATGTGGTGATTCAGTTTCTATTCTATCTTGAGGTCAACCATTCCTTAGGCCAGGGACCAGCAAAAACCTGCCTGCTGGCCAAATCTGGCCCACAGACGTTTTTCTGATATTGTATAGCCCCCAGCAATTTTTTTTTTTTTTTTGCATTATTTAAGGGTTTGGGGGCGGGAGAAAAATATGCAAATGTGTATAGTTTAAAAAACTGAAAATATTTTATATCTGGCCCTTTACAGAAAAAAAAAAATTTCCGTTCCCTGGTCAAGAGTCAAGGCCTTAGATTACAGCCAGATTAAATGTGATCATGTAAACGCCTTAACAGCTCATACCTTCTTCATCCTTTAAAAAAGAAACAAACAACAACAACAAAAAACCTAGTCTGTGAAACATACAAAAGGAGGTGGAGGGCTAGATTTGGCCTGAAGCCATAGTTTGCCATCTCCTGTTCAGGGCTGTTTACTTACTTTAGAAATAAAGTCCTCTTTTCTTTTTTCTTTTTCTTTTCTTTTTTTCCCCCTTCCTTTCTTCCCTCGCTCCCTCCCTCCCTCCCTCCCTCTCTCCCTCTCTCTCTCTTTCTTTCATTCTTTTTTTTTTTTTCAGGTCTTGCTCTGTTGCCCAGGCTTGGAGTGCAGTGGTACCGTCTCAGCTCACTGCAACCTCCGTCTCCTGGGTTCAAGTGATTCTATTTCCTCAGCCTCCCAAGTAGCTGGGACTACAGGCGTGTGCCACCACTCTCAGCTAATTTTTGTATTTTTTGGTAGAGATGGGGTTTCACCATGTTGGCCAGCTGGCCTCAAACTTGGCCTCAAGTGATCCTCCAGCCTCTCAAAGTGCTGGGATTACAGGCATGAGCCACTGCACCTGGCCAATAAAGTCATTTTCTAGCTTCAATCCCAACAGACACAGTGGAATTTTAATTTTTTTTGATGATTGGTAAATGTGAAAACTATCAGCTTAATATCCTCACCTTATGTTAAAAGAGAGGGGTTGTTCGTTAAGGGGAAAAGGAGAAAATGCATTTATTCCCTCTCCAGTGTCCTTCTGTTGCTCTGATTGGTATGGTATCCAGCAGTAGGCTGGTGGCCAGTGGGAACAAAAAATTACAGACTGGAAGGTCCTAGGGAGGCCTTGGTGATGATTTTTACTTGAGCTAAATTTTTACTTTACTGGCCTGCAGGGGTAGCTACAGGGAAAATAATTTTTTGTACAAGTCAGGGCAATGAACTCTAGTTAAAAAGGGGACTTTCCCCTGTATGTCCTGATAAAGCTTAAGGCATAAAGCCCCTGTCAGTTTAAATATATCTCTGTTTCCTGTGGTCTCTGTCTGCATGCCAGCAACATTCACTGTGAATTGTAACATTTCCTTACATGTATGACCGGGATGATAAAAATAACTACCTCGTGCTAATAGAATTTATTTACTTTGTGTGAATTTCAGGCATACTAGCACATTGTGAAGATATAAAATTGTAACAAGCTGAACCAGTGACTACTATTGTTTGGAAACAGGAGAAATACAATTTTCCTAGTGTTGGGGAAATAAATATTTGGGTGGAAAAAAAGGACATGGAAACCACACTTGCCAAAATAAAAAAAGTAATGGGTGAAAGTTCCCCTTGTTCTCATGTGAATTGAGTTGATGTCAGGTGATGTTTAACTTAATAATGAGGATGCTGGTAAAGAATTGGCCACCACATAGCATTTAGGTTAGTTCACACCAGTCCTTGTCTCCATTTCACTGTATTTTGCAAGATGTAGACTGTTGAAATATCTGGATTTATAATGCTGTGAAACCAGTGCAGGCAACATGTTTTCAGTTCAATTAAACATGTATTTGCTGAGGGCCTGCTATGTGCCAGCCATGTTGCTGGTGGATGTGGATATCATAATTATTATGTGACTACCCCTGCAACTAAGAACCTATAATCCGTTGGAGAGGGTAGCAGCCAAAAAGACCATCATGATGCAATGTGGTCATCACTGCAAACAAAGCTGTCATCACAGAAGAAGTTACCTAGGCTGGAAACCAGCAGGTCTGAGTCCAAGCTCCCAGTTTGCTCTGGTGACATTAGACAAGGTTTTATGGGCCATCGCTGCTGTGTCTTCATCTTTAATAGTGGGGAATAATACCTGCCTCACAGACATGAGAAGGTAGATAAATACAAGATAGATAGATGAATAAATAGATTGGGGGGGGGGGGGGATAGGTCACCTATTGATAACATTTGGCATCCAGAGTGCTCAATAAAGAAGTTTCTTCTTTCCTTTACCTAATTTTAAAGCTGGATTAACCTAACACACCTGAACATATCAAAGAGATGATCAAAAGTAGTAATATTTTTATAGACAATGTAGTTTTTTCTTTTAAAACACCACTCCATACATTTTACAGATACTTCATAAATTTCAAAACAGTGTCATTTTTGGCATGACATACATTTACCAGCTTGGCTTTCCTCACAGATAGCATTTTAATAAACAGCATGACTCCCCTGTTTGTTTGTGAATTAAAGGCAGCTTGCCATATTAGATTCCTATATTATCAGTCATAGTCTCATTAGATGTAATAAAAAACACATTTGCTTTTAGTGTTTCATAGGTAATGTATTTCCTTTGTTCATTTATTAATCATAATTGGAGTGTTTCTCTTTTTTCTGTCTATGCCTTTGACTATCATTTTTGAAATACTTAGGATGATAAGTATTTGCACAGATTTGACATCTGCAAAATATTTTGCAATCAGTCATTGGCTATTCATAGTACAGTAATTAGCATATGTGAGAAAATATATGGTTTATACATCCACTTGTTAAAATTATCACTAATATGTACCTTTTCTTTCTTTGTAATGTCAAAAGGTCCTTGTAATGTATATCTTATTATAAATGTTTTAACTTATATTACAGGTGTGTCTTATTATACAATATTAGAGTAATGAAAATGAATTCATTACAGAATCCCACATGACCTGAATTAACAGAAACCTTCCAGTAGCATGTATAAATGTTTACTCCCAGCTGTGTGCTTCATCACAGCAGAATTAGATGTGAGAATATATCTCAAAGTTATCAATGAATTTAAAAGGGAAATATGACCACTTTAAAGTACAGAAAAAAAAAAAAATAGGCCCGGCGTGGTGGCTCACGCCTGTAATCCTAGCACTTTGGGAGGCTGTGGTGGGTGGATCACCTGAGGTCAGGAGTTCAAGACCAGCCTGACCATCATGGTGAAACCCCATCTCTACTAAAAATACAAAATTAGCTGGGCGTGGTGGTGTATGCCTGTAATCCCAGGTAGGGGAATTGCTTGAACCCAGGAAGCAGAGGTTTCAGTGAGCGGAGATCGCACCACTGCACTTCAGCCTGGGAGACAAGAGTGAAACTCTGTCTCAAAAACAAAACAAAACAAGAAGAGTAACTTTATTACATCATCTATGGATGTGCCTACAATATCTATTAAGATAATTTTCTTTCCTCTATTATTGTTTTGTTTTCATGGGTGCAGGCTCTAGTAAGTCTTCAATCGTTTTCCAGTATATTGGAAATCTGGCCATTCAGGGAGATTTATTTTTCTCATATGTGATTACTTTCTTGGATAGAGTGAGACTGATAAAAGTGTCTTGGCTGAGCACAGTGGCTCATGCCTGTAATCCCAGCACTTCTTTGGGAGGCCGAGGCGGGCGGATCATGAGGTCAGCAGATTGAGACCATCCTGGCTAACACAGTGAAACCCCATCTCTACTAAAAATACAAAACAAAAAAAAAAATTGCCAGGCGTGGTGGCACACGCCTGTAGTCCCAGCTACTCAGGACGCTGAGGCAGGAGAATCGCTTGAACCCGAGAGGTGGAGGTTGCAGTGAGCCGAGATCGTGCCACTGCACTCCAGCCTGGCCGACAGCGAGACTGTCTCACCAAAAAAAAAAAAAAAAAAAAAAAAAAAAGTGTCTCAGGACTTGAGTTTTAAAAGCTGAAAAGACACAAAGTCATGGGCCCATCCTGAAGAGAGGGTTGTTGAATTCTTGCCTAGACAAGAAAGAGTGGTTTAGAGTAGCTAAGGGTATCAGTAGCATGGCATTGTGTGATGTAGCCCCAAAAATTCATGCATAGAAATTTGTGTTTAATCTTAAGGACGACCAGACACCATAGGGGCTTCTTGAATAAAGGTGGAAAGGGCAGAGACTCAGGCTGAAGTGCAGTGGCTCGATCTCAGCTCACTGCAACCTCCACTTCCTGGGTTCAAGTGATTCTCCTGCCTCAGCCTCCCGAGTAACTGGGATTACAGGCACCTGCCACCAAGCCTGGCTAATTTTTATTTTTGTATTTTTAGTAGAGATAGGGCTTCACCATGTTGGTCAGGCTGGTCTCAAACTCCTGACCTCAAGTGATCCTCCCACCTTGGCCTCCAAAAGTGCTGGGATTACACCGTGAGCCACCGTGCCTGGCCATCTTCACTACCTTCTATGCCTATGAGCCAGATAGGGAAAGAAAAATTAAAAGGATAGGATTCAGAGAAAAATATGAAGATTGTTTTTCCATGAAAAGTTACAGAAAGTCGCAAGACTAAACATTACAAATGTGTCAAGAAGAGGAAATGGTATTCCCAACAGCGGAAAAAATTGGAGAAAGAAAAGGGACCAGGATGATGGAGTGTCGTCAGATGTCATATTAAGCATATTCCAGAGATCATTTGTGCATGGAAATAGAGTTCCACAGTTTTTACAAATGAAGCATTCATATTAGTTGTGGTGGGTGCTACGGAAAAAGCTAAGTGCAAGATGCTGTCTTAACACGCACGAAGCCATCTTAGCAGGCTGGAGCTATCAAAAAAGGTTGCCATGAAGAAGCAGAGTCAGAGCTGAGCGATAAAGAAAACTAGGAATTAGCCAGGGGAGTGGGAGTCGGGGCAGGAGTGGGAGGAGTCATGCAAGAGGCGTGGGTGTGTCCAACAGAGGGAACTGGATCCTGTCCATTCCACGTAGGTCTGCCCTGAATCTTTTTGTAAGGGAGCAGCAAAGGTAGGGAAAAAAAACGGAAAGGGAAGGTGGAAGGGGAAAAGAGAGGAAAGTCAGATAAAAGTAATAAGCAAAGGTTTAGCAGACTATTAGTTCTTTTCCACAGAATAAGTGGCATATTGAATATTTTAAAACTCAGTTATCACTTTCAAGACACAATTACTTTGAATTATTTTTAAAATATCAGAATGATTCAGCCTTTCTCAGCCATCAATCTAACATATTTTGATGGCCTATGATTAGTTTCGAGTTCCTGACACCGAATTTGGTAATCAGGAGATATAGACAACAAAATTATTTTCATGCCTTCAAGGAGCCTATAGTCTAGTTTGACAAGGAATCACTATGTTAACTGGTAATATTTAAAATGTATTTTCTCGGCCGGGCGCGGTGGCTCACACCTGTAATCCCAGCACTTTGGGAGGCCGAGGAGGGCAGATCACAAGGTCAGGAGATCAAGACCATCCTGGCTAACACGGTGAAACCCCGTCTCTGCTAAAAATACAAAAAAAATTAGCCAGGCTTGGTGGCGGGTGCCTGTAGTTCCAGCTACTTGGGAGGCTGAGGCAGGAGAATGGCGTGAACCCGGGAGGCGGAGCTTGCAGTGAGCTGAGATCGTGCCACTGCACTCCAGCCTGGGCCGCAGAGCGCGACTCCGTCTCAAAAAAAAAAAGCATTTTCTCTTTAAAAAAAATTGTTACTAATATAATTCTCATTTCCAGTTTCCTATCTCAGTAACAACTCCTTAAGAAATGATGCAACAGAATTAAGCAGTAATGAGCTGGTGATTCCCGTGCACACTTTAAAAGCACTAGTGTGTGTTTCAGAATTCTGTCAGCCATAGCAGATAGCAGCCAAAGCAGTCCAAAAAAACGTGACTTTGAAAATGTGGTTGTTAGATCACAGTACTTAAAGTGGTTTTAGACAATTTACAGTGATTCCCTTAGAATTTCTGTGGAAATCAGTGTATCTCTATTCCAATTCTTTCAGTTCTGCAAAAGCATCAGAAACCCCTGTGTGGAAGGTGTGTGGGTGGAGGTTCTGCAAGCACCTTTCATCCTGAGGGAGGGCTGACTTTCCTACCACAGGCTGGGCTACGCACATGATCTGCTTCAGAGACACGGTTTTTGAATTGCAAGAGTGACAGAAGACCAGATTTGTTTTTAAAACTGGGAAGTAAATTACAGATGATCTGATACAAACTCCTAATTTTATAAGAAAATAAATGATGACCAAGATGCTTAAATTATTTACTTAATAACACTTCGTTAATGACATAGCTTAGATTATAACCTATATCTTCAGTTCCTGAAACAACGTTCTTTCTTACTATGCCATGCTACTGTAAGTTATTTAGTGCAGACTTAAAAAAAAAAAAAAAAAACACCCAATAGATTTCAGAATGTATTTCCTTGGCAATCAGAGACAGGTTTGAGAAAAATAGTAATTGTGAATAAAATTTGATTCAAGTATTTTTAAACAGGTGCTTCCATCTGAAACAAGGGGAAAAAAGAACCTTTCTCTAGTCAACTGAACATGGGTATTATGTGAACAGAAATGCAAATTGGAGCATCATTCAGTCCTCTCTCCCCATTCTCTGAAAAATCTTTTGTTTCTAAGTAGAAATTAGCTAGAGAAAAGATCCCCTTTACAGGAGAGGCAGGGCACCCACGTTATCAGCTGTGCTGTGCCGTCTTCCTCTCTCCTCTTTTAGTACCTGGAAGGCACAATTGTATGTTCCTACTGGCATTACATTCTTCATTATGTAGTTTTTCCTTTATTCTGAATAACTCAAGAATAGTCCCAGAAAAAAAGGGGGAGAGGAGGACAGAATGAAAGAGAGAGACAGCAAGAGAAAAGTCAGAAATTCATTACCTTTTGCAAAGTACTCATTATGGTGAAAAGTCGCGAAGGACACAGAAGAATGTAGAAAATTACTATTAGGCACAGACAAATGTAAGTAAGTATTCCCGACTATATTGGGGATGAGACATAGAATAAAAAAGCTTGCTGGTGGCAAAGCAAGCAGACGGGAAAAGAGTAATGGAAATGAAACACGTTGAGGCATCTTAGTAAGTGAGACCCACGAGGAGAAGGGAAAATAATGATTTTGTCATTTCTAGCTGAATGTATTGGACGAACCAATATCAAATACAAACTGCTTGTGGCTATTTATAGCAACTCCCTCTGATTTCCTTCTATAATTCAGGACTGGTCTTTAGTGTCACGACCGTTCTTTTTCTTCCCTCTTTCCCCTCAACCTTCTGCAATGGTTTTATTGCAACTCAAGTCCCGGAAGATCTTGTTTTCCAAATGGACTTTTCAGTGGCCACTCTGATTAGTACAAAGGACTGCAATAGAAGCCCATCAAGTTATAGGCAGAGACATTACGGTGACTTTTATATCCAACTTTAATCTCAGGTTCAAACATAAAGCCTATAGCTACAATCTCAAGAATAGATCAATGTCAAAGGTAGCAAAGCAGGTCAAACTGAACGCAGCACAGAGAGCTTGAGGCGACTGAAAATCATATCAAGGTAGCAGGTCATCGTCATTCCACTTCATGAATACTTTACAAAGCAGGGACTTGTGGTCCCCAAACCATTTAAGGCTTTTATTGCTTTGCCAGGCAGCCTGCTTAGAATCCTGACTGTCAAACATTAGCACCTAGAGGGCTCTCCAAGGTTGGTGGAATTTTCAGTTCATTTGTCGTTCTGTCTACATAAGAGCAGTTGAGTTTATAATAGACACTTTGGTGCACTGGTATATTCATCCCTGATATCACGCTCATCTCTGCAACTGTGATGAAATAAGCAATGCTTTCAGGTTGCACACAGCAGAAAAACACAGCTGTGCATATATGGTGAGTATTCCATACATTTCAATAAATTCAGCACATTCAAGTAAGTTTACTGAATAAAGGTGCAAAAAATGGAAAAAGAATAAAGGAAGAATTAATTAATGAAACAAGAAAGGCAGGCAGGAATGAAAAAGGGTAGAAGAAATATAAATGGGAGAACAAAGGGAGGAAGTAAACTAGAGAAGACCTAAATAAGAGGAAGGAAGCAGTGGGTCTTTTAGATTCAACTATAATTTTATTGACTTGTAGAATTCAACTTTTAACAGTAAAGTTATTTTTATAGTTGGTCATCAAAATGTCATTATTGAGAAAGATGTGGCTAGGAAATTAATGGTGATAGTTCATTTTGGATTTTTAGGACAAACAATTGGAGCTTTGTGAAGAAGACCCATATGTTATTTTCTTCGGTTTAAAATTTGATATGGGGCAATTAAGAACAAGCAAGCGGTAATGGTCAACTGAGGACACAGACAGGGACTCCTGTGCAAAAGTTTAGAACTGTAGAAATAGATGTACAGCTGTAATAGCAGAAATTCTTTGGCATATTATTGTGAATTTAGATGCTGTATTCTGTAACAGTGAATTAGTTATTATGGGTTGTTTATAAAAGTTTTACCTTCTATACTGCAGATGTCTGACCACTATGGGCCTAAATTTATTTTTGAGTTAATTCTCACATTCTACCAAAAAGGAAATACAGGATACACACAAATAAGTGCCTTGAATGTGACATTCTGTCTGCCTCTCCCTCTCTCTCCCTCTCTTTGTCTCTCTCTCTCGCATGCACACACACACACACACACAGAGAAAAATTCACTACTTAATAAAGCCATACCATGAATCGCCTCTCTCTATCTCTACCTCTCTTTGAGATACAACATCCCATTATCTAATTTGCAGCAGCCTGGGAAATGCTTCCCTAATAATTTTAATGAAATAGCAGAATACAGACCACTGTAGTTTTTAGGGTTCTGTGGAAATTATGCATAGGAAAACGCTGGAAGCAGATATAGAAGGCATAATGTTTATGCGCGTGCACGCGCGCACACACACACACACACACACACACACACACACACAAGCACCTTAGCTCTCTGGTACACAATGGATTAGACATGATTTTAATTTTTTTTCTTAGTGCTTCTATGCATTCTTCAAATTTTCTACAATGAACATACTACCTTTATATTATATCATTATTTAATGAGAATGTATTGCTGCTGTTGTTATTCCTATCCACGTGACAAGGAGAGTAAAATCTGTATTTCATAGCACAGTGACTACTTCTTAGGATTCCTTGAAACCTTAGACATCAGTGTAGATTCTTAGTTTTTATTTTACTGTATTTCTACCCAGTCCCAGATTTTACTTTATGGATAACTCAGCAGTGCCTCCAAGACTGATCAGTATTTTCCAGCAGCCTTTAGGACCATCAGGCTTCAGTACTATTTAACTTACAAAATGGGTATAGATTCAGGCAAACATACTATCCCCTTACAAACACCATTCTAATATATTTACAAAATAAACACACCCCATTTTATATATGCATACATGTTGATCAAATTGAAAATTCACAGTCGCTATAATTTCATTGCATAAATAGCTTTTTAAAAACTAAAAATGAATTTTACACCCTGATTGATCCAAAAATGGGAAATGGAAAAACTTTGGTTCAGTTGTTTAGCTGAATTTTAAAAGGATAAAAGTATGCCAGATATGTAACACATATGAATAGTACTTCACTGGGGAAGCGATTATCTTATTTTAGAGCATTTATAAATTCAATGAAGTGAAGAAGAAAGAGAAGATTTTTGAACACCTAAGATTTCAGATGATTTTTTTTCACATTGCTAGACTATTTAGTAGTGAATGTGGGATTAACTAACATGACTGTTAATCGGAAAAACCAAATAAGGTACATCATCTATTTCTTTTTCTTTCTTTTTCTTTTTTTTTTTTTTTTTTTTTTGAGACAGACAGAGCCTTGCTCTGTTGCTGGAGTGCAGTGGTGTGATCTCGACTCACTGCAACCTCCGCCTCCTGGGTTCAGGAGATTCTCCTGCCTCAGCCTCCTGAGTAGCTGGAACTACAGGCACCCGCCACCATGCCTGGCTAGTTTTTGAATTTTTTAGTAGAGGCGGGGTTTCACCATGTTGGCCAGGCTGGTCTCGAACTCCTGACCTCAAATGATCCACCCATCTCAGCCTCCCAAAGTGCTGAGGTTACAGGCAGGAGCCACCACGCCCAGCCTCTTTTCTGTTTTTCTAAGTTAAGGGAGAATGTGGCAAGTAGTCTTTTGTCATGATGAAAGATTCATCCTTCCTTTGTCCCCACACATTCAGCAGTGTCCTTTTGTTAAATTGTTAAATTTTCACCTGTAAGGACACTCTCAAATTTCAGCTGTGTTTAATATAGATAATATTTGAGGAGTAAGGAGGGGTTGCATATAGTGTAATTTTCCTTTAGGATATCCCTGGCTAAAAGCCATGTGTTTGAGAATTGAGTTATAGGACTAGAATACAACCTCTGCATATCTTAGACACCGTACCGCTCCTGAAGAAAATGTCCGCTCCATGGTGAGCCGTACCTTCCTATATTTAAAAGCAAAGGTTGAGAAAGAGATGATTGTAAAATCATAACTGGAAATGAGACGTACAGTCAAGGAGGTACACACACCAGTCTCCGGCAGCCATATTACGGTCCCTAACAGCCCTCGCACACTTACAGTGGAGAACAAACCTTGAAAGTTTGTTCTCTACCATAAGGGGAAGATTTGGATTGGTAAATTCCTCCCTGAGCATTCTAGCCCCAGGTTTCATAATTCTTTATTCAGAAACCAAGGGGATGACCCATTTCAGTAGTGGTGGCAGAGCAACGTTCCCCGGAGTAGGCTTTGCATTGTTTTATTTGCGCTGATAGCAATTTTCTGTCCAAATCTGCCTTAGGAAGTTTTCCTCCAGAATAGATGCAAAAGTTATTTCATGCAAATGGGAGTTCCACAGGTCCTCAGACTCTCTTAGTGTGAACCCCAGTATAATAAAAGGGCGGACAAGGAGTTATACTTTATTCTTCCAGCAAAACACTGCTAAAAGTGTGTTATACACTTGATCACTCTTTCTTTGTGCATGAATGTGTGTGTGTGTGTGTGCACAACTATCCCCACTTACTCCGGGAGTGACTCCCAATAAAAATAGAAACTTTGCTGCCTTTGTTTTTACACATTCCTTCTAATAAATCTTAAGCCCAACACATAGAAAGAAGCATAGAAATAACTCTTCTTCAGTATGTTGAAAGAATAATACAGGAATGTGGGTCTCCAAAGTATGTTTGTAATTATTAGAAAAATAAATAAAAAATAGAAATAAATAACTTCATTATATGGAAAGAGCAGGGTTTGGAAGAGTGTGTATTTCTAAATGTACTCATAATTATCTGTCCTCCACAAATCATCATCTGAGCACATGTTAGTCTTTTAAGTTGACAGTGAATCTTTTGCCAAGGCAAATAGTGTCAGGAAGAGACTGGTACCTTTACAAAGTTTTGCAGTTTTCTTTTACTTCAAAATTTTGAAGTCATGATTTAGTACTGTGAAACCAGGAGGCTGCTGTCCTAGCAGGTTCCAAGATTGATTTCTTCAAGTTCATCCTCGCCAGCCCCATTTGACATGTACAAACACAATCAATATAGTTATACCACAGGTAATCACTCATTAGAAGGACTCCATCCATTCCAAGCACTGCGTGTATCAATTTGTCGTTTCATTTTCATGCATGTCAGAATGGTATGTTTACCTTTCAGTGGCATCATCTGAAAAGACAAGGTTAATACCAACTTAATTTCGTTTTAATGGTCATTTAAATTGAATACCTTGATGAACATGACGACTTGGATAGTCTGCTGAGGAAATTCAATCAGAAATGGTCTCAATAATAGAACTGTGGTTTTGATGGATGCTTGTTCATACTGTTGGATTTGGTCTCCACCCTGTTATGCAGCAGAGCAGAGGAGGGACATCACGGTGCCTGGGGCATGTTGATGAAGCTGATATTCATCACAGAACTGCACTCTTTTTTGGCCAAAGCCTGTTGCAAGAAATATCAGTTTTATTGCCTAAGGCTTTGAACGTTCTGTTTTTGTATATAATTGTCATGAAATAGGGTACACAAATTAATATTTCTATTGCTTTTTTGCTTGTTTCTCTGTGAAATTCGTTTCATAGTCAAGAGTCAGCCTTAGTATCGTTGTTTAATAAGATCTCCACCAGCTATGCCAGGGACAGCTGGTCTCTCCTGTGTGATGCCTCGGCACTTTCTCCGAATTCCCCCCATAACACTTATCACATCCTTTTGGAATTATCTGTTCAACTGTTTATTTCTCTGACTGCATTCTGGTCTGCCTATTCCTTAGCAGCTGAGCTGACTTGTATCTCTTTTAGGTGCATACAAAGCTTAGGAGGCATCTAAAAAGCACTCTGTTGACATTAATATTCATTCATAATTGTGTTTAATAAACTTTTGTTCTGTGGTAAAAATTCTTTTTTTACTCACCTATTATTTTTCTTGTGTCCATATTCCAACTGTGAACTGTAGCATTTATTTTTGAGATTTGAGTCATGGGTCATCACTTCTGAAATGCTTATAGTTTAAAACTATACTTTAAATCATGCTTTCAAAATAAATGAGTTCATTTAGAGCTAACAGCCACCTGTGAAGATAGGAACTGTAGTCTTCCTTTGGAAAAAAGGCAGAAAATAGTGACGGGGTTGAATAGGCTATGATTTACTTATTGTGTTTTTTATCCACTCCCCCAATTCCATGTGAGTGGAAATTTCTTTTTTCATTTATTGGTAACTCCTCAACAATCAGATAATCCCTAGGCATAGTAGATGCTCAATAAATATTTATTTGATGAATAAATGATTATGTAAATGAATGAACAAATGTCACTAAACATATATTAAATCTCAGCCAAGCCTCCAATTCTTTCTTGATTAAATGTCCTGCCTTTTCTCCCTATAGCTGTTCTAAACCTTATCCATTGTGATCAAGCCTTTCCCTTCCCTCACGGCCCTCCAGATGAACATCAGAAACCACCCAAAAACCACCTTCGCAGAGAAGAAAGAGGCCTTGAGGAACGACTTCCCTCACTTTCTTGCCCTAAGTATCAAGAGAGCACCAAAATTTCATTTTGGTCTTCTCCCTCACCCCTTCAGGGTTTAACCTTCCACCTATACTGGATTCTACTCGACTCCAGCTTCTCCCGGATGGTTTCTCATCAGGTATCTCATCTCTCCTGCATATGAATCCATTCCCTCTTTGTCTTCTTTCTCAAACCCTGGACATGATACAGCCACTCTTACTCTCTAAATTATATTTCTCCTCTTGGTATCAGCCTCCCTTTCTTCCTTCATAGACAAGAGTCTCCTAGGAGTCTCCTTGCTATGTCCACACATTTAAATCTCATCTACTTCTCCCATCATTTTATCTGATTTCTATCCTCACCAATGCTGCTAAATGGATGATCTGTGATCTCTTAATTAATTGCTAAAATCAATGAATGTGTTTCAGTTCTTACCGTATGTAGTCTTTGTGAAGTTTTGCTTTCTCTTGACCTTTATGTGGATTTTATAACTCCTTTGCTTTCATGACACGCCTCTCTGTTTCTGCCTCTGTCTTAATGACCAGTATTCTTTCCTTTTTACCTGCTCCTTAAAGTAACAATGCTTCCTAATGTGTTCCCTTGGTTCTCTGTTGCTCTTTTTTATATGATCCCTTGGAAAGTCATCCCTATTCCAGCGATTTGGTTGCCACATAAATGCTGATATCTCCTAGATCTAACTCTAATGTCTTGAGTTTTAAATTATAAATCTAACTTTTCACCAAACCCAATATTTTAAAAATTGAATTTCTTATTTTCCCTGGAACCTGTTTATGTTTGAAATTTCATGTCCTTTTAAAATGAGTACTACTATCAATGCAGTAACCTAAACCAGATAATTTAGCCTTAACAATTTTTTCTTCATATGCCACATCTAATTGGTTTTTAATTCCTCTCAAATTGTATGACTGAATAGTTCTTACTGTTCTTTCTACTCATGATACTTTCACTTGAGCTTTTATCATCTCTTGTCTAGAAAACTGTAAAGGTAACTGAGGGCTGTCATTGAATCTGGTCTTTTTTGTCCTTCTATCTATCCACCCTCTATATTGCCGCTATCACTTTATTCCTGACAAAAATCTTAATATCATGCACTGCTGTTTTATTCTTTCAGTGCCTTTTAGTCATCACAGAATAAATGCTAAATTTGTTAGCTTGCCGTACAAAAAGATCTGGCACGTCCCTGACAGCTTCGTCAATTAGGAATCTATGTTATTCCCTGTCCCACCCTCATTTCCTGCCAACCCTGTTCTATTCGTTCCAATCATACAAAATCATTCAAAGACCTCGAATTGTGTTATAGCTTCATCCCTTTAAAAGTATTTAGTTGGTCTAGAATAATCTTTTTATTTACCAATCCTGCTTTCATCTGATAAGCTATTCTTTACTTTTTAAGATACAATTGTCAACAACTCTGTTATCCCTCCCTGATCCCATCCAAAGCGTAATTGACGACTCAGTCCTTCGAATATCTACCATGATTTGTTCATCAACATAAATTTCTTGAACTGACTATAATTTTTCATCTTTATATTTCCAGGGTCTTACAAGAACATATAGTAACTGATCAGTAAATATTATTTGAATTAATTTAAAATTATCTATATTATAATACCAATTATGTATTATCATTTACTTCTATGTACCCCTACTCATTAGTAATGAGCAATTCTTAATTAGTAATTAGTAGATTAGTTTGACCTCATGACCCGCTCTACTTCATCATTGGCTCTCTAATGTCTGTCACATCAGGTTGGTAAATATTAGGTGTTGATAAAAATATTTTTAAGAAACTTAGGTAATGAGTAAATTGTTTCCTAAAATTATGTCGAATACTTGAGAGGATTGTTATATATGCCGGGGCTGTTATGACTTAAAACTATTGCTTCATTTTTTGTTTTTTGGGTTTTTTTTTTTTTTTTGCTTTTTTATTAGTTTATATTACTAAGGACCATATAGTGTCAGAAAATAGGAAGTAGAGCATAAACTATTATAGAGTTTTACTTGAAACACATGAAGTACAATATAATAAATATCTTTTAAAAATGTTAGTGAGGAAAGAACACTTAAAATGAGATCTACTCTCTTAACAGATTTTTAAGTGTACAATAGAGTACTGTTATCTATAGGCACAATATCGTATAGCAGATCTCTAGAACTTATTCATCTTTACAACTAAAATTTTATACCCATTGATTAGTAACTACCAGTTTCTCAATTCTCCCAGCCCATGACAAATATAATTCTATTCTTTGCTTCCATTGATTTAACTATTTTAGATAGCTTAGATGTTGGCATGGATGTGGTAAAAACAGAACACTTCTACACTGCTGGTGGGAATGTAAACTAGTACAACCACTATGGAAAACAGTGTGGAGATTCCTTAAAGAACTAAAATTAGAACTACTATTTGATCCAGCAATCCCACTACGGGTTATCTACCCAGAGGAAAAGAAGTCATTATACAAAAAAGGTACTCACACATTCTTGTTTATAGCAACACAATTCATAGTTGCAAAAATGCGGAACCAACCAAAACGCCCATCAATCAACGAGTGGATAAAGAAATTGTAAGATATACATATATGTATGTATATATACATACACATACATATATACACGTGTGTATATACACATATACATAGATACATGTGTGTACACATACATACGTGTGTGTATATACATATACATACATACGTGTGTGTCTATACATATATACATATATACGTGTGTATATATGTATAGGTGTGCATATACATATACATATATATGTGTATATATGTATAGGTGTGCATATACACATACATATATACACGTGTGTATATACACATATATGCACGTGTGTATATACACATACATATATGCACGTGTGTGTATACACATACATGTGTGTGTACACATACATATATACACACACGTATGTGTGTATACATACATACATATATTTGTGTATATATACACATATACATATATATACATATATTTGTGTATATACACATTTGTATATGTATATATATGATACAATCCTACTCAGCCATAAAAAAGAATGAATTAATGGCATAGCAGCAACCTGGATGGAACTGGAGACTATAATTCAAAATGAAGTAACTCAGAAATAGAAAACCAAACATCATATGTTCTCACTCCTAAGTGGGAGCTAAGCTATGAGGATGTAAAGGCAGAGTGATACAATGGACCCTGGGGACTCAGGAGGGAAAGGGTGGGAGGAGGGTGAGGGATAGGAAAATACAAATTGGGTTCGCTGTACACTGCTTGGGAGACAGGTCCACCAAAATCTCACAAATCACAACTAAAGAACTTACTCATTTAACTAAATACCACCTGTTCCCCAAAACCTATGGAAGTAAAAAATTAAAAAAATAAAACTTACATAAGTGGAATCGTGCAGTACTTGTCAGTCTGTGACTGGCTAACTTCACTAAGCACAATGTCCTCCAGGTTAATCCGTGTTGTCATATATTGCAAGATTTTCTTCTTTTGTTTGAAGTCAAGATCTCAAAGATATATCAGCACTTCCATGTTTATTGCAGCACTATTCACAATAGCCAAAATACGGAAACAACCTACATATTCATTGGTGGATGAAAGGATAAAAAATATTGTATATGTATTCAATGGAATAGTATTCAGCCTTAAAAAAAGGAAATCTTGCAATATAAAAATCTTATAAAAGAAAAAATCTTATAAAAGAAACACTATGAAATTGTTTATTTGAATACATAAAATTGGGTTTTCAAGCATAAGATAACTTGCTATTCCTCCAGACAAAATGAGCTCTTAGAAATTATAATCAAATAAATGTAATTGTGATGAATTAAGTAAAAAAGAACCAGCAATGCATACACTTATGTTTCAGTAAAATTCAGAAGGATATAAAAATGTGAGTAAAAAGGAAATTGGTAAACATCTTTCTATTTTGGCTAAACTCACAGTGTTTTAATAATGGCTGTGAGTATTTTGACAAACACCTGCAGCCCACTTTACCCATCCTTGGTTGGATTTATTATACTGTACACCCAAAGCCGGGAACCCGCAGGTCTGTGATCATTCATATTACTATTATATGAAATTAAACTGGTGTAAAGCCCTAAAAGAAGAGTTCTTAAGACCCTAGCATTACCTGTATATTTGCAAAACAGTAATCCTGGAAATAATCCCCTAAGGATTCCAGAATAGTGAAAGCATATTTAAATAAATTATAAGGCACAGTCAAAATTCACCAGGCTTATATTCTATTCACTACTTAACTGGTGAGTGAGACCTTGATATCAAATACATTATTATTTTCCTGACGTAGCCATAATATTATTCTCACATTTTACCTAAAGCTTCAACTGCAGCAGTAAAAAAAAAAAAAAAAAAAGAGGAAAGCAGTACCTGCTGTAATGTATCTGTTGGTACAGGGCTACTGCACAAACTGGGTATACTTTTCTTGATAGGAAAGCAAGATGGACATAGTGTATCCTCCTCAAAATGTCTGGAAGCTAAGGTCAAATTCCTAGTTCTTCCACGTATTCGTTATATGTCCTCTGTCACCTTACACACATCACAATGAAGTGAAGCCTGTTCCTAACCTTGTGAAGTCTCCAGTTGCAGGTGGGGTGGGGAGAAAATGTATTTGTTGGAAATATGATAGGACTATCAAAATATATGCAATCAGCTACCTAAACTGTTAAGTCAAGTTCATTCTGTTGCAATATAAAATATATTTTTTCATGAAAATAAAAAACTCTGAGAAATTTGACATGTTATTCCAGCTTAACCCTTTAATTTTTAACCTACCTCTCCTGCCCTTTTGAAATTATTTGTTAATAATAACAATGTGTAGCTTAACATTGCTTAGCATTCACCATTCTTAGTAGCATTCGAATTTAATGGTTCAGAACCATATCATTTAAAGTGAAAGAATCATGGGTTTGAGTTTTAGTCCACACCTGCTTTTGTGTGACTAGGACAAGTTACATTCTGAAGTTACTGTCTTTAAACTGAAAATGTATATAATAAAAATACCCACCTCATATTATAAATGTTTTTTGTGGTAGCAACCATAAAGAGCTTAGCACGTTGCAAATATGTAGTAAGCGTAAAATAATATTTAGATTATTTTTATCCCGAAGATTCATTTGTTGAGATAATTAATGCCACTGTTTTTAAAGGCCAAAGTCAGGGCAGGGATGGCTGAATATAATATGTTTTCGTATAAGCAGATGTTCTTTTCTCCCAATTAAACTTCCATGGCCTGTGGTAAGGAAGCAGCAGTGTAAATACCTAGTTCTTCATTAGAATTTCTAAAGGACTTGACTTTCCAAGGAATCAACATGAGAAGGACGACTTTTATGGATTTGCAGTTACATTGGAGACAAAATGAGGAGGGTCTGGATTTCTCTGTAGCCTGTGGGGATACAGCTGGAGTTGTACCAGTTGGTTAACAGTTTTGACTTGGTAAATAAGCTATAAACAAAGGGACTCAAACTATAGGACAATCCGCTAATAAGAAGTAAGAAAAAGTGAGCCAAAAAGTTCACTTGCTTAAAGATTCATCTTTGTATTCAGTTTAGGGAGTTACTTAGATAACAGTTTAGGGAGTTACTTAGATAAATTTAGTTATTAAAGGACTAGAGGCAAAAAAGACTCCCAGTGCTAGGAAGGGCCTGGTATATTATGGAGCAAGCACAGTTTCCTTGCAGCCATTCTCCTGCCCCCAAAGGCAGAAAACCAGCTGAGCTAGGCCTCCTCTCAAAACTTGCCAGCCTTCCTGCTTCCATGTGTGCACATTAGTTATGTTATTGTCTAATAATATCTGCTTGCTTTCTATCTCACAGGGATATAGTAAGAATTAATGGTATGAATTCTGCAAGCTCTTCAAGACCCCTAGAGATATGCAAGATAAATATGCAAGACAAATATGTTATGTTTGTATATATTATTTCTTCAACTTGTTTTGTACCTGGTACATGGGAGAGGAAGAGATATGCATTTATCTAGCCAGCTAACTGATATTTCTGATTTAATCATTATACAATGTATACACATATCAAAACATCAAACTGTACCCATAAATATATATAATACAAATATATGTTGATTAAAAAAATTTATGAGGAATGTCTTTTAAAATAAAATCAGATTTTATTCTTTGAATTTTGAAAAATACATAATTAATTAAAAATAAATTGGTCTTGACTTTTTTGTATCCTCAGCAATGATTTATTTTCATGATAGCTATACTACTAATAAATATCTATACACCTAATATATTTTAATTCTTGGAAATAACCATCAGACCATTCTATCTCAACATTATTTTGTTGTTGTTCAAGCACACCTGCTACACCTGCTCTCTGCCTACTATCCTGGCTTCTCCCATCTTTTTATAAAAACTATCTGAAATAAAGGGATTGGAAATGCACAAAATATATAAATATAAAAAATGCATAAAATAAACCCAAAAAACCACTACAGTTATTATTTAGATTAAATCATTATATTTTTCTTTAGTAAAAGAATATATTTTATGCCCAACTAATTAATGCCTAATGGCATTAATAGAATGCCATTCACTTCAGATAAATAATAATGACAGCAAAGTATTTTAATAAGATGAACAGCCAGCTGACCAGTGAGTCCAGCCCCTTCCTAAGGTGTGCACCCAGTCCCGATTCATCTGAAAGACACCTGCACACGAAGAGGACATGCTTCTGCAGATCCATGTTAAACTGTCCTGTTTTTGAGGAAGGGAAACTTTCCGTAGCAGTATGCTGAGAATATTTTTCCCCTCAGAGCAGCAATGAATTATTTAGTACTTGATTTGTCAAAGAAAAGCTTGGCTACACTACGGTGACAGAGTTATGCTGTAGAAATAGAATATTGTTTAAGAAATTATTGGTGCAAAAAAGGCAACTAAAGCAGAAGGCACAGTTGGTTTTCCAAATATACATACATAGCACTCACATTTATCATTATTCAAGGGCTTTATGGGAAAAAATTCTAGCATGTTTTGCTTTTATAAAACTGCCTTTATGTCCTGTGTGCATCTGTTGGCTGGCTTTTTCCCCAGTCCCTGTCTCTCTGGCCTTCTGTATTGATTTCTTTTAAGGACCCCTTTTTGTCACTTAAGTTGAAGATAAGTAGAATATTTCTTTTTATGTTATCTGCCTACTTCTTAATCTCATATTGCATGGAATTATCTATATTAAATGTATTCAATAACATTTTCAATTCCTTTAATGTGTTTCTAAAAAATTGAATTTTGCTTGTTTTTAACAAATATCCCCCTTTCTCTCCTGTCTCTCTCTTTCTCTTTAAAACTGGCAATTTTCACTATTCAAACTCCTTGTGCATTAAGATCACAATACAGACAGTTCTTGCTTTTCCCAGTTGTTGTGATATGCACAGATTTCAGTTATCCTGGTTTAGTTAAATAATGCCAATTCCCAATGATATGTTCAAGTTTCAGGTACCATAGCATATTAACTGTAAGTAATTGCATAAATTGCAAACTTTGCTGCTAGCCTATCAGCTCACACATCACTACATACCAGGGGAGCATCATTACCGTGACCAATCAAGCCTCTTCTTTCAAAGTCTTTTGGTGACTGATCCTTCACAGCTGTTACTCAGTTCACACACAGACAGCAAAGCATGATGTTGTCTTTCTCTCTTTCTCATCTCCGTGCTAACACCACATGACTGCAAAAAAATAGATACTCCAAGTTGGGAACTGGCCATCAAAGATGGAAATGCAGCAAAGACACAAAACATGCTAACACTGGAAGTGAAATCTGGATTGAACATACATGGAATTGTAGAAGAAATAGCTGATCTAGGGATGCTGACCCTGCTGCCCTAGATTTTACACTCTGCATAAGCTGCCTGGACTCTAGATATACAAACAGAGAATCACTGCAAAGGCAAACTTACTGACATTAATGAGGAAAGCAATTGTAATCAAAAGGATAAAGATGTCCCAGATCAAGTGACGCTAACACAAAATTTCACACAAAAGAAAATCTCAGAGATATTTTATCTCATTGGAAACTAAATGATACAATGTTTACAGCTAATAGAAACTTAGCAAAGGAAAACTGCAATCTACTAAAATGTAGAAAAGATGCTCACTGCTTACTGTAATTTATGCTATTAGAAGGCAAGCATTGTGGAAATGACTCTAGATCAGCATTTTACAAAGAACTAAAGCAGTAATTTTCTTTTTTTTCCTCAGAGAAAAGGTCTCGCTTCATCACCCAGGCTAGAAGGCAGTGGCATGATCATAGTTCACTGCTGCCTCAAACTCCTGGACTCAAGGGAGCTGGGATTACAAGCATGCACCACAGTGCGCAGCTAACTTTTTCTTCCTTCCTTCCTTCCTTCCTTCCTCCCTCCCTCCCTTCCTCTCTTCCCTTCTTTCCTTCTTTCTTTCTTGCTTCCTTTCTTCCTTTTCCTTTTCCTTTTCTCTTCCCTCACTCCTTCCTTTCCTTTCCCCTTCCTTCCTTCCTCTCTTTCTTTCATTTCCCTTTTCCTTTTCCTTTTTGCTTCCCTCACTCCTTCCTTTCCTTTCCCCTTCCTTTCTTCCTTTCTTCCATTTCCCTTTTCCTTTTCCTTTTTGCTTCCCTCACTCCTTTCCTTTCCTTTTCCTTTTATTCTTCCTTCACTCCCTCCCTTCTTTCCCTCCCTCCCTCTCTCCCACTCTCTTTTCTTTCCTTTTCCTTTTTCCTTCCCTCCCTTCCTTTCTCCCTCTCTTCCCTCCCTCCCTCCCTTCCCTCTTTCCCTCCTTCCTTCTCTCCCTCCCAGCTTCCCTCCTTCCTTTCGAGATGGAGTCTTGTCATCTTGCATAGGCCGATCTCTAACTACTGGGTTCCAGCAAGTCTCCCTCCTCGCCCTCCCAAAGTGTTGGGATTACAGGCATGAGCCACTGGGCCCAGCCTAAAGCAGTAATTTTCAGTGTATCTAGCGTTTGAAATGACAGTGTACTACATAAATATTGGTTTTACTATTTTTCATTCCTCTATACATTTATAACTGACAATAAGGTTTTTAACGTGTTGGCAAAATTTTTTAAGGTCACATGACAATTGTACTTTTCCCCACTGATAAATATGATCATATTGCATAGTTTTGCCCTGCACAGTCATATTTACAGCATCACTCTGCTCAGCCAAG